>NC_000003.12:43646363-43949393 GCF_000001405.40 Homo sapiens
CTGCCTGCTACCTGTCCTGATCCTTGTATATGCTCATTGTAACAGCATGTGTGGCTGAGATTGTGAATTCGTCTTTGAGTTAGAGAACTAAGATAACAAATTTATGGTGGAAGGAGCCTTAGAAGACAGAGCCATGGTTATGGTCATGCTGAGTCAGTAGTCTCTACTTTTTGTTTGTTTGTTTTTGAGACGGAGTCTTGCTCTGATGCCCAGGCTGGAGTGCAGTGGTGCAATCCTGACTCACTGCAACTTCCACCTCAGCCTCCTGAGTGGCTGGGATTACACGTGCCTGCCACCACACCACGCCCAGTTAATTTTTGTATTTTAGTAGAGACAAGGTTTCACCATGTTGGCCAAGCTGGTCTTGAACTCCTGACCTCAGGTGATCTGCCTGCCTCAGCCTCCCAAAATGCTGGGATTACAGGTGTGAGCCACCACACCTGGCCTCTTCTTTCTTTACATAGACTCATATGACTGTTTACTTCTAGTTCGGTTCTAAAATGAGAAATTTGTGCTGGTCACACAAACTGTCCCTTTCAAGTATTATGGAGTCATCCCTGAAGGTGGGGGTACAACATCTGGAAGGTAAAGACTGGCTTGTTGTGAAAAGCGGGAAAGAAAAGCACCCTCCCTTCCCAAAGAAGAAAATTCTCTTCGACCTTCCAACTGTTAAGGTCTGGAAGTCTGCCATTGGAGTATGATTCCTTTGATTTATGGGTCCAGTCCAGAAGACTGGATGTATTAGTGTGGATTCTTCAAAGAACCAGAACCAAAAAGATATGTGTATATATGTGTGTGTGTGTGTGTGTGTGTGTGTGTGTGTGTGTGTATTCTATACCCATAGATAAATAGATAGATAAGAGATTTATTATGGGAATTGATTCACATGATTATGGAGGGTGAGAAATCTCATGATCTGCTGTCTGCAAGTTGGAGAATTAGGAAAGCCAGTGGTGTGTGTTGGGGAGTTGGGGGAGCGCTGGTATAAGCCCCAGAGTCTGAAGGCTTGAGAACCTGGGGCTTAGATGTCCGAGGGCAGAAGATGGCTGTCTCAGCTCCAGAAGAGAGAGTGAATTCACCCTCCTCCCACAGTTTTATTCTCTCTAGGCCCTCAACGGCTTGGGTGATGCCCACACACCTTGGTGAGAGCAAATTCCTCTCTACTCAGACTACTGATTCAAATGTTAATCTCTTCTGGAAACATCCTCTCAGGCACACCCAGAAATAATGTTTAACCAGCTTTCTGGATATCCTTTAACCCAGTGAAGTTAAGACATAAAATTAACCATCATATTACACTACTCTGTATTCGAAGTATTCAAATCCTTTTACTGTCTAATTCTAATTACTTTTCAGCCATATCCCCATGGGCTCTGGAAGGAGACAGATTGCAGAGTTTAGGATTCTGATGCAATCACTTAACAGTAGTGTGACATAGATAGACTAAACCTTTCTGGGTTTCAGTTACTTCATTTGTAAAGGGGTAACAATAGCTCAGAATTCATAGGTTTATGTAGGGATTAAACAAGTTTAAATACATGAACAGTGATTAGCATAGCTGTGGCCTCAACTACTACTATTACCATTAAAGGCCCTCATCTCTCTACTTTGGCTGTCGTGCCCAACTCATTGTTACATTCTTTCTTCACCTCTCTCAAGGGAACCAACCTCCATCTAGGTTACTTGTTACAGCCAGGCTGAAGCCCAGGAGACCTTCTCTTACCTATCCAAGTTTCCAGAATCTCACCCTCCTCTGGGCTCCTCACGTATAAAGTTTTATACTTTATTCACATAAATACAAAATAAAAATGCATTCATTAACTTTTCAACCTGAATTTCTAACCTTGAGGCAGGTCAGACTAGCTTAAATCCAGGGAAGACAAACATTTGGAGGTGGAAAATTTCATCTTCTGCCAATGGGCAGGGAGAAAGTGGCCCTGTTACAGGAAAGAGGTCTGGATCCAAACCCCAAGAGAGGGTTCTTGGATCTTGCCAAGAAAGAGTTCAGGGCGAGTCCATAGAGTAAAGTGAAAGCAAGTCTATTAAGAAAGTAGAGGAATAAAATAATGGCTACTCTATAGACAGAGTAGCCCCAAGGGCTGCTGCTTGCCCATTTTTATGGTTATTCATTGATTATATGCTAAACAAGGAGATTATTCATGCCTCCCCTTTTTAGACCATACAGGGTAATTTCTTGACATTGCCATGGCACTTGTAAACTGTCATGGTGCTGGTGGGAGTGTAGCGGTGAGGGTGATCGATCGGAGGTCACTCTCGTGGCCTTCTTGGTTTTGGTGGGTTTTAGCCCGCTTTTTTTTTTTTTTTTTTTTTAAGATGGAGTCTGGCTCTGTCGCCCAGGCTGGAGTGCAGTGGCGTGATCTTGCCTCACTGCAAGCTCCGCTTCCCGGGTTCACGCCATTCTTCTGCCTCAGCCTCCCGAGTAGCTGGAACTATAGGCGCCCACCACCACGTCCGGCTAATTTTTTTGTATTTTTAGTAGAGACGGGGTTTCATCGTGTTAGCCAGGATAGTCTCCATCTCCTGACCTCGTGATCCGCCCATCTTGGCCTCCCAAAGTGCTGGGATTACAGGCGTGAGCCACGGCGCCCAGCCTTAGCTGGCTTCTTTACTGCAACCTGTTTTATCAGCAAGGTCTTTATGACCTCTATCTTGTGCTGACCTCCTATCTCATCCTGTGATTTAGAATCCCTTAACTGTCTGGGAATGCAACCCAGTAGGTCTCAGCCTTATTTTACCCAGCCCCTATTCAAGATGAAGTTGCTCTGGTTCAAACACCTGTGACAGCCCCACTGAGTCAGGAACCATGTAGGTTCATGTCTTGGCTCCAGAGATATTGTATAAATAACTGCTTTACATTTGACTTTACTCTTCCATAAAATGGGGTTATGTTTTGTTTACCTCACAGATTATTTACTGTGATAATTAAATAAGAATCCTTTTATATTAACGTAAGTACAAAATGTAGCCTTAAAAACATTAAATAACATATACTGATTATAGCTGCTTTTGTTTCCACTCATGAGATTCCATGTAAGAGCAGGAACCATAACTGTCTAGGGTTAAGGGAAACACTAAGCTGAAACTTGAGTGTCCTGTCACACTTGCTGAATGAATAGTGTGAATTCATTGGTTATTTATATGGGGGAGAATTATCTAACCCTCCCTTGGCCACCTAACACAGAACAGCTCTAGGTGGCAGTAAGCAGGGAGGTGTAAGAGTTAGAGATCACAGCACACTCAAGATTTGAGCAAAGTGAAAGTAGATAGGCATTAGAAAAAGTAACTAATGCCCTCAAATCATATAGCTAATAGGAGACAGAGTTGGGATCCAAACTCAGGCTAAGCCGAGGTCCCGTGACCTCAGCTATTGTGCTAATTAGTGAAACGGATGAGTTCCCTGACCCCCCTTGCAGGACGTGCGACAGGGGTGTGGCTTGTCTGTTCAGTCACCACTGCTGCTCAAATCCCTTATGGGATGGGGAGCATGCAGACAAACAGGTGCAGGAGCCAGGTACTGGGCTCTGGCCCCACAGCAGTGTCCAGGGGTCGGAGGCTGTGACTCCCTGAGCCCAAGAGGGTGTGTGCTACAGTGCACTCTTTTAGCCTTGCTGTCCCATGTACGGCGTAAGTGTTAACAAGTTCAGTGGACCCTCTGCCTTTTTGCAAGCGTCTTTTTGCAGAGGGCCAGTGTGACAGCTTTCTGTATCCCAAGCTCTTGTCCAGTGTCCCAGAAGAATCAGGTGACACACGGACTTGAAGGATGGTGAATGTGGGGGTTTTATTGAGTGGTGGAGGTGGCTCTCCATGGGATGGATGGGGAGCTATAAAGGGGATAGAATTGGGAAGATGATCTTCCCCTGGAGTTTGGCCATCCAGCGGCCAATTCTTCGACTGTCCCTGGCTGAACTCCTCCCAGTGTTCCTTCTCTTGGTAGGTAAAAGCATTTATGGGTGTAAGATAAGAAAAATAAGAGGTAGTTGAAAGGAAACTTCTCTGAAAACCGAGAAAAACCATTAAGTTACTGAGCAAAATGATCAAGGATATCAAGTCTGGTGTCCTTTTTGGGTAGTTAGAAAAAGAAAACACAGGAAATAAAACTAAGAAATAACATGCAGTAACCTGATTTTTTTAAATCATAAAGAGTCACAGAAAAAGATGCAATCAGCAATTATTTTGCATAAGTTAGAAAAAACAACTTCAATAAAAAGCAAGACTATTACCAAAGGATTTCTGGGTCAGGATTAGAGCAGAGCTTAGGGAAAAGCACACATACAAGAATTAAAGTACTGAATCATTTTTTTCCAGTTTTTAGGCTGTTTTGAACATTTCCCCATAGCCCTAAATAATTATCTTAAGCCAGCTGCTGTGTTCTGTTTGTGTTCATTCAACTTTTAAAATTTCCTGTCTGATAAATTGTGTGTTGTACTAACATTAATGTAATAAATGAACAATTTGCTAACTCTGAAAGAAGTCAAAGGCTTCAAACACACTTGCGGAAGTTATATTTATATTAACAGATACCTATGTTAATTTCCTTTCATAAGGAGCACAATAGCATCCTCCTTGAGGAAGCACCTTTTGATAAAATTAATAATAATATGCTCATCACATCATTTATTTCTTGCCCTCTCGTGTGCCAGCAAGTACATGTTCCTTTCAATTAATCTGTTACTTATACAAAAGCTGTTTTCCAAAAACTGTTTCTTTTGGGGGAGGGCAGTAAAATTAGGTGAAATAATGGATGAGAAATTTGAACAAAGTTTAGGATAAAAACACTATTCATAACACCTTTCAAAAAATGTCATTCAGTTCTATTCAACCCAAGTCTACAAATAATTAATAAATATCTACTGTGTGTCCTACACTGTTCTCACTTTTACAAAGCTTTTAATAGTGTACAGAAGAAAAACCTACACAAAATGATTAGAAGAACAAGATAAAAGGATATATAATCTTACGCCATAAAGACACACCGTAAAACTACAGAATTCCTCCTCTGAGAACAGCTGCTGTGTTTAATTGTGCAGTACAAATGTAGTCTACACAGTATTGAAAGGGATGCTGTTCCCGTGGTACATGTGGAAGAGTTTTTGGAAGATAGAAGTAAAGTGTCTTAAAAAAAGAGGGAGTATTTTTTTCTAGCTAGCACAGAGATGCCATGGGGGTTAGTGGCAGTCCTGGCAAAATCATTTGAATGTGGAAAAGATGATGAATTCCTT
Organism: Homo sapiens; assembly: GCF_000001405.40. NCBI lineage: Eukaryota > Metazoa > Chordata > Mammalia > Primates > Hominidae > Homo > Homo sapiens. The sequence continues at coordinate 43,651,604 of NC_000003.12, forward strand.
AAGAGCAGAATTTTTCTCTTATTTAGCCTTGTCCAAACAGGTTTCTGGAAGTCTTAACTCATTGGATTTTAAATGTGAAAAACATTTAAGATTTTTCCAATCATGCCTTCAACCATTCTATGTTGAATCTTCCTTGCCTGGCCCTTAATAACATCAGGGGCAGGTTCTATTTTGTACCAGTGTTTTTTAGTGATTAATACTTAGTTCAATCAAGTTCAAAACTTAAATTTAATATCCGATTCAAATAAGTTATTTCCTCCTACAATACAGTCTAGGGTTGGTTGTAGCAAGACCATTTCCCCATCTTCTTCTGGTTCTACTCCTCTAGGGTTGGGGGCCGGGAGTAATAAGGAAGATAGCATTTCTTACAAAGCAGAGTTCCTTTTTAAAGAAGATCTAAATTAACAGAAATATATTCCATGTTCTTGGGTCAGAGGATTTAATATTGTCAAGATGGCAATATCCCCAAATAGACCAACAGATTCAATGCAATCTATCAGAATCTTGGCCGCCTTTTTTTTTTTTCAGAAATTGATAAGCTGATCCTAACATTCATATGGAAATGCAGGGGGTCCATAATAGCCAACTATTTTGAAAAAGAAGAACAAAGGTAGGGGGCTTACATACCCTGATTTCCAAACTTACTACAAACATATAGTAATCAAAACAGTGTGGCACTTGCTGGCATAAGGATAGATATATATTAATACATCAATGGGATAGAATTGAGAATCCAGAAATAAATCCTTACATTAATGGTCAACTGATTTTCAACAAGAGTGACAAGATAATTTGATGAGAGAAAGAACAGTCTTTTCAACAAACAGTGCTCAGACAACTGAATGTTCACAAGCAAAAGAATAAAGTTGGACCACTGCTTAATGCCATACATGAAAATTAGCACAAAATAAATCATAGATTTAAATATAATCATTTTAGGGTGATAAAAATATTCTAAAATTAGATAATGGTGATGGTTGTATAACTCCATAAATAAAACTAAACCACTGGATAGTACACCTTAAGTGGGTGGATTTTAAGGTTTATAAGTTATAGCTCAATAAAATTTAAAAGGACTTAAATGAGTTACTAGAAGAAAGTATAGTTGAATATTTACATAACTTAGAATCAAATAAGGCCTTTCAAAGCATGTTATCAAGGCAAAATATAAAACATAATTTATATACTTGATTATAAATTATTTTTATAATTTCTATATTAAAAATACTGTTAATAAAATTTTACAATAAATACCATAGTGTTAATAACATCATTAATATAGAGAGAGTATTTAAAATCAGTAAGAAAATTATCAATGCCAGGCCGGGTGTGGTGGCTCATACCTGTAATCCCAGCACCTTGGGAGGCCGAGGTGGGCGGATCATGAGGTCAGAAGATTGAGACCATCCTGGCCAACATGGTGAAACCCCATCTCTACTAAAAATACAAAAAAAAAAATTAGCTGAGCATGGTGGCACATGCCTGTAGTCCCAGCTACTTTGGAGGCTGAGGCAGGAGAATCACTTGAACCCGGGAGGTACAAGTTGCAGTGAGCCAAGATCACACCACTGCACTCCAGCCTGGTGACAGAGCAAGACTCCGTCTCAAAAAGAAAAAAAAAGAAAATTATCAACACCCTAATATAGAAATAGGTAAAGGACATGAACAGACAATTCATAATATAAGAAACAGAACTGGCCAAGAAACACATATAAAAGTATTCAGATTAATGGATAGTTAAAGAAATGCCAATTGAAGCACCATGAAACACCTCTTTCCAACCACTATATTGGTAAAGATTTGAAAGAAGTAAAATACACATGGCTGCATAGGTGGGAAAATAGGATTCTTATATGCTTCTGGTGTGAGTACAACTTGGAACAACTATGCTGAAGGCAATTTGGGAATATAAATCAAATGCTTAAAAATATGTAAATACTTTGAATAATCATCTTACTAGAATTATATCCCAACAAATAATATGAGAGATATTCAAAAGAATGTGTACAAGGTTATATATTCTTATGAATTCTTGTGAAAAGTTAGAAACAACCTAAGTCTCTAATAATAGGTGATTAGATAAATAAATCATCAATAAATAGAATACCGTCTAGCTATTAAAATTGTTGGGAAGGATACTAGAGTGCCTACCCAGCATCTGTTCTCTCTTTCCGCATACCTAGAACCCCATGAAGTCCCCAGACTCAGAAGAATCTGAGCCCCTCTATCCCTTCGGACAGAAGTTGCTTGAATGAATAAGTGGTTAATGGTTAAGCCTAACACTTAATACATGTCAGTGAGATGCAAAGAGCAGTTTGCTGGGGTTTTTTTTTTTTTTGCAACTTCTGGAAGCATCACCTCCTTTTTCTGGCCCTTGTCACACCTGGATATGAGGCCTAGACTTGCATCTCCAATGTGTCTGAAGATGAAACTGACACCAGGGAAGGGCAGAGAAGACAGAATTACAGGAAAATGGAGCCAGAGCCACCAGCTCTGAAGATACTCTTCTTTGGACTTCAAACTATAAACCTGTTCATTTCATTATCACCTGAGCTGGATTGAGAGGGACATTCTGGAATTTGCCAACACAGGTTACATGGAGGGTTACTCTGTCCCTGCATGCTTCACAAAAAGAAGAAAGGGAAAAAATCCCAATAGGATGGAAATAGGAAATGGCTTTAATTTTTCTTCCTATGTCTTTGAAATACTCTGTTGGGTCTCCTTTTCCGACCCCTAGATAACATCTCAGACAGACACTATAGTTTTTTGATGGGGATAGAATTCAGAGGGTATATAATCTTTAATGGGAAAAATAATCAATTCTTTATTTTCACTGACCTCTAACTGAGAGTTAACATTACCTACATCAGAAAATGTTGCAGTGGAGGTCCCCTGGATTAAGGTCTCCAACAAACTACAAATGCTTCTCATTAAAGAGCAAGCATTAGATGCTTGCCATAATGAAATGCTATTGATAGCCAAAATGTGATGAGAGAACTAGTAACACAACCAAACCCAGTTTGGTGAAAAGCTCTTTGCCCCTTTCCTTCTACTCCTCTCTTCTACCACTCTGACTTCTCCAGCCAGAAGATGGACAAGAGAAGAGAAGTGGTCATCCTCACTGCATCCCCACTGCTAGGCTGGTCAGAGCAGGCAGTGATCAGTCAGAATGGATGACTGCCATAAACAACCAGTGCACTGGACTGGTGAAAAAATTGGCCCTACCTCTGACTTTACTCCATGGGCTACAGTCCTTGGATTTTGTACCTTATGTTTATATGTTCACACATATCAGTTTTCTCTAAGCAAAAGCATTTAAAAAGTTACAACTTGAAGTACCAGGGATGAAGGATGCTACCTTGGTCACTGACTTTATCTTTCTTAGAAGCAAAATATAGGTGTTAGATTAATTCCATAAAGCACAGGGATCACAGACTCTGTAATACTCTCTTTAAATCAGAAAAGCTTCTAACAATCATTTTCCTTTTACACGTATACACAGTAAAACTAGAGGGAAATTTCTTTTAATGTCACATGATTCCAAGAAAAGCAAGGGCCTTTCACTCTTTACAGGTAATAGCCAAAGTGTGTCCGGAATTGGTGGGTTCTTGGTCTCACTGACTTCAAGAATGAAGCCGTGGACCCTCGCGGTGAGTGTTACAGCTCTTAAGGTGGCGCGTCTGGAGCTTGTTCCTTCTGATGTTCGGATGTGTTTGGAGTTTCTTCCTTCTGGTGGGTTCGTGGTCTCGCTGGCTCAGGAGTGAAGCTGCAGACCTTGGCGGTGAGTGTTACAGCTCATAAAAGCAGCGTGGACCCAAAGAGTGAGCAGTAGCAAGATTTATTGCAAAGAGCGAAAGAACAAAGCTTCTACAGTGTGGGAGGGGACCCAAGCGGGTTGCCACTGCTGGCTGGGGCAGCCTGCTTTTATTCTCTTATGTGGCCCCACCCATGTCCTGCTGATTGGTAGAGCAGAGTGGTCTGTTTTGACAGGGTGCTGATTGGTGCGTTTACAATCCCTGAGCTAGACATAAAGGTTCTCCACCTCCCCATCAGATCAGTTAGATACAGAGTATGGACACAAAGGTTCTCCAAGGCCCCACCAGAGCAGCTAGATAGAGTGTTGATTGGTGCATTCACAAACCCTGAGCTAGACACAGGGTGCTGATTGGTGTGTTTACAAACCTTGAGCTAGATACAGAGTGCCGATTGGTGTATTTACAATCCCTGAGCTAGACATAAAGGTTCTCCACGTCCCCACCAGAGCAGCTAGATACAGTGTCCATTGGTGCATTCACAAACCCTGAGCTAGACACAGGGTGCTGATTGGTGTGTTTACAAACCTTGAGCTAGATACAGAGTGCCGATTGGTGTATTTACAATCCCTGAGCTAGACATAAAGGTTCTCCACGTCCCCACCAGAGCAGCTAGATACAGTGTCCATTGGTGCATTCACAAACCCTGAGCTAGACACAGGGTGCTGATTGGTGTGTTTACAAACCTTGAGCTAGATACAGAATGCCAACTGGTGTATTTACAATCCCTGAGCTAGACATAAAGGTTCTTCACCTCCCCACCAGAGCAGCTAGATACAGAGTGTCAATTGGTGCATTCACAAACCCTGAGCTAGACACAGGGTGCTGATTGGTGTGTTTACAAACCTTGAGCTAGATACAGAGTGCTGATTGGTGTACTTACAATCCCTGAGCTAGACATAAAGGTTCTCCACGTCCCCACCAGACTCAGGAGCCCAGCTGGCTTCACCCAGTGGATCCCGCACAGGGGCTGCAGGTGGAGCTGCCTGCCAGTCCTGTGCCGTGCGCTCGCACTCCTCAGCCCTTGGGTGGTTGATGGGACTGGGCGCCATGGAGCAGGGGGTGGTACTCGTCGGGGAGGCTCGGGCCGCACAGGAGCCCATGGAGGGGGTGGGAGGCTCAGGCATGGCGGGCTGCAGGTAGCGAGCCCTGCCCTGCGGGAAGGCAGCTAAGGCCTGGTGAGAAATCGAGCACAGAGCCGGTGGGCTAGCACTGCTGGGGTACCCAGTACACCCTCCGCAGCCGCTGGCCCGGATGCTAAGTCCCTCATTGCCCGGGGCAGCAGGGCCGGCCGGCTGCTCTGAGTGTGGGGCCCGCCAAGCCCACGCCCACCTGGAACTCCAGCTGGCCCTCAAGTGCTGCACACAGCCCGGGTTCCTGCTCGCGCCTCTCCCTCCACACCTCCCTGCAAGCTAAGGGAGTGGGCTCCGGCCTTGGCCAGCCCAGAAAGGGGCTCCCACAGTGCAGCGGTGGGCTGAAGGGCTCCTCAAGTGCCGCCAAAGTGGGAGCCCAGGCAGAGGAGGCGCTGAGAGCGAGCAAGGGCTGTGAGGACTGCCAGCACGCTGTCACCTCTCAAAAGCATTTAAATTTTTACCAGTGTTTTCTTGTGAACAAAAACTTTAGAAGGGAATAAACTCTTCATCCAAAAATAAATGAATGTTTCAATTCTAACAATGATTAGATGCAACTCACATGAAGAAATGTGACAATAATCATTAGGGGATCCTTTTCCTGTCTTCTCCAAGGAGCTCTAAGAAGCTTGAAACTTCTATTTTTGTTTATTTGTTTTTGTAAGGACAGGGATCTCCAGGAATAAAGTCTGGGAGTAGCAATGCTCCCAACAACCTACTAGTCTGAAGAAGGCAGGGGCAATAATGACATCAATTGTACATTCCCCAAATTCTATGTATAAAGCAGAGGCTTCAATTTCCATTGGCCCATGTTGATCCCAAATGGAGGTCATGTTGTAGGAGTACGCAGTGACTATCACCGGGCTGGAGCTTCTTTGCATCTACTTCCCTTTCCTATAGGCCCCTCAGTTCCATTTATTAGTTTTACCTTTAAATCGTTGGATTGCATCTTATGGGACAGTCACTGAAGTTCTCTGCCTAGCTAAAGGGAAGGCATTTGACCCAAGTTAAAGCAATCATTTGCTCCCTTCTTGGAATATGAATCTTGAACTGAGGAATAAAGAGACAGAAAACTAGTTTAATCAATCTGACTGGCGGCATCTGCCCATATACTTCTTGCTATGAGATGTCTTTCTAGGCCCCAGGATAGCCTTTGTTCTGGCCCTGTTATCCAGCCTCCTAGCCATTCTGTCACCCCTGATATCCTTCAGGTATATTTTTTCTTGTTTAAGATGGCCAGAGGAACTTACTACAGATTATGCCAAAGAACCAAACTGAAACAGAAACCTTCAGTGCCTCCCAAATTCCATCTTTGAAAGCAGCTATGTTTTTATTTATTGTGTGGAAAAACTTAAAGATCTCAAAAAGTTATATAGCCCTTAATTCTTTCTTTTAAGATGTGTATTCCGTCTGGATGGCTTAATATTTTTTTCCTAGGGTTATAAATAAATATTTTAAAACATTAAACTTGAGTTTTCTTCTTTGTCTTTTCCCAGCTAGTCCTCCCTTCACTCAGGTAAAACCCACTGCAGGAGCACACATCTGCTGCCATTTAAACAGTCTTTGAAAATAATATGAAATAATTACAACAGTACAAGTTATTGGAAATATCAGCTTAAAATTGCTTCTTTAGAGAAATTAAACAATCAAAATTTATGTATCTTAAAGAAGTATTTTTAAGGGCCATTGAAATGGATAGGTCATCGAGAAAGGCCATAATCTAATATAAAAAAAATTCAAACAGATCTTTGTCACAGAGCAAATCATCGAAGAATAAGCATTAGCATGGTTCAGTACATTGTAGTATCTGTGGATAATGGGATATTCTACAGCAATGAATGTGACCATCTACAAGGAACTGCAATCATAAGGATGAATATGGTGTGAAAGAAGCCAGACACCAAAGTTTATATTATTATTATTATTATTATTATTATTTTTTGAGATGGAGTCTCGCACTGTTGCCCGGGCTGGAGTGCAGTGGTGCGATCTCAGCTCACTGCAACCTCTGCCTCCTGGGTTCAAGCGATTCTCCTGCCTCAGCCTCCTGAGTAGCTGGGATTACAGTCACCTGCCAACAGCCCAGCTAATTTTTTGTATTTTTAGTAGAGACGGGATTTCACCACGTTGGCCAGGCTTGTCTTGAACTTCAGACTTCATGATTCGCCCACCTTGGCCACCCAAAGTGCTGGGACCACAGGCATTAGCCACCACACCCAGCCAGTTTATGTTCTTTATGAATCTTTATGTAAGGTTCAAGACGAGGCCAAACTAAACTATGGTATTAGAAGTTAAGAGAGTAGTTAACTTTAGAGAGGTGCAGTAGTGATTGAGTGGGGTTCTATAAAGGTCTTTGGGGTGCTGGAATAGTCTATTTCTTGACCTGGGTGGTAGTTGTGTTATATTTTATTATAAAGCATTAAGTTGAATATTTATATTTTGTGCACTTTTCTGTATATGTATTTTAATGGAAAAAAGTTAAGTATGAGGGGAAAAGGCAGTATCTTCTTTTCTTGGTTTTAAAGAAAAATCCTGGTCATTTCCAAGATGGCTGAATAGGTACAGCTCTGGTCTACAGCTCCCAGCGAGATGGGATGCAAAAGACAGGTGATTTCTGCATTTCCAACTGAGGTACCTGGTTCATCTCACTGGGACTGGTTGGACAGTGGGTGCAGCCCATGGAGGGTGAGCCAAAGTAGGGTGGGGCGTCACCTCACCCGAGAAGTGCAAGGGGTCGGGGCATTTCCCTTTCCTAGCCAAGGGAAGCTGTGAGTGACTGTACCTGGAGGAATGATACACTTCTTCCCAAATACTGTGCTTTTCCCATGGTCTCTGCAACCAGCAGACCAGGAGATCCCCTCCCGTGCCTGGCTCGGTGGGTCCCACGCCCACGGAGCCTTGCTTGCTGCTAACACAGCAGTCTGAGATCAACCTGGGACACAGGAGCTTGGTGGGGGGAGGGGCACCCGCCATTGCTGAGGCTTCAGTAGGTGGTTCTATGCTCACATTGTAAACAAAGTGGTAGGGAAGCTGGAACTGGGCGGGGCCCACTGCAGCTCAGCAAGGCCTACTGCCTCTCTAGATTCCACCTATGGGGGCAGGGCATATCTGAACAAAAGGCAGCAAACAGCTTCTCCAGACTTAAACGCCCCTGCCTGACAGCTCTGAAGAGAGCAGTGGTTCTCCCATCATGGTGTTCGAGCTCCAGTAACGGACTAAACTGCCTCCTCAAGTGGGTCCCTGACCCCCATGTAGCCTGACTGGAAGATGCCTCCCAGTAGGGGCCGACAAACACCTCATACAACCAGATGCCCCTCTGGGACAAAGCTTTAAGAGGAAGGATCAGGCAGCAATATTTGCTGTTCTGCAGCCTCTGCTGGTGATACCCAGGCAAACAGGGTCTGGAGTGGACATCCAGCAGATGTCCACAGGACTCCGACAGACCTGCGGCTGAGGGGCCTGTCTGTTAGAAGGAAAACTAACAAACAGAAAGGAATAGCATCAACATCAACAAAAGGGACATCCACACCAAAACCCCATCTGTAGGTCACCAACATCAAAGATCAAAGGTAGATAAAACCACAAAGATGGGGAGAAACCAGAGCAGAAAGGCTGAAAATTCCCAAAACCAGAATGACTCTTCTGTTCCAAAGGAACACAACTCCTCGCCAGCAAGAGAACAAAACTGGATGGAGAATGAGTTTGATGAGTTGACAGAAGTAGGCTTCAGAAGGTTGGTAATAACAAACTTCTCCAAGCTAAAGGAGCATGTTCTAAAACATCACATGCAAGTTAAAAACCTTGAAAAAAGGTTAGATCAAGCTAACTAGAAAAATAAGTGAAGAGAAGAGCTTAAATGACCTGATGGAGCTGAAAACCACAGTACTAGAACTTCGTGAAGCATACACAAGCTTCAATAGCCTATTCGATCAAGCAGAAGAAAGGATATCAGTGATTGAAGATCAAACTAATGAAATAAAGCAAGAAGACAAGATTAGAGAAAAGAGAGTGAAAAGAAACGAACAAAGCTTCCAAGACATATGGGACTATGTGAAAAGACCAAATCTATGTTTGATTGGTGTACCTGAAAGTGTTAGGGAGAACGGAACCAAGTTAGAAAACACTCTGGCTGGGCGCAGTGGCTCACGCCTGTAATCCCAGCACTTTGGGAGGCCAAGGCTGGCGGATCACGTGAGGTCAGGAGTTTGAGACCTGCCTGACCAACATGGAGAAACCCTGTCTCTACTAAAACTACAAAATTAGCCGGGCGTGGTGGTGCATGCCTGTAATCCTAGCTACTCAGGACGCCAAGGCAGGAGAATCACTTGAACCCAGGAGACGGAGGTTGCGTTGAGCCGAGATCATGTCATTGCACTCTAGCCTGGGCAACAAGGGTGAAACTCCATCTCAAAAACAATAAAAAGAAAACACTCTTCAGGATATTATCCAGGAGAACTTCCCCAACCTAGCAAGGCAGGCCAATGTTCAAATTCAGGATATACAGAGACCACTACAAAGATGCTCCTCGAGAAGAGCAACCCCAAGAAACATAATTGTCAGATTCACCAAGGTTGAAATGAAGGAAAAAAATGTTAAGAACAGTCAGAGAGAAAGATTGGGTTACCCACAAAGGGAAGCCCATCAGACTAACAGCAGATCTCTCTGCAGAAACCCTACAAGCCAGAAGAGAGTGGGGGCCAATATTCAACATTCTTAAAGAAAAGAATTTTCAACCCAGGATTTCATATCCAGCCCAACTAAGCTTCATAAGTGAAGGAGAAATAAAATGCTTTACAGACGAGCAAATGCTGAAAGATTTTGTCATCACCAGGCCTGCCTTACAAGAGCTCCTGAAGGAAGCACTAAACATGGATAGGAACAACCAGTACCAGCCACTGCAAAAACATGCCAAATTGTAAAGATCACTGATGCTATGAAGAAACTGCATCAATTAATGGGCAAAATAACCAGCTAGCATCATAATGACAGGATCAATTTCACACATAACAATATTAACCTTAAATGTAAATGGCCTAAATGCCCCAATTAAAAGACACAGACTGGCAAATTGGATAAAGAGTCAAGACCCATAGGTGTGCTGTATTTAGGAGATCCATTTCACATGCAAAGACACACATAGGCTCAAAACAAAGGGATGGGGGACGATCTACCAAACAAATGGAAAGCAAAAAAAAGCAGGGGTTGCAATTCTGGTCTCTGATAAAATAGACTTTAAACCAACAAAGATCAAAAGAGACAAAGAAGGCCATTACATAAAGGCAAAGGAATCAATTTATCAAGAAGAGCTAACTATCCTAAATATATATGCAACCAATACAGTTGCACACAGATTCATAAAACAAGTTCTTAGAGACCTACAAAGAGACTTAGATTCCCACACAATAATAATGGGAGACTGTAACACCCCACTGTCAATATTAGACAGATCAACGAGACAGAAAACTAACAAGGATATCCAGGACTTCAACTCAGATCTGCACCAAGCGGACCTAATAGACATCTACAAAACTCTCCATCCCAAAACAACAGAATATACATTCTTCTCAGCACTACGTCGCACTTATTCTAAAAGTGACCACATAATTGGAAGTAAAACACTCCTTAGCAAATGTAAAAGAACAGAAATCACAACAAAGTGTCTCTCAGACCACAGTTCAATCAAATTAGAACTCAGGATTAAGAATCTCACTCAAAACTGTACAACTACATGGAAACTGAACAACCTGCTCCTGAATGACTATTGGGTACATAACAAAATGAAGGCAGAAATAAAAATGTTCTTTGAAACCAATGAGAACAAAGACACAACGTACCAGAATCTCTGGGACACATTTAAAGCAGCAGTGTGTAGAGGGAAATTGATACTACTAAATGCCCACAAAAGAAAGCAAGAGAGATCTAAAATCAACACCCTAACATCACAATTAACACTACTAGAGAAGAAAGAGCAAACAAATTCAACAGCTAGCAGAAGACAAGAAATAACTAAGATCACAGCAGAACTGAAGGAGATAGAGACACAAAAAAATAAATGAATCCAAGAGCTGATTTTTTGAAAAGATCAACAAAATAGACCGCTACCAAGACTAGTGAAGAAAAGAGAGAAGAATCAAATAGATGCAATAAAAAATGATAAAGGGGATATCACCACCAATCCCACAGAGATACAAACTACCACCAGAGAATACTATAGACACCTCTGCGCAAATAAACTAGAAAAACTAGAAGAAATGGATAAATTTCTCGACACATACACCCTCCCAAGACTAAACCAGGAAGAAGTTGAAGCTCTGAACAGACCAATAACAGGTTCTGAAATTGAGGCAATAATTAACAGCCTACCAACCAAAAAAAGTTCAAGACCAGACAGATTCACAGCTGAATTCTACCAGAGGTACAAAGAGGAGCTGGTACCATTCCTTCTGAAACTATTCCAATCAATAGAAAAAGAGGGAATCCTCCCTAACTCATTTTATGAGGCCAGCATCATCCTGATATGAAAGCCTGGCAGAGACACAACAAAAAAAGAGAATTTTAGGCCAATATCCCTGATGAACATTGATGCGAAAATCCTCAATAAAATGCTGGCAAACCGAATCCAGTAGCACATCAAAAAGCTTATCCACCATGATCAAGTGGGCTTCATCCCTGGGATGCAAGACTGGTTCAACATATGCAAATCAATAAACGTAATCCATCACATAAACAGAACCAACAACAAAAACCACGATTATCTTAATAGATGCAGAAAAGGCCTTCAACAAAATTCAAGAGCCTTTCATGCTAAAAACTCTCAATAAACTAGGTATCAATGGAACATATCTCAACATAATAAGAGCTAATTATGACAAACCCACAGCCAATATCATACTGAATGGGCAAAAACTGGAAGCATTCCCTTTGAAAACTGGCACAAGACAGGGATGCCCTCTCTCACCACTCCTATTCAACATAGTATTGGAAGTTCTGGCCAGGGCAATCAGGCAAGAGAAAGCAATAAAGGTTTTCAAATAGGAAGAGTGGAATTCAAATTGTCTCTGTTTGCAGATGACATAATGGTATGCTCAGAAAAACCCCATCATCTCAGCCCAAAATCTCCTTAAGCTGATAAGCAACTTCAGCAGTACCAGGATACAAAATCAATGCGCAAAAATCACAAGCATTCCTATACACCAGTAACAGAGAGCCAAATCATGAGTGAACTCCCATTCACAATTGCTACTAAGAGAATAAAATACCTAAGAATACAACTTACAAGAGATGTGAAGGACCTCTTCAAGAAGAACTACAAACCACTGCTCAAGGAAATAAGAGAGGACACAAACAAATGGAAAAACATCCCATGCTCATGGATAGGAAGAATCAATATCATGAAAACGGCCTTACTGCCCAAAGTAATTTATAGATTCAATGCTATCCCCATCAAGCTACCACTGACTTTCTTCAAAGAATTGGAAAAACTACTTTAAATTTCATATGGAACCAAAAAAGAGCTCACATAGCCAAGACAATCCTGGGCAAGAAGAACAACGCTGGAGGCATTACACTACCTTACTTCAAACTATAGTACAAGGCTACAGTAACCAAAACAGCATGGTATTGGTACCAAAACAGATATATAGACCAGTAGAACAGAACGGAGTCCTCAGAAATAACACCACACATCTACCACCATCTGATCTTTGACAAACCTGACACACACAAGCAATGGGGAAAAGATTCCCTATTTAATAAGTGGTGTTGGGAAAACTGGCTAGCCATATGCAGAAAACTGAAACTGGACCCCTTCCTTACACCTTATATAAAAATCAACTCAAGATGGATCAAAGACTAAAACATAAGACCTAGGGCCATAAAAATCCTAGAAGAAAACCTGGGCAATACCATTCAGGACACAGGCATGGGCAAAGACTTCACATCTAAAACACCAAAAGCAATGGCAACAAAGGCCAAAATTGACAAATGGGATCTAATTAAACTAAAGAGCTTCTGCACAGCAACAGAAACTATCATCAGAGTGAACAGGCAACCTACAGAATGGGAGAAAATTTTTGCAATCTATCCATCTGACAACGGGCTAATATCCAGAATCTACAAAGAACTTAAATTTACAAGAAAAAAGCAAACAAGCCCATCAAAAAATGGGCAAAGGATATGAACAGACCCTTCTCAAAAGAAGATATTTATGCAGACAACAGACATATGAAAAAATGCTAATCATCAATGGTCATTAGAGAAGTGCAAATCAAAACCACAATGAGATACTATCTCACCCCAGTTAGAATGGCGATCATTAAAAAGTCAGGAAACAACAGATGCTGGAGAGGTTGTGGAAAAATAGGAATGCTTTTACACTGTTGGGAGTGTAAATTAGTTCAACCATTGTGGAAGACAGTGTGGCAATTCCTCACGGATCTAAAACTAGAAATATCATGTGAACCAGCAATCCCATTACTGGGTATATACCCAAAGGATTACAAATCATTCTACGATAAAGACACATGCACATGTATGTTTACTGTGGCACTATTAACAATAGCAAAGACTTGGAACCAACCCAAATGTCTATCAATGATAGACTGGATTAAGAAAATGTGGCACATATACACCATGGAATACTATGCAGGCATAAAAAAGGATGAGTTCATGTCTTTGCAGGGACATGGATGAAGCTGGAAACCATCATTCTCAGCAAACTATCACAAGATCAGAAAACCAGACATCACATGTTCTTACTCGTAAGGGGGAGTTGAACAATGAGAACACATGGACACAGGGAGGGGAACATCACACACCAGGGCCTGTGGGGGGTGGGCGGTTAAGGGAGGGATAACATTAGGAGAAATACCTAATGTAGGTGACAGGTTGATGGGTGCAGCAAACCACCATGGCACGTGTATACCTATGTAACAAAACTGCACGTTCTGCACATGTAACCGAGAACTTAACATATATAATTTAAAAAAAAGAGAAAAATCTTGGTCATCTAGCATTGGTGATCTTAAGGCACTTATTATGGAGAACTCAAGTTTGCCTTCTTTACTGTTCTCTTGCCTTCCTTTTCATTTACCTTCCTCTCTGTCAACACCTTTCTAAAAACATATTGCTCCTGCTCAAGAACACAATATGAGTAATTCGCAAAATCTTCAGGATTCACTGGTTGGTCGTAGCTCTGACTTTGAGATCCAATTAGCTAGTTTAAATGTAATTATATTATTCAACCAGTTATTTGTGAGTGAAGTTGAATAATGCTCTCATTGTATGCAACGCCAGGAACTGATGGTTGTATGAAATGTTCAATTTAACATTTCCCAACTTGGTGGTGTTTAATTATACAATTATAAAGAGGTTTCAGCATGTGCTTTTATGTTAGGTATTTGTTTTTGTTTTCAATACACTTTTATTTTAATAACTCCAAAGGAGCTACAGAACGTGCAGATGACAAAAAATATATTAATGTAATTTTAAGTCATTTACATGTTAAGGAACATTTAAATTTAAAATAATACTATATTTCTGTCATATCTTCAAGGATTTTAATTCAAACCCTGATTTGTATGCTATTCAACGTACAAACACTGGTTTTGAAATAAAACCTATATTTCAAGCTTTAAAGAATAATTCAAAAGAAGTACTTAATGTCCCTTTGTTTTCTTTCTCTCAAGAGAATAAAAAGTCTCCCACTTGAATAAAGGCTAAATTACAGTGATGATTCAAACAACTGGAAAAGAAGAGATTAAGAATTACAGTTACATGGAGTATGAATTATCTCATTCTGGATTGGGGGAATTGAATTTTTAACTAAACCTCGTAATTAGTTTTCTGTAAGTTGTTAAAATAGCTAAAAATTAATGTAAGAGACCTAATTTTTTCTTGTTTGGGGATTTAGCCAGTATTCTATACATTTTCTTTAGAGTGATAATTGCTTTCTTGTCATTTGTTTTCAAGAAATAAAGATGATTATAATTACACTGACAAGATACTCAAGATGGGAAAGACTATATCTATATATCTATCAATCAATCATAGATATCTATCAATATTCTCAGTCCATTCTGTCTCAGACTATTCCTGCTTCTATAGTAAAATAGATGGGTAATTTATAAATAATAGAAATTTATTTCTCACAGTTCTGGGGGCTGAGAAGTCTAAGATCAGGGTGCCAGCAGATTTGCCATCTGTTAAGGGCTTGCTCCCTTCTAAGAGAGCTCTTGGGTGGCTCTTCTTGCTGCATCCTCACATGGAGAAAAGCCTGAATGCTGTGTCTTCACATGGCAGAATGGCAAATCATCACATTGTACACCTTAAATATATACAGTTTTTAATTTTAGTAGGGTATATGATTTGATTAATGTTAGCATGGTATATCTTTCTCCATCCATTTATTTTTAATCTACATGTGTAATTATATTTAAAGTGAAATTTATTGAAGGGAACATATAGTTGGATCTTGTTTTTTGACCCTTTCTTGTTTTTTAATCCTCATGCATTAAAATACAATGCATGTTTTTTTTTTTTTTTTTTTTTTTTTTGTCTTTTCTTGAGACAGAGTCTCGCTCTGTCACCCAGGCTGGAGTGCAGTGGGGCAATCTTGGCTCACTGCAAACTTTGCCTCCTGGGTTCAAGCAATTCTCCTGCCTCAGCCTCCTGAGTAGCTGGAATTACAGGCGTGTGCCACCATGCCCAGCTAATTTTTGCATTTTTAGTAGAGACAGGGTTTCACCATATTGGTCAGGCTAGTCTCAAACTGCTGACCTCATGATACGCTCATGTCAGCCTCCCAAAGTGCTGGGATTACACGCGTGGGCCACTGCACCCAGCCCAATCCATGTAATTTAATTTGTGTAGTTACACTATTGTTTTTTAAAATTTTTTGATTTGTATTTCAATAGCTTTGGGGGTACAGGTGGTTTTTTCTTACATAGGTAAGTTCTTTAGTGGTGATTTCTGAGATTTTAGGGCACTCGCCACCTGAGCAGTATACACTGTACCCAATATGTAGTCTTTTATCCCTCATCCCACTCCTGACCTTCCCTGCACCCTAAGTTCCCAAAGCCCATTGTATTATTCTTATGCCTTTGCATCCTCATAGCTTAGCTCTCACTTATAAATGAGAACATATGATATTTGGTTTTCTACTGCTGAGTTACTTCACTTAAAATTATGGCCTCCAGCTCTATCCAAGTTGCTGCAAAAGACATTATTTTGTTCCTTTTTATTCCTGACTGGTATCCCATGGTGTATATATACACTGCATTTTCTTTATCCGCTCATGGGTTGATGGGCACTTAGGTTGGTTCTACATCTTTACAATTGCCAATCATGGAGAAACATGTGTGTGTAAGTATCTTTTTATATAATGACTTATTTTCCTTTGGGTAGATACCCAGTAGTGGGATTGCTAGATCAAAAGGTAGTTCTTTTAGTTCTTTAAGGAATCTCCATGCTGTTTTTCATAGTTGTACTAATTTACATTCCCACCAGTCGGGTAAAACTGTTCCCTTTTCACCACATCCACACCAACGTCTATTGTTTTTTGACTTTTTTATTATGCCCATTCTTGCAGGAGTAAGGTGGTATCTCGTTGTGGTTTTAATTTGCATTTCCCTGATGATGAGTGATGTTGAGCATTTTTTAATATGTTTGTTGGCTGTTTGTATATCTTCTCTTGAGAATTGTCTATTCATGTCCTTAGCCCACATTTTTATGGGATTGTTTTTTTTTTCTTGCTGATTTGAGTTTCTTGTAGATTCTGGATATTAGTTCTTCGTTAGATGCAAATTTTGTGAATGTTTTCTCTCACTCTGTGGGCTGTTTGTTCTGCTGATTATTTCTTTTGCTGTGCAGAAGCATTTTAGTCTAATTAGGTTCCATTTTTTAATTTTTGTTTTTGTTGCATTTGCTTTGGGGGTCTTAGCCATGAATTCTTTGCCTAAGCCAGTGTCTAGAAGAGTTTTTTCTGATGTTATCTTCTAGAACTCTTACTGTTTTAGGTCTTAGATTTAAGTCTTTGATCCATCTTGAGTTGATTTTTGTATACGGTAATAGATGGGGATCTAGTTTCATTCTTCTGCATGTGGCTTGCCAATTTTCTCAGTACCGTTTATTGAACAGGGCATCCTTTCCCCAATTTGTGTTTTTGTATGCTTTGTTGAAGATCAGTTGGCTGTAAGTATTTGTCCTTATTTCTGGGTTCTCTATAGATCATTGATGTTTAACATCATTATTGATATACCTAGATTAATATCTAGTATAGTTGGTACTGTTTTCTATTTGTTGTTCTTTTCTTTGTTCCTGTTTTTATATTCCATACTTTTTTTCGCTATTTTAATTGAGCATTAATTACATTTACATAATTGCATTTTATCTTCTAAGCATATCAATTGTACTTCTTTAAAAACATTATTTTAGTTGTTGCCCAAGAGTTTGTAATGTACATTTATAACTAATCCAAGTGTTCTATAGTCCTATGATTAGGTCTTGGTCTTTTGATGAGTCTATGCCCCTGGACTGCAACCTTCACCAGTGCTTCTCAGTTTTTTTTCCTCCCTTAGGTGGGACTGGAAGGCTGAAGCAAGCTGGAGTTGTGTATTTCCCTTCCCCCAGGTCAATTAGTCTCTGGAAAAACCCCAGGAGATTAGGCTCTGATAAAATAGTTTCTCCTGAGGAAAGGCCTTATTAAAAGGAACAGAATCCTCCAGTGTATTGCAAAATGGTTCCTTTTCCCTGCTGATGGAGACATGAGGGAATATGTCACCAATATTCTCTGTGAGAATCTGGTAGCATTCCTGGAGGTAAAACTCATGAAAATGTGAGGGCCCCCCATGAATGGTCTCCCTGGAGTTTTTAACTCAGAATTGTTCACATTGAGTCTCCAGCAATTTGTCAATTACAGTTCAGGTTTTCCTACTCTGATTCCTGCAGAGGTTTCTGCTCCTAGGTTTCTGGTCTGGTTAAGTTGTGATTTTCTGTATTTGCTGCCTATTTTTTCAATTATGGGGGCAGCAGTTTGCCCTGTGAATTCACTTCTCTGATGGAGCTAAAAAGAGTTGATTTTTCAGATTATTCAGCTTTTTATTTGATGTTTGGATGGAGTGGCAACTTCTAAGATCTTTATATTTTGGACCGGAAACCAGAAGTCTTTTTAGTTTTTATTTATTTATTTATTTATTTATTTAGAAATGGAGTTTTTGCTCATCGCCCAGGCCAGAGTGCAGTGGCACTATCTCGGCTCACTTCCACCTCCACCTCCTGAGTTCAAGCAGTTCTCCTGTCTCAGCTCCCAAGTAGCTGGGACTACAGGTGCCCGCCACCACGCCTGGCTAATTTTTGTATTTTTAGTAGAGACGGGGTTTCACCATGTTGGCCAGGATGGTCTCGATCTCCTGACCTCATGATCCACCCGCCTAGGCCTCCCAAAGTGCTGGGATTACAGGCATGAGCCACCGCGCCCAGCTTTTTAGTTTATTTTTAAATAAAATTCTATGGTCTAAATCTAGAGATTGGCCAGGCATGGTGGCTCACACCTGTAATCCCGGCACTTTGGGAGGCTAAGGTAGGAAGATTGCTTGAGCTCAGGAGTTCGTGACAAGCCTGGGCAACATAGTGAGATCCCATCTCTACAAATAAATACATAAGTAAATAAATTAGCTAGTCATGGTGGCACATGCCTGTAGTCCCAGACGCTCAGGAGGCTGAGGTGGGAGGATTGCTTGCGCCTGGGAGGATGAGGCTGGGTGACAGAGCAAGACCCTTTCTTAAATAAATAAATAAATAAATAAATAAATAAAATAATAAATCTGGAGATCATTTCTAATTTCATAATAGGTTGGGAGATTTATGCTTAAGAGTCTTAATTTTTTAAAAATCAGAATTTGGTGGTATTTTTACATAATGTTTATATGACTAGGATGAAGTTGATTTCCAAGTTTCCAATTAGGGTGAAAAGTAGTCCTTATAATCCAATATTCATGACAAGTGCAACAGGACAAAAAGAGTGGATTCAACGTTCTTATATCCAAATGGTCCTAGTGTATAACTAATTTACAAATTTATTTGATAGCTGAGGGGTCAGTTCTAATTTACTAGTCATAGCATTACTTAGATGGGCTGGTTGACAATGGAACTGGATGGTGACATTTGCATTTTGGCACTAAAGTAGATCTATGGCTGGTAGCACAGTGGTTACTGTTCCATACTAGAGCCAACAAAATTAGTCTTGTCAGTTTCATAGACAGCCACACTGCTAACTCTTTCAACTGCCCTACAACAGATGCAAACCCATTATCACTGCTAGAAACGCAACTCCTGGAGTGTGCCTAAGCAAAGCAAGTGTGTGGTGAGACAGCATTTATCAACCCACCACCAACTCATGGGATAGTCACTGCCATCATGCTAGAGCATATGATATACTCAAGCAAAGAAACAGAGAAAAGACCCCTTATGTCCTGCTACCATCTCTCTGTATAATTGTTGGTAAGTAATAGAACCTCTCTATTCTCTGATTTCCCATTTATATGATGGAAATAATATTAACTATTAAGAATGATGTAAAGATCAATGGACTTAATTAGGTAGAATTTTGAATTCCTTGCAGGTGTTATTTAAACCTGGACTACAACTTGGTCAACAAAAAAAGTTTATTTGGTCCCCACAGTGTGTGGATTATAACATAGTTCTGAGTACTTTTAGGAATTATAAAGGAATTAGAGGCCACATCTCTATTCTCATGGAATTATTATACTCCATGTAAGACAGGACTAATCCCAGTCAAAGCTGATAAGCACACCGACAAAAATATTACCAACTGCCGCCGCTGATAAGGACTCTGTTGATCCTCCAATGGTGCATGCCCGGGTTTAGGTGTAGTGAACTGGAAGCTCTAGGAGACTCAAGGAAGAAAACATAGGCTTAAAGGATGGGTTCCCTACTGAAGGTTCAATTATTTTGGAAAACCATTTAGCACAAACTCATGCTACTGTATAATTTTTGTTTTAAAGGTCTGATACTGAAAAAATTTTTACAATAAAAATGAAACAGTTTAGTATAACTACAGGTGTTATCATGATAACTATAATTTGTGTCTACATAAACCTTTCCACCAAGAAAAGAACACACATATATACAAATGATGGTTTAAATGTCTAGTTTTAGGAGACTAAGAAGTTAACAATACAAAAGTAACAGCAATATGTATACTGCATATGCTACTGAACCTGACAGAAAGATATTCAATAGCCCATTTCCCCCACCTGCAGCATAAGAAATTACATTAAATAAGAGACTTCACTAAGGAGAGAGTAGCTAAGCAACACCTTCAAATCTCAAAGGAGAGTTTTTCAAAAGCCCTAAATTTAGCTATTACATACATTCATCAGCACAGCTAAAAAGTCTTTATAAACTAATTTGCAGCATCCAATAAAATAAAAATTCAGAGGAGGGTTTATTGTGCAGCTGAAATTCTTGAAGCTCAAATATATCTGTTATGCTGCTGCAAGTCATCTTCCTGTTGCATGACTGCTGGGAATGTCTAATCCATTACTTTCCACAAAAGAGTACCTTTTTGTCTCTTCAAAATTTGCTTGATTACCTGGATGGCACTTATGCATGTGTGTTCATTATGATTTGTGACAATCATTACGATTTGTGCTGCATACTTCAACTAACAAGAAAACAGTCCTGGTGTGGTGGTTCACGCCTGTAATCCCAGCACTTTGGGAGGCCAAGGTGGGAGGATCACTTGAGCCCAGGAGTTCTAGACCAGCCTGGGCAACATAGTGAGACTCCGTCTCAACAAAAAATTAAAAGAAATAAGTAAATTAACCGGGCCTGGTGCATGCCTGCTCTCCCAGCTAGTTGGGACACTGAGGTGGGAGGATCGCTTGAGCCTGGGAGGTCGAGGCTGCAGTGAGATGTAATTGCACCACTGCACTCCAGACTGGGTGACAGAGCGAAACCCTGCCTTAAAAATTAAAAAACAAACAAACAAACAAAAAACACCTTATTTCAGATGCACTTTCATAAATCATTATCATACTTTAGTCTAATAAACAGGTCTCTATCTTTCAAATGCTTAAAACGTGTATCCCCATCTGTGCACCTTCATCAAGTTATTACACCTTTGTCATCCATTTCTTTGTGTATTTTTAGTTTACTTGTGTTATTCACTTTTCCCTGTGAAACCTTAAGTTTTTTACCTGCCGACTCCTTTGTAACTTTCCTACATTGATTTAAAGTAGACAGTGGTATATTTATAAATCAGCTTTCAAGAAAAACAAAAAAGCCCTGATTTGAAGTGATTGACAATTTCTGTGGTATAAATACTCTCAATTTCAAAGTTCCAAGGTTTAATATCCAGCTCAAGAAATTCCTGAATATTTGACAATCAGCTCTCATGAACAGAGAAAAGTCTGCTCTAGCCATGTAGGTAAACAGTACGATTACTAGTTTTGCACTGACTTAGAAGAGTATTTTCACTAACTGCTCATTCACTTACACCATCATAAAGTTTTTCCAGCTGTGTGCATAGACAATCATGACATATTTCAGTGTGGAATCAATGATGGGTGAAAATTCTTCCCTCTATGCATCCCTGCAGAGCTAAGGCTAAATAAGCCAATTTGCTGAATTACTTAGAACCAAGTATTTATTGCTTCACAAACAGATTAGTTCCCACTTGTCAGAAAATGTAATAGAGCCAAGATGCCAATTGGTGTTTGTTTTCTGCCACAAGTGCAGACTAAACAGAATGGATATTCAGTAAGCCGTATTCAACTGAAGGATGCATTTTCAAAACGGGATGGGGGAGAATAAACAGGCAACATTAATGTCAGAGGAAATTATGGGTATGAACTTTTTTTCTGCTTCTGTATAAACCTGACCCTGCTACAAATGTTCAGTGGCATAAATAATGACAATAGATGGATTTTGCTCTTGGAAACTCTAATACAGAAAGGCAACTGACATTTTTCAACTTCAACATTTTGGAGGGCAATGCTTTTCCTGATTTATGGGGATGCCTATTATTTTGCCATGGATTTACCAGGAAAAAACAACCAGAAGAAAAATAAAAGTTTGAAGATCTGAAATAGAGTAGAAAAATATCTTTTTTAAAAAAACACTGATTCTACTGAAAATAAAAATTCATGGCTCTTCTATTGTATTAAATGAAATAGAAGGCAGAGGAAAAGAACACTATTAAAATTCTCTCCCCAAATCATCGCGACTTTAAATTTTCTGGGGCTGGGGAACATGACTGGAAATTGAATGGTAGTTCCTCTGGGCTCTTCCTTTACTCTTTCTTCTCTGCCCCTACCCCCAATGACACTAGAACTTGAAATTGTACAATCAGATAAAAGCCTGTTCTATGGCTTCCTTCTCAGTTTAATAAGTCAGAAAAGTCACATACGTCCAGAAAAGTATGTGAAGGACATCAGAATGGGAGCTGGTATAAGCTTGGGGATTATTTCAAGGGTCATGACTAATTTTTGATCACATGTTAATGGGAAGATTTAGCCCTGTTGTACTTCATGTGTGGGATATTCACCCACATGTCTACCTTCATGTGTGGGATATTCACCCATGAATTTTTAATCATGGAATTTCCCTCTGTCACCTAGGCTGGAGAGCAGTGGCATAATCATAGCTCACTGTAATGTTGAACTTCTGGGCTCAAGTGATCTTCCCTCCTTATCCTCCAGAGTAGCTGGGACTATAGGCATGCATCACCATACACAGCTAATTGTTTACTTATTTTTATTTTTTCGTAGAGATGAGGTCTCACTATGTTGTCCAGGCTGGTCTGAAACTCCTAGCCTCAAGTATTCTTCCTGCCTCTGCCTCACAAGTAGCTGAGATTACAGGCACCCATCACCATGCCTGGCCACGGGAGTGTAGACTTTTTGATGAAAGTTTTCCTGAGGTGACTGCCTCCTATAATCATAGTATAAAAACCAACAAGTTATGACCTCATCATTCTCAACACTTAAGACATATTTCATGCTTAGCCTTAAATAGAAATGAAAACAAATGTCACAGTTTGGGTTCTCTAAGAAGCAGTCCCTGAGACAAAGTTTAATGTTCAGGAGTGCTCTTGCAATCAACACCTGTGGGAAGGAAGGGAGAAAGAGGGACTGGGTAGAGAGGAAGTTGAACTGTGATATAGGTTTGACAGACTCAGCCACAGGGAGTTCTGGAGCAGAAATGGCTCAAAAGGATCATCCCAGTTTGAGTCAGAGTGGCTGGTCTTTTATGTCCCTGCCTCTATCCATCCATCCATCATTAGATGTGAGCCTCTCCTAGAAGGGCATGACCTTGGTGAGACGGCTTTCCATAGTGATGTGTTCCTGGAAGGGATTAAAAGCTGAAAGCTGTTCCATCAAAATACCCACTGCAGCTGGGGCAATAAATCCTTCCTTGAAGGGAAATTTGAACACCACATCTCTGTGTCAACAGCAATGAGTCTCCTTAACCTGAAAAATATCGATCATGTTTTACACATCTCACATACTAAATAAGAGCATAAGAGTCTACCTACTAATACATTCAAAATGATTTAAGAACTATTGTTTTTCCAATATATGGTGTTGGAACAATTGGATATCCATAAGCAAAAACAAAAACAAAACCTCGACCTAAACATCTCACTTCCATAAAAATTAACTCAAAGTAGATCATGGATTTAAACATCATGTGTAAAATCATAAAACTTTTAGAAAAAAACATAGGAGAAACACAGGATCCTCAAGACCTCAAGCTAGGCAAAGAGTTCTCAGACTTGATAGCAAAAGCATAATCCATTTTTAGAAATCAATAAATAGGATTTTATCAAATTAAAAACTTTTACTGTGCAAAAGTATGTGCCATATGAAGAGGATGAAAAGATAAGCTACAGATGTCAGGAAGTATTTGCAAACTACATACCTGACAAAGGACTGGTATCTACAGAATATAAAGAATTCTCAAAACTCAACAGTTAGAAAATGAGCAAAATATATGAATTGATACCTCATTTTGAAAATGATATACAGAGGGCAAAACATCACATGAAAAGATGTTCAACATCACCAGCCATCAGGGAAATGCAAATTAAAGTCACAATGGGACATTGTGACTTTAATCACTACACACCCATCACTACACACCCATCAGAATGGCTAAAATAAAAAAGCCATCAGAATGGCTAAAATAAAAAACAGAGACAACACCAAAGGCTGGCAAGGAAGTGGAGAAACTAGGTTGATCACACTTTGCTGGTAGGAATATATGGTACAGCTACTCTGGAAAATAGTTTGGTGACTTTTAAAAAACAAAACATGCAACTATTATATGACCCAGCAATTGTACTCTTTGACATTTATCACAGAGAAACTAAAACTTGGAATCACACAAAAACCTGTACATAAATGTTTTTGGCAGCTTTATTTGTAATAGCTGAAAACTGGAAACAACTCAGATGTCCTGCATCAGATAACTGATTAAACAAACTATGGGTATATTAAACCGTGTAATACTACTCTGCAAGAAAAAGGAATTAACTATGTTTATGTACAACAATTTTAATCTCCAAATAATTATGCTGGGAGAAAAGTCAATTGCAAGAGGTTAAATATAGGCCAAGTATGGTGGCTCAGGCCTGTAATCCCAATGCTTTGGGAGGCGAGGTGAGAGGATCACTTGAGCCTGGGAGTTTGACACCAGCCTGGACAACAAAGTGAGACCCTGTATGTACAAAAAAAAGAAAAAAAAAATAGCTAGGCATGGTGGTAAGCATGTGGTCCCAGGTACACAGAGGTTGAGCCAGGAGGATTGTTTAAGCATAGATGATCAAGGCCGTACTGAGCCAGGTTTGCACCTGCACTCCAGCCTGGGAGACAGAGTGAGACCCTGTCTCAAAAAAAAAATGTTTTTAAGTCATATTCTATTCTATAATGATTCTATTTAGGTAACTTTCTTGGAATGACAAAATTATAGGAATAGATTAGTTGTTGGGTTGTATGTGCAGGAGGGAAGTGGGTGTGGCTGTAAAAGGGCAACAAGAGGGATCTTGTCGTGATGGAAATGTTCCACATATGTATTGTTTCAGTGTCAATGTCCTGGTTGGGACATTGTAATATCATTTTGCAAAATGTTACCACAAGGGGAAGTTGGTAAAGGGTACATGGGAGCTCTCTGTATTATTCTTACAACTGCATGTGAATCTGCAATTCTCTCAATATAAATAGTCTAAAAAAAGACTTTGTGAAAAAAATCTTGAATTAAATTAACCAGATAATTTTTTTTTTTTACTTCCCGCTTTCTAAGTACATGGCCTTGATTCTAGTACAGTCAAGGCACACATCAGCCTGAGAAAGGGGGATGATTTCTATAAAAGGAATGCAAAACAAAATTAACAAACTACAGTACAACAGCTAATATTCAATTTCTGTCATTGAAACTATGATTTACGTTCTATCAAAAAGATACAGGCACTACCATGTTCATCACAGCACTATTCACAATAGCAAAGACACGGAATGAACCCAGCTGCCCATCAACAGTGGACTGGACAAAGAAAATGCGGTACACATACACCATGGAATACTATGCAGCCCCAAAAAGAATGAAATCACGTCCCTTGCAGCAGCATGGATGCAGGTGGAAGCCATCTTCCTAAGGGAATGAATCAACACAGAAACAGAAAACCAAATACTGCATGTTCCCACTCATAAGTGGGAGCTCACGCCTGTAATCCCAGCACTTTGGGAGGCTGAGGTGGGCAGATCTCCTGAGGTCAGGAGTTTGAGACCAGCCTGGCCAACATGGTGAAACCCAGTCTCTTCTAAAAGTACAAAAAACAAATTAGCCAGGTGAACCACATAATTTAGTAGATGAAATAGTGGCATTACACATTGGTGGGATAAGGAGTTATCAATGCATCGTGTGAAGGTGATTTGATGATCTATTGCTACCTAACAAACTACTTCAAAATATAGTGGCTTAAAACCATCACCATTTTATTTTCTCACAATTCTGTGGGTCAGTAATTCAAGCTAATCTGGGCAGACATTAATCCACACAATACTGGTTGGGGCCATTCACTCAGCTGCATTCAGGTGGTGGGCGGGCTGGGAATTCAAAGCCTTCACTCATAAGTCTGGTGCCTTGGTGCTCTGCACATGGTTTCTCTCTCCACATGGCTAGCAAGGCTTCCTTACAGCATGGTGGTCTCAGGGTAGTCAGACTTTTGCCATAGTATTTGACTTAGGAGAGGGAATAGATGAATTGGTGAACTCTGGAGCAACAGATTCTTAAGTTTCAGCATTGGAAATGACACAGCATCACTTCTGCCACATGCTTTTGGTCAAAACAAGTCACAAGTTCAGACTCAAGGGAAGGAAAAACAAACACTAATCAACATGAGGGGCCCTGAGGGGCCAATTAATTAACTACAGATGTGCCTTGACCTACCATGGGGTTATTTCCTGATAAACCCACTGTAAGTTGAAAATACTGTTAAATTCCAAGTGCATTTAATACACCTAACCTACCTAACATCATAGCTTAGCCTACCTTAAATGTCCTGAGCACTCTTACATTAGCCTACTGTTATGCAAAACCATCTAATACAAGGTCTATTTTATAATAAAGTCTTAAATATTTCATGCCATCTATTGAATAATGCAGTAAGAGTAAAAAACAGAATGGCTGTATGGGCATTCGAACGGTTTCTACTGAATGTGTATTGCTTTCATATCATTGCAATAAGGGAAGAGACCACCCCTCATATTGTCTTATCCCCACTTTCTGCCTCCAAAGAAAGAAGTAAAAACTAAAAGGCAGAAATGAAATCCACAGGCAGACAGCCCAGCGCCACACCCTGGGCCTGGTAGTTAAAGATCGACCCCTGACCTAACAGGTTATGTTATCTATAGATTCCAGACATTGTATGGGAAAGCACTGTGAAAACCCATCCTGTCCTGTTCCATTCTGATTACCGGTGCATGCAGCCCGCAGTCACATACCCCCTGCTTGCTCAATCGATCAGGACCATCTCACATGAACCCCTTTAGAGTTGTGAGCCTTTAAAAGGGACAGAACTGCTCACTTGGGGAGCTCGGCTCTTGAGACAGGAATCTTCGAATGCCCCTGGCCGAATAAACCCCTTCCTTCTTTAACTCCATGTCTGAGGAGTTTTGTCTCTGGCTCATACTCCTACAGTAAAGTCATAAAATTGTAATTTGAGCCATTATAAGTTGGGGACTGTATTTGTAAAATACTTTTCTTTATGGAAAATATTTTAAAAATTACACATTCAATTAAAAAAGGAGATATTAAGCTATTCAGATTTTCTATTTCATCTTGCCAGTTTTAGTAAGTTATGCTTTCTAAAGATTTTTTTGATACTGTGGGAGGGTGGAGCCAAGATGGCTGAATAGGAACAGCTGCAGTCTACAGCTCCCAGCATGAGTGACGCAGAAGACGGGTGATTTCTGCATTTCCAACTGAGGTACCGGGTTTATCGCACTGGGGAGTGTCGGACAGTGGGTGCAGGACAGTGGGTGCAGTGCACCAAGTGTGAGCCGAAGCAGGGCGAGGCATCGCCTCACCTGGGAAGCGCAAGGGGTCAGGGAATTCCCTTTCCTAGTCAAAGAAAGGGGTGACAGATGGCACCTGAAAAATCGGGTCACTCCCACCCTAATACTGCACTTTTCCAATGGTCTTAGCAAACGGCACACCAGGAGATTATATCCCGTGCATGGCTCGGAGGGTCCTACGCCCACGGAGCCTCGCTGATTGCTAGCACGGCAGTCTGAGATCAAACTGCAAGGCAGCAGCGAGGCTAGGGGAGGGGTGCCTGCCATTGCCGAGGCTTGAGTAGGTAAACAAAGCAGCTGGGAAGCTCGAACTGGGTAGAGCCCACCACAGCTCAAGGAAGCCTGCCAGCCTCTGTAGACTCCACCTCTGGGGGCAGGGCATAGCCAAACAAAAGGCAGCAGAAAACTCTGCAGACTTAAATGTCCCTGTCTGACAGCTTTGAAGAGAGTAGTGGTTCTCCCAGCACACAGCTGGAGATCTGAGAACGGACAGACTGCCTCCTCAAGTGGGTCCCTGACCCTCGAGTAGCCTAACTGGGAGGCATCCCCCAGTAGGGGCAGACTGTCACTTCACACGGCCGGGTACTCCTCTGAGACAAAACTTCCAGAAGAATGATCAGGCAGCAACATTTACTGTTCACCAGTATCTGCTGTTCTGCAGCCTCCACTGGTGATACCCAGGCAAACAGGGTCTGGAGTGGACCTCCAGCAAACTCCAACAGACCTGCAGCTGAGGGTCCTGTTAGAAGGAAAACTAACAAACAGAAAGCACATCCACACCAAAATCCCATCTGTACGTCACCATCATCAAAGACCAAAGGTAGATAAAACCACAAAGATGGGGAAAAAACAGAGAAGAAAAACTGGAAACTCTAAAAATCAGAGTGCCTCTCCTCCTCCAAAGGAACACAGCTCCTCACCAGCAACGGAACAAAGCTGGACAGAGAATGACTTTGACGAGTTGAGAGAAGAAGACTTCAGATGATCAAACTACTCCGAGCTAAAGGAGGAAGTTCGAACCCATGGCAAAGAAGTTAAAAACCTTGAAAAAAAATTAGACGAATGGCTAACTAGAATAACCAATGCAGAGGAGTCCTTAAAGGACCTGATGGAGCTGAAAACCATGGCACGAGAACTATGTGACGAATGCACAAGCCTCAGTAGCCAATTTGATCAACTGGAAGAAAGGGTATCAGTGATTGAAGATCAAATGAATGAAATGAAGCAAGAAGAGAAGTTTAGAGAAAAAAGAATAAAAAGAAACAAAGCCTCCAAGAAATATGGGACTATGTGAAAAGACCAAATCTACGTCTGATTGCTGTACCTGAAAGTGACGGGAAGAATGGAACCAAGTTGGAAAACACTCGGCAGGATATTATCCAGGAGAACTTCCCCAGTCTAGCAAGGCAGGCCAATATTCAAATTCAGGAAATACAGAGACCACCACAAAGATACTCCTCGAGAAGAGCAACTCCAAGACACATATTTGTCACATTCACCAAAGTCGAAATGAAGGAAAAAATGTTAAGGGCAGCCAGAGAGAAAGGTCGGGTTACCCACAAAGGGAAGCCCATCAGATTAACAGCTGATCTCTTGGCAGAAACTCTACAAGCCAGAAGAGAGTGGGGGCCAATATTCAACATTCTTAAAAGAATTTTCAACCCAATATTTCATATCCAGCCAAACTAAGCTTCATAAGTGAAGGACAAATAAAATCCTTTACAGACAAGCAAATGCTGAGAGATTTTGTCACCACCAGGCCTGCCCTAAAAGAGCTCCTGAAGGAAGCACTAAACATGGAAAGGAACAACTGGTACCAGCCGCTGCAAAAACATGCCAAATTGTAAAGACCATCGAGGCTAGGAGGAAACTGCATCAACTAACGAGCAAAATAACCATCTAACATCATAATGACAGGATCAAATTCACACATAACAATATTAACCTTAAATGTAAATGGGCTAAATGCTCCAATTAAAAGACACAGACTGGCAAACTGGATAAAGACTCAAGACCCATCAGTGTATTATATTCGGGAAACCCATCTCACATGCAGAGACACACATAGGCTCAAAATAAAGGGATGGAGGAAGATCTACCAAGCAAATGGAAAACAAAAAAAGGCCGGGGCTGCAATCCTAGTCTCTGATAAAACAGACTTTAAACCAACAAAGATCAGAAGAGACAAAGAAGGCCATTACATAATGGTAAAGGGATCAATTCAACAAGAAGAGCTAACTATCCTAAATATATATGCACCCAATACAGGAGCACCCAGATTCATAAAGCAAGTCCTCAGAGACCTACAAAGAGACTTAGACTCCCACACAATAATAATGGGAGACTTTTACACCCACCGTCAACATTAGACAGATCAACGAGACAGAAAGTAAACAAGGATATCCAGGAATTGAACTCAGCTCTGCACCAAGCGAACCTAATAGACATCTACAGAACTCTCCACCCCAAAATCAACAGAATATACATTCTTTTCAGCACCATACCACACCTATTCCAAAATTGACCACATAGTTGGAAGTAAAGCACTCCTCAGCAAATGTAAAAGAACAGAAATTATAACAAACTGTCTCTCAGACCACAGTGCAATCAAACTAGAACTCAGGATTAAGAAACTCACTCAAAACCGCTCAACTACGTGGAAACTGAACAACCTGCTCCTGAATGACTACTGGGTACATAACGAAATGAAGGCAGAAATAAAGATGGTCTTTGAAACCAATGAGAACAAAGACACAACATACAAGAACTTCTGGGACACATTCAAAGCAGTGTGTAGAGGGAAATTTATAGCACTAAATGCCCACAAGAGAAAGCAGGAAAGATCTAAAATTGACACCCTAACATCACAATTAAAAGAAATAGAGAAGCAAGAGCAAACACATTCAAAAGCTAGCAGAAGGCAAGAAATAACTATGACCAGAGCCGAACTGAAGGAAATAGAGACACAAAAAACCCTTCAAAAAATCAATGAATCCAGGAGCTAGTTTTTTGAAAAGATCAACAAAATTGATAGACCGCTAGCAAGACTAATAAAGAAGAAAAGAGAGAAGAATCAAATAGATGCCACAAAAAATGATAAAGGGGATATCACCACTGATCCCACAGAAATACAAACAACCATCAGAGAATAATATAAACACCCGTATGCAAATAAACTAGAAAATCTAGAAGAAATTGATAAATTCCTCAACACATACACCCTCCCAAGACTAAACCAGGAAGAAGTTGAATCTCTGAATAGACCAATAATAGGCTCTGAAGTTGAGGCAACAATTAATAGCTTACCAACCAAAAAAAGTTCAGGACCAGATGGATTCACAGCCGAATTCTACCAGAGGTACAAGGAGGAACTGGTACCATTCCTTCTGAAACTATTCCAATCAATAGAAAAAGAGGGAATCCTCCCTAACTCATTTTATGAGGCCAGCATCATCCTGATACCAAAGCCTGGCAGAGACACAACAAAAAAAGAGAAATTTAGACCAATATCTCTGATGAACATTGATCCAAAAATCCTCAATAAAATACTGGCAAACCGAATCCAGCAGCACATCAAAAAGCTTATCCACCATGATCAAGTGGGCTTCATCCCTGGGATGGAAGGCTAGTTCAACATACGCAAATCAATAAACATAATCCAGCATATAAACAGAACCAACGACAAAAAACACATGATTATCTCAATAGATGCAGAAAAGGCCTTTGACAAAATTCAACAACACTTCATGCTAAAAACTCTCAATAAATTAGGTATTGACGGGACATATCTCAAAATAATAAGAGCTATCTATGACAAATCCACAGCCAATATCATACTGAATGGGCAAAAACTGGAAGCATTCCCTTTGAAAACTGGCACAAGACAGGGATGCCGTCTCTCACCACTCCTATTCAACACAGTGTTGGAAGTTCTGGCCAGGGCAATCAGGCAGGAGAAGGAAATAAAGGGTATTCAATTAGGAAAAGAGGAAGTCTAATTGTCCCTGTTTGCAGATGACATGATTGTATATCTAGAAAACCCCATCATCTCAGCCCAAAATCTCCTTAAGCTGATAAGCAACTTCAGCAAGGTCTCAAGATATAAAATCAATGTGCAAAAATCACAAGCAATCTTATACACCAATAACAGACAAACTGAGAGCCAAATCATGAGTGAATTACCATTCACAATTGCTTCAAAGAGAATAAAATACCTAGGTCCAACTTACAAAGGACATGAAGGACCTCTTCAAGGAGGACTACAAACCACTGCTCAATGAAACAAAAGAGGATACAAACAAATGGAAGAACATTCCATGCTCATGGCTAGGAAGAATCAATATCATGAAAATGGCCATACTGCCCGAGGTAATTTATAGATTCAATGCCATCCCCATCAAGCTACCAATGACTTTCTTCACAGAATTGGAAAAAAATACTTTAAAGTTCATATGGAACCAAAAAAGAGCCTGCATTGCCAAGTCAATCCTGAGACAAAAGAACAAAGCTGGAGGCATCATGCTACCTGACCTCAAACTATACTACAAGGCTACAGTAACCAAAACAGCATGGTACTGGTACCAAAACAGAGATATAGACCAATGGAACAGAACAGAGCCCTCAGAAATAATACCACACATCTACAACCATCTGATCTTTGACAAACCTGACAAAAACAAGAAATGGGGAAAGGATTCCCTATTTAAAAAATGGTGCTGGGAAAACTGGCTAGCCATATGTAGAAAGCTGAAACTGGAACCCTTCCTTACACCTTATACAAAAATTAATTCAAGATGGATTAAAGACTTAAATGTTAGACCTAAAACCATAAAAACCCTAGAAGAAAACCTAGGCAATAGCATTCAGGACATAGTCATGGACAAGGACTTCATGTCTAAAACACCGAAAGCAACAGCAACAAAAGCCAAAATTGACAAATGGGATCTAGTTAAACTAAAGAGCTTCCACACAGCAAAAAAAACTACCATTAGAGTGAACAGGCAACCCACAGAATGGGAGAAAATTTTTGCAATCTACTCATCTGACAAAGGGCTAATATCCAGAATCTACAATGAACTCCAACAAATTTACAAGAAAAAAACAAACAACCCCATCAAAAAGTGGGTGAAGGATATGGACAGACAATTCTCAAAAGAAGACATTTATGCAGCCAAAAGACACATGAAAAAATGCTCATCATCACTGGTTATCAGAGAAATGCAAATCAAAGCTAAAATGAAATACCATCTCACACCAGTTAGAATGGCAATCATTAAAAAGTCAGGAAACAACAGGTGCTAGAGAGGATGTGGAGAAATAGGAACACTTTTACACTGTTGGTGGGACTGTAAACTCGTTCAACCATTGTGGAAGTCAGTGTGGTGATTCCTCAGGGATCTAGAAGTAGAAATACCATTTGACCCAGCCATCCCATTACTAGGTATATACCCATAGGATTATAAAACATGCTGCTGTAAAGACACATGCACACGTATGTTTATTGTGGCACTATTCACAATAGCAAAGACTTGGAACCAACCCAAATGTTCAACAATGATAGACTGGATTAAGAAAATGTGGCACATATACACCATGGAATACTATGCAGCCATAAAAAATGATGAGTTCATGTCCTTTGTAGGGACATGGATGAAGCTGGAAACCATCATTCTCAGCAAACTATTGCAAGGACAAAAAACCAAACACCGCATGTTCTCACTCATAGGTGGGAATTTAACAATGAGAACACATGGATGCAGGAAGGGGAACATCACACACCGGGGCCTGTTGTGGGGTCGGGGGCATGGGGAGGGATAGCATTAGGAGATATATCTAATGTTAAACGAAGAGTTAATGGGTGCAGCACACCAACATGGCACATGTATACATATGTAACAAACCTGCACGTTGTGCACATGTACCCTAAAACTTAAAGTATAATAAAGAGAAAAAAAATAAAGATTGTTTATTTTATCTAAGTCATCAAATTTATTGGCATAAAGCCATTTGTAGTATTCGCCTTACTATCTTTTGAATATGTTGGTAAGATCTCTAGTGACATCTTCTTTTCCATTTCTGATATTGTTCATTTTTATTTTCTTTTTCTTCTTATCAGGTATCCAGGCATTTATCAATTTTATTAATCCCAAGGAACCAACTTTTGTATATTTCATGGATTTTGCTTTTTCCACATATCAATATGCTCTGGAGTACTTCCATATTAGTATATATACATCTACCTCATTTTTCTTAATTGCTGCCATAGTATTCCATATTATGGAGGTACTAGACTTTATTTAATCATAAGCATTCTTATTAATGTCTTTCTTTTTTTTGACATTAGACTACTGAAGCAAACATCTTTTTATGTGTCTCTATGTGCACATGAGAAAGGTCAGACCCCCAGAAGTTAAATTCCTGGGCCACAGAGTATCTTAATTTTACATTTTAAAACAGATCTCCCAAACTGCTTTCCAAATGGCTGTGCCAATTTGCACTTCCACCAAATGGGTAGGGACATTCCCCACTGATTCATGGCCTTGCCAATATTTAGCAGCATCAGCCTTTTTTATTGATGAGCGAATTGATCACTGATGAGTCTGAGCATCTTGCAGCTGTTTATGGCTTGAGGGTTTTCTCCTCTGAAAAGGCTTTTTTCATCACTTTCTATTTTTTAAAATATATTGAAGATATTAAAGCCTTGGTTTCTTAACATGTTCAAAAAAGATTTTCTAATCTGTTCCATCTTTTGCAGTTTTATTGTGCCTTTTTTCACACGATGTCTTAGATTTTGATGTGGCTAAATTAATCACTCTTTTCCTTTATGACCTGGCGTTTGTGTCCCACTGAAGAAGGTCTTTTATTCTGGTTCTGAGAGTTCAATTAACGCTCATCAGTTAATCAGAATCTCTTGTCTCTGGAGGGCAGCTCTACCACTGAGTTCCAGGATCCAGCCCCCAGGGCACCATGCTCCTCTTCCTCATTCCTCCATTCAACTATGCGGAGCTCTCAACCTCTCATGCCTTACTCCAGACTTTCATATCTGTCAATCCTCTCCCGTCCCTACCCCACCCCATACACACCTTAAAAACAACTTGGAACCACAGAATACTAGAAGGGACCTCAAGAATTGTTTAGTCTAAAACTTTTATTCTTTTTTTTTGGAGACAGGGTCTCACTCTGTCATCCAGCCTGGGGTACAGTGACATGATCACAGCTTACTGCAGCCTTGCCCTCCCTGGGCTCAAAGGATCCTCCCACCTCAGCCTCCCAAGTAGCTGAGGCCAAAGGCACATGCCATTACACCCAGCTAATTTTTCACTTTTGGTAGAGATGGGGTCTTGCCACGTTGCCCAAGCTGGTCCTGAACTCCTGGGCTCAAGCGATCCACCCATCTTGGCCTCCCAAACTGCTAGGATGACAGGCGTGAGTCACCACACCCAGCCCAAACTCTCATCTTTATAGATGAGGATTAAGAGATGTAGACCTTGCTGTCCAGTATGGTAGCTACTAGCCACGTATGGCTTCTAAATTTTAACTTAATTAAAATTCAAAATTCAGTCACACTAGCCAAATTTCAGATCCTCCACAACCACATGTAGCTAATGGCTACTGTATCAGAGAGTGTGGGTCTAGAACATTTCCATCATTACAGAATGTTCTAACAGACAGGGTTGCTCTAGAGCTCATTACTTAAAGGGTAGTCTGCTGATTGGCAGTAGGAACACAGGCATAACTAGGAGCTAGTTAGAAATAGAGATCTCAGGTTCTACCTCAGACCTACAGAGTCAGAATCTACAATTCAACATGATCCACAGAAGTCTGCATGCAAATTAGAGTCCAAGAAGCCCTAAAGTCATGTGATTTTTTTTTTTTTTTTGAGAAGTCACTACAGCTGATTGATGTTCAGGCCCTTCCCTTGACCCAGCTACCACTTTCCCTTATCATCCTGTGTCCTTCTTATTATCTCCCTGCCACATTTGCTTTCTCAATATGTTTTATTACAGCATTTCTTTATAAACATTTACAGGCTGGGCATGGTGGCTTACGCCTATAATCCCAACACTCTGGGAGGTCAGGAGTTTGAGACCGGCCTGGGCAACACAGTGAGACCTGTCTCTACCAAAACCAAAAAATATTTACAAAGCAGCCAGGCCATTGAAGCCCTCATAAAACATCCCCTTCTCCATGCCCTCACTCTCATTCTGGTTTGTAAGTGCTTGCTTGGCAGGCTTGTGATAAAGGCCCAGGCCCCTGTGATGGTTGTGGTATTGCTCAGCACTTTGCCTGGGGAACTACTATTGGAGGGCTGGAAATTAAAGCCAACCTGAAACCCAGTGGGGCACCAGTCATCAACCAAGTGTATGGCACACTTGGTCTTGGTGGGACAATGGCAGCATTCAGTCTTTAGGCTACAACCCTGGGGCAGAACATGCAGAGCAAGCTCTGTACTTGCTTTGGTCAGTGTCATATCTGGCCATCTGATTGGAGAGTACAAAGTAGGTACTGGCGATCTCCAAATGTAAGCACTGCTCAACCAGGTAATTGGTTAGTAGGTCACAAAAAGGAAGTTAATTTGGAGGTAGGGGACCAAGCTGGCCTTAAACTCTGAGAGGTCTGCTTTCAGGGTACCATCAAAGTTCAGGGAGGTAGTGATGGAGGAAGTCTGGTCCAAGCAGTGGTTAAAGTATGTGGGGCCCTGGGGGTATAGGTTGCAATGACATGTGTTGGTCCATTGTCTCCCAAGAAGACACAGTCCAAGGGTTCCAGGGTGGCACGGTGGTCAGGATAGAGTTGTAGGGTTCCACCATTGCTGGCAACACCCAGGGGATAGGTGGATGGCCAATTCTAGCTTGGATTTCTTGCCATTGTTGAAGATGACTCCATCAGCAGCAAGGTGAAGCTAGAACAGAGCTACTCCCAGAGTTGAGGAAGATCATGAAGTCCTGTAGTCCTATGCACTGCTTGTCAGTTTCTGCATAAACTCTAGTATTGGATCAATGGTCTCTTTCTCTCTTTTTTTCTTTCTTTTCTTTTTTTGTGACTGTGCAGCAGGCACAGGCATCTTTGAGAGCAGACTCCAGGTCCATAAAGACCAAAGCGCTACAGGAGTTGCTGCAAAATCCTAAGGTTTCATTACTGGACTCAGTACCACTGGGCTTGCACTGTGTTCCAGGCGGTAGGGTCTTCAACAGACACTCTGAGAGGTGGGATTGTAGGGCATCAGTTTCTGCAGACACACTACAAGTGTCTGGCAACACTATTGTGGAGGCTAAAGTAACTCCATCTCAGATGCTAATCCACAATGTTGATTTCTGAGTAACCCCAGTTTTGGGAAGGCCTCCAAGTTTTCTACTTTATCTATTGTTCCTTGTATAAGAGCATGTGACAGGCTGTTCTTACATTGTTATAAAGAAATACAGCTGGGCGCGGTGGCTCATGCCTGTGATCCCAGCACTTTGGGAGGCAGTGGAGGGAGGATCATTTGAGGTCACGAGTTCAAGACCAGCCTGGCCAACATGGTGAAACCCCATCTCTACTAAAAATACAAAAAATTAGCTGGGCGTGGTGGCGGGTGCCTGGAATCCCAGCTACTCAGGAGGCTGAGGCAGGAGAATTGCTTGAACCTGGGAGGTGCAGGTCATAGAGAGCCAAGATCATGCCACTGCACTCCAGCCAGGGCAACAGAGTGAAACTCCGTCTTAGAAAAAAAAAAAAAAAGAATTACCTGGGACTGGGTAATTTATAAAGAAAGGTTAATTGGCTCATGGTTCTGCAGGCTATACAGGTGCTGGTATCAGCTTGGCTTCTGGAAAGGCCACAGGGAGCATTTACTCACGGCAGAGGGCAAAGCGGGAGCAGGCATCTTACATGACTAGAGCAGGAGCAAGAGAGTGAGGGGTAGGTGCCATACACTTTTAAACAACCAGATCTCACAAGAACTTACTATTGCAAGGACAGCATTAAGGGGATAGTGCCAAATCATTCATGAGAAATTCACCCCCAGAATCTAATCACCACCCATCAAACCCCACCTCTAACACTGGAGATCACAATTCAACATGAGATTTAGAGAGGACAACACCCAAATTGTATCAGAGCACATACTTACCTACCTGCCCTTAGGTCAAAACAACCTTAGTCTGGGAGGGTAACAGCACAGAGATTTACCTGTCTTGCTGCTGTCCAAGACCATGCTTCTGTCCGTAAGTTCCCTAATAAATCACCTTTTGCTGACAAGCTGGATTTGTCTCCTTCATTCTTTAGTTTCTCAGCTCCTTCTGTATTTGGAGGTCACTTTGAATATACGGCCCTTTCATGAAACAACCAGGAATTCCTGTAAAAATGTTTTTTATATGTTCTGGTCTTCCCTAAAATATTTTATGAATTAGATCAAACACAATAAAAAATGTATTAGTTATTACTATGCCTAAGAGATTATAAGTGGCTTTCCCCCCTCTAAATTACAGAAGACACCATTCCTATCCTAGAGGACTTTCTCGTGTAGTTGGAAAGATATTCGATAATGTTTATTTAAAAGCTGTAACAATTACACAAGGCTGAGAACCTGAGAGCTAGATGGGTGATAAAGACAGGTTTACAGTGGGGCTCAGAGGAGAGAAAAAGAGGGAGGAGAGTCAGGGAAGGAGAACAATGAACTGAGTCTAAAATAAAGGTTAATATATTCGCGTAGGATCTATCAAAACAGGAGCAGTATTTCAACCCATTGTTTTCAAGCACCTAGAACAAAGTGAGCCCATAGTAGACACACACCAAACATAAATGGATGAGTAGTAGTGGGTGGCAGAATTCCAAAAGCAGGTTGCACCTGATTGCTAAAAGGCTTGAAAACAGGTCAAGAAATACTGCTATTTAGGTTAGTCATTTCACCTCAATAACTCGAAGTACCTAAACATAGACTTTTTTTTTTTTTTTTGAGACGGAGTTTCGTTCTTGTTGCCCAGGCTGGAGTGCAATGGTGCGATCTCGGCTCACCGCAACCTCCGCCTCCCGAGTTCAAGCGATTCTCCTACCTCAGGCTCCCGAGTAGCTGGAATTACAGGTATGCGCCACCGCGCCCGGCTAATTTTGTATTTTTAATAGAGACGGGGTTTCTTCAGCTCAGGCTGGTCTCCAACTCCCGACCTCAGAAAATCCGCCCGCCTTGGCCGCCCAAAGTGCTGGGATTACAGGCCTGAGCCACCGCGCCCGGCCAACACCGACTCTTTTCACCCTCCCAGGTATCTAGAGAGTCGAGTGGGAGGGAAATTGCTGGCTCTGGCCACTACAGTAACATCAGCACCTAGAGCAGTGCTCAACTGACTGAAGGCTCCTGTGAGTCGCCCTCTCCCCCTGGCCCCCCAACCCGCGGGGAAAGGCTGGCGGGACGCCACACAGCACCTCGATTACGCCATTTCATTTGCCACTGCACCATCTATCGGACACTAGCTAGGCTCTTCCAGGACCGGACGCACCTCCGTCCCCAAGGTGCCACCTGACAGCCAACACCGACGGGGTGATGCATGAATACAGTCATTATTCAAATTAGCTAAAACACCTAACTCATTCGGGTGAGTCTCGCCAGTCCCTCTGGGCTGACTGTCCCGCCCCGCGCTTACACCCGGGAGCGTCGGGCGGGAGAACTAGTGCATGCTGGCTGGGGATGGCGGACGCAAAGCCGGAGGCAAGGCCGCGCACGCGCAAACGCGGGCGCGCCGCCGGGCCGTGCTAGTGCGCGGAAGACGCATGCGCTGGCGGCCTGCGCCGCCTTAAGTGCCGCGCCAGCCCGGGGCGGCCCAGTCGGCCTGTCAGCCGGCTTCGAGATAAGTCCCGGCGCTTGCGCGGCGGCGGCTATGGCGGCGGAGGAGGAGGAGGTGGACTCTGCCGACACCGGAGAGAGGTAAGCGCAGCCGGCAGGGGGCTTCGTGTGTCTCCGGCGCGCACCCTCCGCGCGGGCCGGGTTAGGGCCCAGCGGGCAGCACCAAGGAGTCGCCGCCCGCCTGGCGACGACGGGCGGCTTCCTCGACCCTCCCCGGCATGAGTCCGCGCGGCGCCCAGAGGCGTCCCGGCGCCGCTCTGCCTGGGAGAGGCTCCCCTCAGCGTCGGGGCCCCGAGGTGTCTGAGCCGGACTCCGGCCGCGCCGGGAGGCCGCCTTGACCCCGCGCGGAGGGTCCGCCCCGTTGTTGTATAAGCCACCCCGCGGGCCGGCGACGGAGCTGGCCGCGGCGGCCGCACCGGCTCGGGCTCTGCCAAGGGACCCGGCCTGCCCCAATGCCGCCGGCGGGCGGTGCCCGGTCGACCCTGCACCTGACTGCGAGGCGCGGGAAATGACCGGGTCTGTCAGCCTCCCATCGCGGCTTCCGTCTACAGGTACTACCTGTGCTCTGTCCAGCCTCAGCCACTGGACGATCCTTCCCGTAGCCGTAGGAAGGGGCGGCGCTTCCTTGGAGGGGATATTAGAGGCCCGAATTCGCCCGGGAAGCGGCGGGAGGGCGGGGGTGCCGGGAAGGAGGGAGGGGAGAAGGAGTGAGGGAAGTGGGTGTATGGCTGTGAGTTTCAGATACTTCATAGAAAGAAAGTTAGCCCTTAAGATAGAGATACACGTTCAAATGTCATAATTCATCTTTCGGATGAAGGTCTTTGGCTTGCAAGCTCCACTGTCCCTTATTTGTTTGCGCTTCTGGGATTATTCTGGCTTTACTGGCGAAGTGTGTGTTGCATGTGCCTTAGAAGAACACACATAATGTATAGGAAACTGTGGAAGTTGGAGGGCAGATGTCTAATGTGAAACTTTTTTATATACAGGTATAGTGAGTTTATTCTTTTCTACACCTAAATGACTTCTTGCACTTGTTAGTAGAAGAATAGTAGTTAATGAGTGGAATAATTAAATTGTTATGGAGGTTATTGCCTTGTTTCTCAAGGCCTGTCGTTTGTATTGGAAAGTAAACTTCCCCCATATATATTTAATTTTTTGACGTCGGTTCTACTTCAGACGTCTGGAGAAATTTGCCTAGGAAACATAACCTAAATGATAGAATATGGAGTACCATGAAGACAGGGATATTTGGAAAGATGTCATGGGGAAAAATTGTGAAATATTAGAAAGGAAGTTATTCTCTTGAGTTTTGTTTATTTGTTGAGGTTTGTTGATGAACTTCCTCGTTGCACTGAGGTGAAATGTTGAATGTCATGTGGACGCAAGTAGGAACGTAATTGGTAGGTTGTGTTCTCATCTTGTTTGTCACAACATTTTTGACTCTTGACACTACTTTCAGGTGGACTATTTGGTTTTGATGTAGTGGGGCCTTGGAGTCCAGGACACAATCGTGAAAGGGTTTTATGGCTTGGAGTGATGGTTGGAGGTCATTGGAGGTAGATGATTAAAAAATCCTTAGCAGCTGATCAGCCATAGTTTCTAGACAGAAGTGGGCTTCGCTGGTATTCTTGGCAATATGCTTTAGCAGTGTCCAGTGACTATCCCCAGAAGTGATCCTGTTAAATCCAAGGTTGCCCCTGTGTGCTGGGTATTATTGTTCCCATTTTGCAGTTGAAACTGCCACTGTAAAGGCTGCTAACAGCCTGCCAGCAAGTAGCAGGGCTGGATTGGAACCCTTTGTGGAACCCTTTGAGGTGTCTGGATTTAATCTAAGGTGCTTACCCTGTATCCCTGCTGCCTGTCACTGGAATTGGGACTCATGTGGGATGTTTGGCTCTTGTTTGAATACAGTTCCCTACCCTTAAGACATTTGAGGTTTAGATAGGGAGATAACATTAACAAAGGAAAGTTATAAAATGGTCATCTGATGGCTTTTTGGAGAATATGATTCTTGTCCTTTGCTTTGTGGCACTTAGTGAAGACAGGCATACTGGGATCCATTTTGCTTTCAACATCCAACCCCTTTCAGTTGCAATACAGTTGAGAAAGCTAAATGTAATGAGAGTAGAGTAGACTTCTGTGAATTGCTTTAAGTTGTCCTAGAGAATGATTTAGTGTCAATTGAGTTGAGAGAAAGCTGTCACAGAATTGCTCAGTTGCAGGGTAGACCATAAAAGAGGTGATTTGCAGTTGTGTGCTGGAGTTGATTTGTACCAGCAAGCCATTGCTAAATTTTCAGGAATTTTGCCAACGGTTGGCAGCTTGAAATTGGCCATGGTGGGAGTATTTACACCACGGAAATCATCAAATGCTATAAATAAGGTATAAATAAGGGATTTTTCTCTCCCCTCCCTGCTTCAGTTTGTTTGCCAGCTCCCCACTGGGTTTACATTAGACTGTGAATGTAGGTCTTTGCCTTGGAGATAGGAGAGTGGATTTCTCTATCTAATCTTTTTAAAAACTGGCAAGATATGTGCCTTTCTCTCTGCTGCCTTCTCTCCTTCCCAAACCTTTGCCACCTGATATCTTAAAAATCACAAAACTTTTCACTGCCACATCCCAATGGCCTTCTAGTTTTTTTCAGTACTTCTTCTTGGGTCCTTTTTGGTGTTTGTTACTGTAATGATAGCTACTACTTTTTGAAACTCTTATTAGACATTCTAGGTCTTAATGACATTTTGCCTTTTATCTTACCTTACCTGACCAACAATAACTTTTATTAGTTTCTCCTCTTTTTTTTTTTTTTGCATTCTCTAAATGTAGTCATTTTCCAAGATTCTGTCATCATCCTTGTTTTTATTTTTCATCTTGTTTACTCAAACGTGAACTGTCTTGTCTGTGGAGATGACTCAGATCTCATTTTCTTTCTGGAGCCCTCTTCTGTACTCTGGTAATGTTTCTAATTGTCAGATGTTTGTGCCTGATTCCTCAAATTTAACATGTCCAGACCATGATCTTATTTTTACCTTCCTGCTCCTAAACTAAACGATATAAAAAGCTTAGTTCTGGCCGGGCGCCGTGGTTCACGCCTGTAATCCTAGCACTTTGGGGTAACACCGTGAAACCCCGTCTGTATTAAAAATACAAAAAAATTAGCCGGGCAAGGTGGCGGCGCCTGTAGTCCCAGCTACTCGGGAGGCTGAGGCAGGAGAATGGCGTGAACCCAGGAGGCGGAGCTTGCAGTGAGCCGAGATCGTGCCACTGCACTCCAGCCTGGGCGACAGAGCAAGACTCCGTCTCAAAAAAAAAAAAAAAAAA
Source organism: Homo sapiens (assembly GCF_000001405.40). Classification (NCBI taxonomy): domain Eukaryota; kingdom Metazoa; phylum Chordata; class Mammalia; order Primates; family Hominidae; genus Homo; species Homo sapiens. Next base: position 43,694,277 of record NC_000003.12, read on the forward strand.
AAAGCTCAGTTCTTCCTCTTGAAACATTATATTGGCTTAATCATTGCCTTGACTAATTGTTAGATTATTAGTTTAATCTCATGGTTCTGTAATTCCCACTCCTGATTGTGAGTTACTAAAAAAAATCATATGGAGAGGTGATTTTATTAAAACTGATTATTCAGTTGAGACCTAGGATTTTTAGTTTTATTCTCTTTATTATCTAGTGAATGAACTTATTTTAGAACTGATGCAAAGAAATGTCACTGACTTGTTAAGTAGAGTACACCTGTGGCTTCTTCAAGTGTGTTTGATAATGAGGTCATATAAGTGACTCTAAAATGGTTTGTTTACTGTGTGAAGGAAGGTAGGAAACAATGGGGAGATACGTGTTACCAGCACATGGCTTGTCTAAAACACTTATACTACCAATCTGAGTCTTTAAAAGTTACAGGTTGGGGGGGGAGGGGCAGTTAAAACAGTATTAATTAATGTGTTAACATATATTAGAGGGCCTGGATTGTCATTGATCTAATAGTGATAATTTGAATCACTTAAGTATCATTTATCCAAAATAAAATGGCATGTTAGTCACTTAAATTGTAGCTGTATGAGACCATATTCTTTTTTTTTTGTTTGTTTTCCAGAGACAGGTTCTTGCTCTGTCACCCAGGCTGGAGTGCAGTGGCACAATCATGGCTCACTGCAGCCTCAACCTCCTGGGCTCAAGCAATCCTGCCACCTCAGCAACTTGCCCCCCAGCCCCTGTATTCCACCCCCCCAAGGTTGCTGGGACTATAGGCATGTGCCAGGCGGCTGGGACTACAGGCATGTGCCAGGCAGCTGGTCTTGACCTCCTGACTGAGCTCAAGCAATCCTCCCACCTCAGCCTCCCAAAGTACGCTTTTTTCTTTTCTTTTTCTCTTTCCCAAGAATAGGATTTAAAAAGTCAATTCCCAAGAAAGGTCTTTATTTACCCAAGTGTTATAATTTCCAATTTGGATGTTTTTAGTCATTGGTTGAGGAAGTATCTCAGATAAATATAAATGTAAATATAAATAAATGTATATATTCATACCTGTAATTCATTTGGATATTTATAATAAAAATCAAAGCCTCATGGTTTCTTTAAATGAGATAGAGAGCTGTGCTTAGGTTTATCAAGAGCAATAAGTTTATGTGATTTTTCTCTCTCAACTACTAGAATAGGAATGGAGGCCATTTTAAACAAAATTTTAATATAATGAAATCCTCTTTACTTATAACCTAATTAGAAATATTAAGTGGCCAAGAGTGTATGGAAACTGGCCAGATTTCTGCATATTTTCTTCAGAATACTTCGAAACCTCTTTCACTGTTTCATAATGTTTATAGATTGTGCAATTCAGGTTTAGTAATACTGTAGATAGACAGATGTGTTAAAGAACAAAACAGAGATTACCAGGAAACTTAAGTGTTGATAGTATGGAGTATAAGTATGACATAATATTTTTTTAGAAGGATTACGTAAAAAGTTAATGGAAAAAGTGGTGTCTATCTCTCACTCAGGATACTTAAAGTCAGATTCTTAGGTAAAATATACTCTATTAATATGTTAAGCACATCTTACTTGGCTTTCCTTAGAATTGTCACCTCTGATGTGATCTTTTATAACTTTTCTTACTCAAAAGTCTGCTCACTAAAAAGATTCTTAGTTTGCACTACAATGGTTGTAAAACAAGAATCCTTTCTTTTTTTGTTTTTGTTTCTGTGATTAGATGCTTTAGGGCTTATATCCTTTGCCTTGCTAATAAGGTAAGTGCCCAACTGATGGGGCTGTGTAGAAAACTTTTTGGCTTGCATTGGTAAGCTTTCCCCATGTCATAGATGCTTACTATTAGAAAGCTATAGTTCCTGTGGTGAATGACTTCTCTTTGTATTACAGTTGACACTTTGGTCACTGTTGAATTTAGGCCTCAGTGATGGATGATAGTGTTTATTGCTTGTCTCCTTAAATAAAATAGAGAAGTTAGGTTTTGCTTTTCTATTTATTTTCCAAAGCTATGAGGAAGAGGCATTGAATCTAGTTTACTGTTTTATAGGTGGGCTGTGTGAATTTAATTTTTGCCTTGAATTTTGTGACCTCAGAAGAATGGCAGAATATCTGACAAGCTTCAGTCCTGTGTCCTTAGTTCCAGTCTTCTATATACTAAACCTAGGAATGCTGAGCAACACTGAATGGCATAGGATACCACTGGGGAGGGGGCAAAGGGTCTCTTTGAAGGTGAGATTAATTTATCCCGAAGACAGGAGGTAGAGTTGGATGGGTAAGTTTTAAAGGGTTGAAGCAATAGAGGTTGCAAGGTAAGGTATGAGACCTTTGAACAAACAGGAATCAACTAAAGGGTGGAAAAGATAAGGCCCTTGCTTTTTACTCATTGGAAATGTTCCTTGAAGCCTATTATGTATATAACACTTAATCCTGTAGAGTGTCTCAAAGAAGCAGAGGATAGTTTCTGTAAAACATTTAATCATCTGGTTAAAGTGAAACTGGACAGAAGCATTATCAGGGCTTAGGGGAAGAGTGCTATCTTTACAATTCCATTAAGAGTAAAAATATCTTGCTATGTTTTGTTAAATATATATTTTTCTGTTAGAAAAAAACCCACTTTAAAAAATCACCTGTTTTGATGAAAATGCTTCTGTGAAAACCTGAAGAGAGTTGGTGCCTCTTCTTATGGTTGAAGATCCCTACTTTTTAATGTAAGCTTACAAACATGAAAACATGTTTTGCCCCTTCTCTGAGTTGAGCTGGTCACTAGAAGGCAAATCCATGGACAGACAGTCCCATTGTTTGAAAGCTGGTTTTGTGGTAAGTGGTAAGTTGGTGGAGGTAGGCATGATTCTTCCATTACAGGCTGGTATGTAACTTTTTAAACACTGGTGCTTTGTACATAGTAGGTATTCAGTGTCTGAATTATTTTTTGAGTGTCGTTTTTTAAAAAAGTATCCTTTTTTAATGCAAAGAATGCATTTGTGTTTTCTTTGCCCCAGTTTGTCTGTGATATCAACTGGAGCAATAGTAGCTTATACTTCATTTCACTGTAATTTTTTTTAATTGACCTCTGATTCTCTCTGGCAAATAATTGTGATATGGTTCGAGGGATGTTTGTTTAAGACAATGGATGAGATTGAGTTGTAAGTAATTTCTTGTTGGTACTAGTTCATATTTTTATGGTTAAATATAGACCTAATGGCTGGTCAAGGACAAAAGAGCTTCACCTTTAACCTCTAAAAATCATGAGTTCTTTTATTTTAATGGCCTGTGTATTAGTCCATTCTCATGCTGCTATAAAGAACTACCTGAGACTGGGTAATTTATAAGAGCTGTGCAAAGCCATAGAGACATGTAATCATATGAAATTTTGAGAGATATGAAGTACTGGAAAAAGTACAATATATGAAAAGAAAAGATGGGATGGAGGTAGGCTGTGGATGGATTGCAAAGTACCTTCTGTGCAGGTCCAGGAAAATATAGACTTATCCTGTAGGTAATGGGCAACCCTTCAGACATTTTAAGGAAGGTAGTCATTTGAGAAAAAAGCACTTTGGAGTGGCTCAGAATCAAACTTACTTACTTACTAGCTGTATACCCTTGGACTTGGTGCTTAACATTTCTGAACTTCAGTTTTTACATCTATGAAATGGGGATAATTTGGACTGAGAATCCCCTGGATTGTGAGTGACTTAATCACTCAGCAAACATTATTGATTGAGTACCTGTTATACGTAATATCCAGATAAATTCTACAGGGAAGGGAAATATAGTAGGATGAACCTACAAAGGTAAGAAAAGCTAGATGTTGGTACACAACCCTTCCAAAACTTAGCACATTTTCCTCTCACACCTATTCTTACTCTTGTGTTGTCTGTCATTATAGTGGTAACCTAAGAGAGACGCCTGGGAATCCTTATTATAACTTCTTTATCTCCAACCAGTTATCAAATCCAACCTGTTTTCCTTTTAAATATTCTTTGACTACATCTTCTTGTCTCTATCCCTGTTGCCAAAGCCTTGGATTGGGCCCTTACCTCTCATCTGGACTCTGCAGTAGTTCACTTTTCCTCTTCTAATTCATTTCTTTTTCATCAGAAAGTTCTCATTTTAAATAATACCAGCCATGCACCGAGCCCTTGCTAACTGTCAAATGACTACTGAAGCTCTGCATTATGTCAGGTTATTACAGTAAGCTTTTGGTTTGTGACTGCCAGGCCAGGAGTTGAGGCTTACCCTCTCTTTTGTTGGCTACAAGCAAAGTATGTCAACTGCAGCCTCCCCATGCCTTTCCTCACTAGCTGCCTCAGATCTGCTTCCTTGTTCTTTGTTGTGCTGTCTTCTGATGGATGCTTTGGTCGTTCTGTTCATCTACTGTTTGCTGAAACCCAAAGCTTTTTTGTACTTCTATTAACAGTTAACCAGTTCACCCTAAGGAGATTGTACGCAGACCAGCCTCCCACATTTGTGTTAGGGGTATGTTACTACTCATATGAGATTTGAAGCCTTCTTTTTCCCCAAAAAATGGTCGATCTCAGATTTTAATAAGGTGCCCCTTTTCTCAACCCCCATAGAGGTACCTTTTATATTCACTGTGAAACTGTCATTCAAATGAATCTACTCCTGGTCTTTAACTTTTTTTGCACTTCTACCCCAATAAGAGGCTGTCTTGCAGTGGGGAGGAATGCATTTTTTGTGTTTTCTTGTTCTTCCCATTTTATCCTCTTTTTGCTTATTTGGAATCTGACTATCCATGAATAAGATGGACTTTGAGATCTACTTGTAAGTACACAGGCTGAAGTTGAATATCTGTATCCCAGTACTTACCACCATGCTTTGTGCATGTTAGGTCACTTTTGTCACACATAGCTTTACCATCACACAGGTAGTAAATTTCCTGTGCTGCCTTTCTTCTGTGCATGTGACAATTGGTAGTTGAGAAGAGCATGAACTCACCTATTTGTTATTTTGTTTTTGGTGCTCTAGGTCAGGATGGCTAACTGGTTGGCTCCCCACATGGTGCCCTACGTCTATATCACACCTTAAAGAAGCTGAAGAGAAGATGTTAAAATGTAAGGCTTTCTTCTTGTAAGTTAAATGAGCTGTGTACTAAGATAGGTCCAATATATCTCATTGCCCTGAAACTGGAGGTAAGATTCTGTGGTGTGTTCATTGTTGGCAAAATAACTTTTTTCCTTTTCCTTGTCATTAGAAAGTACAGAAATGAATGTCGGGGGCTGGCAGGTAGGAGTTCTAAAACTTTTTGGTCTTGGGCCCCTGTTATACTCTTAAATTAGTAAGGACCCCAAGGAGATTTGTTTATGGGCTTATTATCAATATTTATCATTTCTAATACAATTAGAAATTAAAATTGAATAATCAAAAATGTTAATTTATTAATTTCTTTAAAAATAATAGTAAACCCATTACAGATTAAAATAAATAAAATTTGTACCAAAAAAAGAAAAAAAATACTTTCCAAACATTGTTTACATGTTTACAAATGTCTTTAATGTCTAGCTTGACATAAGGTTGCTGCTTCTGCTTTCAGTCTGATGGGTAATCACATATGTGACTTCTGGAAGACTACTTTATACCTATTAGAGAATGAGAGTGAAAAATAGAAAGTCTTAGTATTATGATGAAAATAGTTTTGACTTCCTGGATCTCCTCGAAGAGTCTCAGGGACACCCCCCCTGACTCTGCTTGAGACTATGCTTTGAGAACAGATTCTAGGTGTTTCAGAGCAAGCAGCCTTGTATAGTGGAAGTACTAGACTGGACCCAGGTAACTTGGTCTAGGCCCAGATCTGCCACTAGGTGGTTACAAGATCTTGGACAAGTCACTTTGCTCAGCTTCTCATTTCTTATAAAATGAAGGGGTAGGATTCTTATAAAATGAATGGGTCCATAGAATTCCTTCTAGTTCTAGCATTCTAGGATTCTATATTTATAGTGGTGTGGAAGCCCCTTTTTTTTCCTTCTTATGAGCACTAAAATTTACCCAAACTTGTACCATCAGGGCATTCCAAGGTATCTGTGGGTGTAGTTCTAAGTAGTGGTACTTATTGTGCAATTTTGTTCTGCTGATTCTACTTAAAGGAGTGGATTAGGTAGTACCATTCATATTCATGTGTTATTTTTGTATGTAGGTGCAGATGTTTGTACATGCCTGTTTTTCATTCTCTTTACCACTAATGAATTTGTTTGTGCATTTGAATGATTCAGGAGTAAGTGACCATAACTGGATATATCCTTAGGAAGGGATAATTAGCCATCTTTCATGAATTTTTTTTTTTTTTTGAGATGGAGCCTTGCTCTGTTACCCAAGCTGGAGTGCAGTGGCACAATCTCAGCTCACTGCAACCTCTGCCTCCTGGGTTCAAGCAATTCTCCTGCCTCAGCCTCCCAAGTAGCTGGGATTACAGGCACCTGCCACCATACCCAGCTAATTTTTGTATTTTTAGTAGAGATGGGGTTTCGCCATGTTGACCAGGCTAGTCTTGAACTCCTGACCTCAGGTGATCCACCTGCCTCGGCCTCCCAAAGTGCTGGGATTACAGGCATGAGCTACCACGCCCAGTTATTACATGGATTTTTAACATGATAATGAACTTCTATTCCATATACTTGGGTAAACTTGCTCTCTACAAAACTAAGAAAGATGTCATTGTGATTTACCAAAATAAAAAAATTCTTATCAGGAGGTAAAAAAGGGGTGCTAGATTCTCAATTCATGCATTTAACAGACATAATGATTCCCTTCCTTTTGGTTCTAGGGATGCAAATAGGAATGTGAATTGGTCTCTGCTTTAGTGTCAGACATGAAAGTAAGCTACGGTGGAGTGAGTTCTCTAATAGTTATACAGATGGTTTTTATGGGAATACACAGACGTATGTGTTCAAAATGCTGAAGTGGTTTGGCTTGGCACTTAAGCCAAAGCAGCCCCTTTTCTAAACTAGTGGTATTTCCCCCAACTTGAGGGCTTGTGCTCCATTAATATTCTGAATGAATGTTAGGTTTCTTCTTTGCTGCCACTATGTGGATACAAAACATGATATTATTTCTTTGGTTAAAAGGCAGAAACTCCTGTTTCTTCAGTGTCTTGTTTACTGTATATGAATATGCATAAATAATTAAGGGGTATATCAAAAATGCAGCTGTTCAGTTGATAGTTAAATATAAATGATTTCAAATTTAATTTCATTTTTAGGCAATTTTTGGGAGTGTTTAAAGTATTTAGTTCCACAACATTAAAGGTAAAAAAGAGTTTTGGTCTATAAAATTGTGACTATTTGCTTTTTCTAGGAGATTACTAGAGTTGGACCCAAGTTACCTGGTGTGTCATGCTGAGGAGTTCCTACAATACTTTGTCAACCTTTTTTTGAAATGACTTAAGGTTTCACTTACATGTTTAACATAGATACCAGTAATCCTTCCCTAAATTCATGACTACTTTTTAAGGAAAAATGATGCCTTTAAGCCTGACTTCAACTCAAAGTTAACCAAAGAATACCACCTTGAAATTGTAGAACACCTGACAGTATTCTACAAATTCTCTGCAAAGCTAGAGACCTTAAAATAATGGGTTCGGTAACCACTAAGTTCCTTTTCACTTCTAGGAGTATAATACCCTCATTTGACAGATGTGGAAAGAAGTTAGAAGGTAATATGACTTGCCAAAGACCTTGATCACAGGTTACTTGAGGTTTGTCTGAGGTAGGTCTTCCCCTTTAGGTGTAAAACATGGTCATTTAGGATTATTTACTTCAATAAAATGTGTACTTTTTAAAAATAGCTGACAATACAAGCTAAAATCATGAGATTGGATACTAGATGATTTGTAATTTTTGGTTGCTCTGAGAATACTTCCCTTCTCAGAAGTAATAAAATGAAACAGAATTTCTCTTTTATGTTTTCATTAGGTGTGCCTTGCACATACAAAAAAGAACCTGTTCGTATATCTAATGGAAATAAAATATGGACACTGAAGTTCTCTCATAATATTTCAAATAAGACTCCACTTGTCCTTCTCCATGGTTTTGGAGGAGGTCTTGGGCTCTGGGCACTGAATTTTGGAGATCTTTGCACCAACAGACCTGTCTATGCTTTTGACCTATTGGGTTTTGGACGAAGTAGTAGACCCAGGTTTGACAGTGATGCAGAAGAAGTGGAGAATCAGTTTGTGGAATCCATTGAAGAGTGGAGATGTGCCCTAGGATTGGACAAAATGATCTTGCTTGGGCACAACCTAGGTGGATTCTTGGCTGCTGCTTACTCGCTGAAGTACCCATCAAGGTAAGTGGTGGTGACAGAAGAGAGGGATTATAACTGTGCTTCCAAGTACCAGACTCTAGTTCCCATCTTTGGTGGTTGTTAGTGTCTGAGCCACAAGGCAGACATTCTCTTAAAGGACCCTATAGACCACACCACAACTGATGACCAATATAGTAGCTGAAATAATCATGTCAGATCTTCCTATTACACGTACTACATGTTAATAGGCTTGGGAAAGGGGTTTCTATTTGTTAAGCTTAGAATTGTAGAAACTTTAATGTATAATTTTAAGCCACAAGTAAAAATTATTTATTATTATTATCATTAAACCTATGAATCCAGCAGGCTTCGTCTAATGTTTTCTAAGTTATAGTAAGCTGTAAGGGGAAACCAGAAGGTTAGAAGATGTAGGTACTAGTGCTAGCTCTATGACTTAGAGCAAATCACTTAACCTCTAACCTTTAGTTTTCTTTTACCTAAACTATAGAAAATACAACTTCATAGCATATATCCCAGGGTTTTTTATTATACCATACCCTAACCTTTCTCATTATAAAACATTGAATTAATGAACATTTGCTTCAAAGTCTTTCTAGCATCATCTCCTTTCTTTAACTTTTTTTTTTTTTAAGAGATAGAAGCTCGCTCTGTCACCCAGGCTGGAGTGCAGTGACATGATCTCGGCTCACTGCAGCCTCCGCCTCCCAGGCCCAAGCAATTCTTCTGCCTCAGCCTTTGAATAGCTGTGACTACAGGTGCATGCCACCACACTCAGCTAATTTTTGTAGTTTTAGTAGAGATGGGGTTTCGCCATGTTCGCCAGGCTGGTCTCAAACTCCTGACCTCAAGTGATCCACCCCCCTCGGCCTCCCAAAGTGCTGGGATGACAGACCTGAGCCACTGCACCCAGCCCCTTTACGTTATTTTTAAATGCTATTTACTGTCATTCATGTTACTACTCTGAGAGAGGGTCACATTTAAGTGCTAAGAAAACAGGAGAAAAACTCATCTTTGTTTTGATCATCTTTTGGAAAGAAACAACAAAAAATGAATACAGCATTTTTGTGTTGCCAGTGTATTTTTCCATTGGACTGATTTTTAAATCCAAAATTGCAACTGATTTTGACTTTGAGGTCCGTGAGTGAGACATGGGATGATGGTCATTTCAGAGTGCCTGTATGTACCTATAAGATCTCCCCATTGCATAACTCTGGGTGTGTGTTCAACACAGAATTTGATGTGTGAAGCAGCAGCCCTGTGTACCTGAGGTTCTCTTCCTCTGGAACAGCCACTTTTTCTCTATAGACTCTTTATCTAAACTTTAGCATTTACACCTGATTTTTCTGATCTCATGGTCCTATATGTGCTAGACAATAATAGTCCTGTCAACTGGCGGACCTGTTCTTTAAAAAGAAATGCAAATTTTCTTCTCCTGGTTGGCATTTTGGGGTTACTTTCTTTATTTTCTTTTTTTTTTTTTTTTTTTTTTGAGCCGGAGTCTCACTCGGTCGCCCAGGCTGGAGTGCAGTGGCGCGGTATCTCGGCTCACCGCAACCTCCGTCTCCCAGGTTCAAGCAATTCTCCTGCCTCAGCCTCCCGAGTAGTTGGGATTACAGGAGCCCGCCACCACACTGGCTAATTTTTGTATTTTTAGTAGAGACAGGGTTTCACCATGTTGGCCAGGCTGGTCTCAAACTCTTGACCTCAGGAGATCCGCCTGCCTTGGCCTCCCAAAGTGTTGGGATTACAGGCATGAGCCACCGCACCCGCTGGTGTTACTTTCTTTTATTGTGTCCTACTCTTAGTGACAAACACCTATTTGCATTTATGGTGAAAGGAGAAGGAAGTAGATGCTTTTCTGGTACAAGTCAACAGGGCTATTTGTGGGAGTTGAACTTCCTTTGTTTTTTATCAGGTATGTATTATGTCTGTGTCTGTCTTGTGGTATTTATTCTCTGAAGATGTGACATGGAACTCTGCAGGCTAGACCTTGGTCATTAAACCCTAAGTCTTAGAATCCTGACCCTTCATAGCTCTCTACTGATAAGGTCAGTTGGCAAGAGTTTCATTTGCAATTGTGAACTGCTCTAAAGAAATAGGGGGCTTCAGGGATTCAGAAGGGAATCAACACTTTAAAAACATTATAAAAGAGAATAGCAAAAGGTATCTAAAAACAAAGCTAGTGATTCCTGCATTGGACTAATAATATTTTAGAAAATGGTTTTTGAATGTTTGTGTCTAATGCTAGAAATAAAACTAGAGTACTGTCTCAGGACCAAGAATCATAAGTAGTAGCAGTAGATGGATATGAGAATGCTTGAAATAATTAGCCTGTCTAAATTTGGCTGGTTGCCAACAAAATTTTGAACTGTACAGAGTGTATTGAATATTCAAGCTTATATTCTTAACTGCATAAAACTTAAATTATTAAATACAGGTTAATTTCAAAATAATGATGTTTTCTGGATTTTCAGATATCTCAAATCATGATTATGTCCAGTCAGTCAGAACACCATGGTTGGCACATAGTGGCTGCCTAGTAAATATTTCTTGAATAGGTGATTTTGAAAAAGAGAATTATAAGCTAAGTTCACCTTTTAGCTAACAATTTTATGTTCTTTTCTCTGTTCTTCTCTTTGCATTTTGCATAGAAGTATCAAGAGATAAGAGCTGGTCATGTCATATCTTTCTAATTTATTTTTGGGAGAAAAATTAGTTTCAGATATGCAAGCATAAGCAGGCAAAGATTTCAGTTTTATGCCTTTTGCCCAGTTAGTCTACATCTTGAGTTAGTATAGCATAAAAACAAGTTACCGTGGAAATAAAGAGATCATTCTGTGTGTATGTGTGAGAGAAAGGTATTAGTGAGAATGTTTCTTCTAACATTTACACACACACACGTATATACATAACATACATGAATATTTTACAGAATTAAGCAAATTGACCAGCCATTTAAACCAACAACTTTAGTTAGTTTAGAAGTGTGTTAAATCTACTAAATAAAAGTAAAATTTTATAGTTTACTTTTTCCCTGTTCTAATAGACCAGATAATACCCCATTGTAGCATATAATATAGGAAGACTGGAATTAACAATCTCACGGGCTTCCCCTTCTCCCTAGCTTTTTTCCTTCATTGCTTTTCAGGATGGCTTCCCTGGAAGCACTTCTCTTTAAATGGAGAGGACAGGGAAAAATGAGTATCTCTTGTCTTTTCTGCAAGGTGCATCGTCTCCTTTGGTGCCCTTTGGTCTTGCTGTCCACGTTTATTTATATTACTAATAATGTTGCTCATATTTGTTAACTTTTTATTAAAAAGAATTTTTTTCTGCTTGGTCCTGGTTGGGCAAATTTGTACAAATTTACATAGATGATCTGATAGTTAATATAGTTCGATAGACTCACAGATCCAAACATTAAACAGGATTAAACAGGACTGAGTACTGTTAAGTGTTCACCATTATAGCAAACCTCATATTAAGTTATGTTTAGTGTTTGGTGTGTCTTGAAGTTGGCATTCCCACTAAGCAGATGGGGTGGTTGTCAGGGTTGCCTTCTGTGTGATGTGGAATGTTTCACCTAAGCTGGAGAAGCTTCTTTGCAGCACACACACGTTTTCTCTGGTGCAATAGAGCAGTCCGCTTGGTATCAACAAACAGGTACTGAACTACATACTCGTGCTCATCCAGCTTGCTTTTGATCCAGTAGCATTTTTATTATGCTGTCATGATATTCAAATGAATCTTTGAGTTTCAGAAAGACTTTTGGTGGGCGTGGGGGGAGCGGTAAGAGGAGGGAAAAAGTGGTCTGGAGATCAAATGAAATTCAGATCTTTTCTTACACTCACTGTGCCTCTTTTGTCTCTCTCTCTTTTTTCGATAATGGACTTTGAGAATGTTACCTTTTTTTTTTTTCTTAGAGATGGGGTCTTACTCTGTTGCACAGTTTGGAGTGCAGTGGCGCAATCATAGCTCACTGCAGCCTTGACCTCTTACACTCAACAAACCTCCCGTGTAGCTAGTACTACAGGTGTGCCACCATGCCTGGGTAATTTTTAAAGTTTTGTGTAGAGATGGGGGTTTCACTTTGTTGCCCAGGCCAATGTCAAACTCCTGGCCTCGAATGATCCTCCTGCCTCCAAAACTGCCGGGATTACAGGCATGAGACACCGTGCTCAGCTGATAATGTTATTTTATTCTTTGCTTCCTCAGGTGTTGCAAATATAATCTTTATTTTTTTCTTTTAAGTAAAATGACAGCTCCTTACTTTCCGTTTTATGCATGGAGGGAAAAAACACAAAAACAACGTTGTTTTATTTGTTGGGACTTAGTGTTCCAAGCCATAACTACTTCAGTCCTTGTCTTTTATGGGCAGCTCCATTCTTCCATTCGTTACTTTTATAGGACAGTTTGAAGAGAAGAATGAAAAGGCCTAGTTTAATGCACTTGTTTAAGAAGGATTCTTACTCTAAAGAACAAATAAAAGCTGATCAATTTTTGCCAACTTTTGGATTACAGGCGTGAGCCACTGCACCTGGCCCGGTTTTTTCTTTTAATTTTCCTTTCCTTCTGGCCCCTGCTGCTCAGTACCCCATTAAAAAAACTATCTGTATTTTAAAGATATTTGTTATAAACTACGGAAAAGGAGATTATAGAAACTTTAACTTAGAAAGTGTTTAGCAAAGAGATCTATTCCAAGTTAGATTAGAATAAGTTTTCACTAGTCTTTATTTCTCTAGTAAAAGGTTTTTAAATAATTTTATCTTGAATACTTTTCTTTTGCCTGGCTCTGTCTTCTGATTGTACAGAACTGAGCTGAGCAATTTTTGTTGGCCCTCTGCTGTTCTAGGAAAAGCTGTTCTACTTGATTCGAAGTTGGAGATATTTAGTTTGTTGTTCTCTGGGCATTCCCTTTTCTCTCACCAATGGCTTGGAGCCAATGGGAAATACCTGGGGCCAACTTCATTTTGCAAATGCCTCCTTTGTGCATTGACTAGAGTTCTTTCTGATTATTTTCCTTAGATTCACTTACACATTTTGATTCTAGGTCTAATTGTTCTCCTTTCTTTTTTTTTCCCCCGAGACAGTGTCTTGCTCTGTTGCCCTGGCTGCAGTGCAGTGGCACCATCTCGGCTCACTGCAACCTCCGCCTCCTGGGTTCAAGTGATTCTCGTGCCTCAGCTTCCCGAGTAGCTGGGATTACAGGTGTGCACCACCATGTCTGGCTATTTTTTTGTATTTTTTGTAGAGACAGGGTTTCGCCGTGTTGGCCAGGTTAATCTTGAACCTCTTGCCTCAAGTGATCCACCTGCCTTGGCCTCCCAAGGTGTTGGGATTACAGGCATGAGCTACCACGCCTGACCTGATTATTGTTCTTGTTGCATTATTTCTGACTGGTGGCTGTCTTTAAATCTCATGAAGGTCAGGCTTATCTACCCTTGTTAGCATTTAGAGCAAGTGAAATCAGGTCCTAGTGTGTTGGTACAGGTGTTGTCCACTGCTTTGCCCTTAAGGATGTACTCTGCTCACCATCTTCAAACTCAAGGCCAATTCTAATGACTAACATTAAGAAGAATGCCTTTGTATATTTCAAAACTGATGAGCTGTTCTGTTGTTCCTGCTCTGCTGGTTCTTTGTTTTTCTTGTGGTTTAAACCAGTCTCTGGTTCTTGACAAGGATGTCTAATAGGATGACTCACATGTGCTATCTGGTTGGACCCATTCTTTACCCTAGATGTGAACTAACAATCCCAGCAGGGAACCCTCTCTGGAATATTAAAGAGTAGGGTTTAGCTAATTATAATAATTTAGATGTACATTAAAACCCAGTAACTCCTATCAAGTGAGGAGATAATATTTTTACTAAAAGCGGAGGTTAGAAGATAGCCTGGGACCTTGGTCTGGTGCAACATTGCAGTCACCTGTGATCAAGCTCTTCTGAAGAATAAATACCTGTCTTTCCATGTTCCCGGGAATAAATTCTACTCTTGTAGTCTTCCTATTCTTGCTACTGTAACTAGCTTACATTTACTGAATACTTACTATTCGATGGCCACCAACCTGAGTGCTTTGCATGGTCTATCTTATTTAAAATTCTTAAAACCAAAAATAAGGAACAATTATTTTCTGGGGTCTTTACATGTAGTAGAAGCAGATGATATATAACTACAGTTAACTATAGTTTAGATGTTGTAGAGTTTTAAAAAATTATGTTCAAACTTTTTTTACTATAGCCCTTCTATATTGTTTGGAATAGAAAAATACAATTGTATCACCCCACAAAACTTGTTTCAGACACCCATGCACATATACATTAATACAATTTTGTGGCCGGTATTCAATGCTTATGATTTATTTTTCTGTTCCAAACAGTATAATTTTATTTTAAAAAAGACTAGACTGGTTCTTGACCATCTAAATGGATTTTGTTACCGAATAATAAGATTAATAAATAGCAGTGATGTTCTGATGTCATCTGGGGGACCAGAAAAATCCAGCTGGATATGCTTATGCTATGATTATACTTTATAAAATTTGTATATCCTTAATAGACTAGGACTAAAAGAAAATGTGGAAAAGCATATTAATCCAAATGTTTACCAAGCATCTGCCATGTGCTAAGCCTCATGCTAGGTTATGAAGACATAGAATTGAGCAATTGTAGGGACAGTAGAATTGAGCAATTGTAGGGACAGTAGAATTGAGCAATTGTAGGCACGGTTCACTCCTTTTCAAAAAGAAACAAAAAGATCATCTGCCTTAGTATATATACTTTGCATAATTTGTTAAACTGGCATTTTCACCTAGGGATGAAATTTTGAAGATCATATTTAAAAGGCAAGCCAGAACTAAGGCAAAAACAGTCACTTACCTACAGACAGATGAGACTTCTGTCAAGTTTTCCTTTGTCCTACCTGTTTTTGGGTTAGCAGGTCAGAAAGAGCTTAGAGCAAGATCCATTAACAAATTTGTGACAAAAATTTAACTAAATTGTTTAGGGTAGGGTATGTTTTAATAAAGAGTTCATTTTTCTCTTTGGGAGATAAGTCAGTAGTGAATAATAGTGGCTGTTTCTTAACATGAATCTTTGCTGCTTTCAACTAGGTGGCTGTCTCATTAGTTCTACTCATACCCCTGTTAGGCCTCTTCCTTCCCCTACCCCAGATCTTATTGTGGGCTATAATTAAAGGAATTTAGGGCCGGGCACAGTGGCTCAGGCCCATAATCCCAGCACTGTGGGAGGCCAAGGTGGGCAGATCACGAGGTCAGGAGTTCGAGACCAGCCTGAGCAACATGGTAAAACCCCATCTCTACTAAAAATACAAAAATTAGCCAGGCGTGGTAGTGTGTGCCTGTAATCCCAGCTACTCAGGAGACTGAGGCAGGAGAATCACTTGAACCTGGGAGGCGGAGGTTGAAGTGAACTGAGATTGTGTCACTGCACTCCAGCCTGGGCGACAGAGTGAGACTCCATCTCAAAACAAATAAAAATAAAAAGGAATTTAGGAGGTGGTCAAAATATAAGAGTTAGTCTTTGCCATTAAAAAACAAAGCAAAACACTCATTTCTAACCTCTTTCTGATACACTATTAGAAAATGTTCTCATATGAAATTTTTAGGCTGTGAAGGCATACTTCATAATTAAATGAAACTCATTTATCACATATCTTCATACATCTCTATGGTTATATTCTACATATGTTAATGCTATGAAGTTTGGAGTATAATATTAGGACTGGCCTTGAGAGTTGATAAAGGTTAAGTTTTACCTTTACTAATATGTCTCTCTTATGTTGATTAGCCTATTTTTAGAAAATAAAGCCTTCTGCCCAATTCCTTGTCGGCATCTGCTGGTATGCTGGGGTAGAGAAATGTGGGTTTCAGCCCTAGTTCTGTGTTAACTAATGTTATGTACCGGAGCAGGTCATGTAGTACATCTCAGCTTCCTTCTTATCTAAGATGATTGCACCCAATATTCTCCAAGGTACCATAGAGCTCTGTGCACCAAAGCTTTCTGTCTGGAAAGAAAACAGTCACAGTATGGACCTGTTACTAACTTATTCTTATGCATGCTGACAACAATAATAGAATAGATTTTATATGAAGAATAATACCATCTGTGCCCATGTTTTAGATTCTTTACCTTTCTGTTTCAGTTATAACTTAGGAAAGGGACTTTAGAGTCATTGTCAGTTATCCTTGGGAGATTTTTGGCTGGCATTTCTTGGCTGGCTTGGTTACAGTTGAACATTGTATTGTATCAGAAGGATCTTTGTACTTTGTTTGGAATCTTTATGATGTTTAAAGCATGATGCAGCTATGTGGAAGTACTGCTGATAGTTCTGGTTTTCCTTCATTGGGAAGAAGTTTCATAAGATGGAAAAATTAAAATGATTAACAATATGAAATAATTGTATATGAAGTTCTACTGAATATTTTCTATCTCTTGGTCAATGAAAAAGAAAATTGGGAAAGAATTGAAAACAGAATCTAATGTCAGTATAGCGTGATATCATGGATAAGGTAGATAGACTTGTTCCTTTTCAACAATTCTAGAATCCTGAACTAGGGAGTGTTTTCAGTCCACGTTACGTTATCCTCATGTTTATGAAAAGTTAATTTAAAGTACTTTTGAACCCGCTTTAAGTCCTTAACTTCACTTACATTTTTAGGATGGTTGATTCATAGGAGATAACTGTTGTTGGTATCTGAGGCTATTTTATAAGAATGTGATATTGATCTTTAGCCATTTTTGCAGTGTCAACCTAGACATACATGGAACCATTGGATTTTTCTGAGTGGCCAGTGATCTACATCATCTGCCAGAGTGTAACTTAAATAACAAATGCCCTTTTTTCTTTTTCTCAAGAAACACACAGTTCTGTACTCTATATATCTTTTATTATTCACATTTAGATATATTAAAAATAAAGCCCTCTTTCTACCATACACCTCTTAGATCCTACTGAATCTCAAAAGTTTACACAGAATAAGAGCATGATACGATCTATTTAGCACTAATCTTTAACGTGAAGGTTTTTGAAGGTGGTTCATTCTACCTTTATTTTATAAATCATGTTAGCTCTTTATAGTCTTAGGGTGATTTTACCAAATGAACTTAAATATATTCTTTCCCCCAACAGGGTTAATCATCTCATTTTAGTGGAGCCTTGGGGTTTCCCTGAACGACCAGACCTTGCTGATCAAGACAGACCAATTCCAGTTTGGATCAGAGCCTTGGGAGCAGCATTGACTCCCTTTAACCCTTTAGCTGGCCTAAGGATTGCAGGACCCTTTGGTGAGTGCTTATGTTCTAGGAAAGCAAAATGTTTGTAAGTTATGAGAAGAGCAGAATTCACTATTGTTAGTCAAAATCTTAAAAACAAACAAGAAAACCCTGAACCCTTACTTTTTCTCCTCTTCCTCTAATAAGTACCATGTCTTGCACAAAGACGAATGCAACTAGGTTCTTCTCCTCAAAGGAGAGTCTTTATATTGTAAACATTGTGAATAATTAGCAAAGCAGAAAAGGAGGGAATGCTGAGGATAAGGTTAGTCAGTCCTCAACACTCTAAAAAAAGCCAGGCAAGCAGAGTGTTTTGGGGAGTATATAAGGACCTCTGCTAGTCCAGGGCCTGGGAGAAGTGTAGCATGTTGCCCTGCTGGTGAGCACTGGAGAGCGTTTGGCCAATTGATGATACCATTTGGTACCATAAAACCTGATTTGATTGACCCTGGGGATAACAGGTACCACCACACTCACAGATTCTTCCCTTATCCATGTCAGAGTGTTGGAAAGATAAAGTTATTTTTTCCACAACATTTTGGGGACTCCTGATATATATTTCTGGTCATATTTTGAGGCACCAGTGTTTAGTCCCTGATTGACTTTTATTTGACTCTCAGCAGTTCTGTCTCAGCCCCATAGCCATGGGAATTTCCTTCCCTCATTGTCACAGATAATGATGTTCTGAACTTCTGCCTTTCCCCCGTACAACTTGTATGAATTTGGAGTACTTTTAGTTGTAAGTAACTGAATACCCAAGAGGCTTAAACTAGAAGGACTTTTATTATTTCCTTAATAAGCAATCTGGAGATAGGTTTTAGCACTTGTTCTGGTTGCTTGCTCATTGATGTTAGGGTTTGGGTCTGTGTCTGTGATTTTCTTGACTTTTTTCCTCACGGTGGTTTGATGCCTGCCATAGCATTAAGCATCATCTCACAAATCAGCGCCCTGAGCAAAAAGAAATAAAAGCACGAAAAATGGTCCTTCTCTCCATAATGCTTTGTCAGGGAAGAAAGTCCTCTCTGGAAGGCTCCACCTGACCTCTGCTTATGACTCGGCCCACTCCTAGTCCTTCCACCAGCAAAGAAGAAATTTCTGTGATGCACCAATCATGATTTGTTTCCAGGGCCTGCTTTCCTGGGCATGTTGCTGCCTAATTGATACTATAGAAAAGATGCGTTCTAACCAGGTGCTGTGGCTCACACCTGTAATACCAGCACTTTGGGAGGCTGAGGTAGGCAGATCACTTGAGGCCAGGCTTTGAGACAAGCCCGGCCAACATGACAAAACCCCATCTCTACTAAAAATACAAAAAAATTAGCCAGGCATAGTGGCACACACCTGTAATCCCAGCTACTCAGGAGAGGAGGCTGAGACATGAGAATTACTCAAACCTGGGAGGTGGAGGTTGTGGCGAGCCAAGATCGCACCACTATTCTCCAGCCTGGGCAACAGTGCAAGACCCTGTCTCAAAAAAAAAAAAAAAAAAAAGGAAAAGAAAAGAAAAAAGAAAAGATGGGTTCTGTTAGTGAGAAAAGAGAAGAGGCATGGGGGTGTGGAGGAGGTTGTGGGATTAACTGTCATGCAGGTGACTGTAAATGCTGTTCCCTTCTGCCCAACCCTGACCCCTCCTGCCCTAGTGCCTTCTGTTTGGATTGGGAGAGCAGTGGGACTGCAGGACTTAGAGGAGGATATGGGGGTTGAATTGGTGACCACACTTTATTGCTTCAGTGCTCACAGATGGCACATTTTGCCCACCTGCAGTCTTTCAGCCCTCCCCAGTAGAGCCACTCCTTACTATGCCTGGTCCTTCTCTGGTAAACTACTTAAGAGCTTCATTTAGTCTTTATAGTCCTGAAATATAAATAGATTTTACTAGAACACAGGTACAAAAATAACAATTATGGGAAAAGTAAAGTATGAAGAGAAATTAGGAGACAGTGATGGGCAAGGGAGGACACCTAGGAGAGGCTCTTTAATGCCATGCCCTCAGCCTGCCATTATTGCTTGCACTTGGGGGTGGGGAGGTGATGTAGAATCAATTGCATGACAGAATTTCTTGGTGGAGCTGTATAATTCATCAGAGATGGGAAGAGAGGGCCAGTAGAGAAGTAAAGCCTTGCTGGAGTCATGGGGTAGTGGTAGCAGAAAGGGAGACCAGTCAGTCTCTGGGGCCTCAGAATAGAAAAGTGTGACTAGAAGAAAGCTTCTGCTCTTCATCCTCTTTCCCTTGTGGGCCTTGCCCTGGGCTTTTTCTTTTCTTTTCTTTCTTTCTTTCTTTTTTTCTTTTTTTTTTTTTTTGAGACGGAGTCTCGCTCTGTCGCCCAGGTTAGAGTGCAGTGGCGCGATCTTGGCTCACTACAACCTCCACCTCCCAGGTTCAAGTGATTCTCCTGCCTCAGCCTCCTGAGTTGCTGGGATTACAGGTGCACGCCACCACGCCCGGCTAATTTTTGTATTTTTAGTAGAGACAGGGTTTCACCGTGTTGGTCAGGCTGGTCTCGAACTCCTGACCTTGTGATCCGCCCACCTCGGTCTCCCAAAGTGCTGGGATTACAGGCTTGAGCCATCACGCCTGGGTGTCCTCGGCTTTTTCTAGAGTGGGGCTGTGGGCGCCACCAGGGATAACCTTAGCAGGGAGTCTCGCTAGTGTCCCAAGAAGAAGCTGAATTTATTTTCACACAGAAATAATTATGTATACCAGTTTACTTCATTTAGAAGTTAATGTGTTATAATTATGGAAGAAATACAAGTTATTACATTAATTTTTACGTACGAGCTACTCGCCACGTTTAAAGAATTTATTTACCTACAAAAGTGCCTTCTAACTTACATGTTTTTGAGGCCCTAAAGTACATCTGCAAGTCAAAATACAATACTCTTTACTTCTTATATTAATATTTCCTTGGGGAACTTTAGGAGGACAGCTATCAGAATGTGTGCTTTTTCCCACCTACAATATATATTTGAATACATATATATATGTGTGCATATAACACTCATTACACAGACAAGCACTAAAACTTTCTATATTATTTAGTTGATAAGTTAACTATAATTTAAAACATGCATTTTTTAAATTTCCTGTTAAATAGGTTTAAGTCTAGTGCAGCGTTTAAGGCCTGATTTCAAACGAAAGTATTCTTCAATGTTCGAAGACGATACTGTGACAGAATACATCTACCACTGTAATGTGCAGACTCCAAGGTGAGGGTTAGGATTCTCAATTCACTCTGTGTGTGTGTGTGTGTGTGTGTGTGTGTGTGTGTTTGTGTGTGTTTTAGACTATTTTTTTTAAAACTATTTATTTATTTATTTATTCATTCAATACGGGGTTTCGCTCTTGTCACCCAGGCTGGAGGGCAATGGTGCGATCTTGGCTCACCACAACCTCCGCGTCCTGGGTTCAAGCAATTCTCCTGCTTCAGCCTCCTGAGTAGCTGGGATTACAGGCATGTGCCACCACGCCCGGCTAATTATTTTGTATTTTTAGTAGAGACGGGGTTTCTCCATGTTGGTCAGGCTGGTCTTGAACTTCTGACCCCAGGTCATCTGCCCGCCTCTGCCTCCCAAAATGTTGGGATTACAGGTGTGAGCCACCGTGCCCGGCCTTTGTTTAAAATATATCAGTGGTCCAGAAGATTTGTATCAGTAGTTAAATGACTGAATTTAAAAGGACAAGTGTCTAATACATTTTATTTTACTCATCTATTCTTAGAGTACCCACTGTATAAAACATTGTGCTGAGTTCTGATGGGGGATTAAGAAGTAACATGTTCACTCTTCCCTCAAAGTTCTCATGAACATGTTGAGAAAGTCTTGGTCTTGGGCATCTCCAAGAGATGGTTTGAGTTGAGAGTTGAAGAATTTCACATAAAGAAGTATTTCCCAAACTGAGTATGAATGTTTCAAAAAAAGAAAAAAGGGTGCTGGATTAAACAAAAGTAAATGATTGTCTATACTATGAATCCTCTTAGAACCTTTACTATACCGAAGGGTATTGAATCTCCCAAGTGAATGGGAGATGCTATGTGTATTTTTCAAGTTCATTTGATGATTGTACTCCTGAACAACTCTAAAGATCTGTAGGTCAGCATTAGAAATGCAGCTGCAGAGGGTGAGGAGTAAGTGAGGGATTCTGCATGTATTTTGACAGTGATTAGAAGGAGAGAGAGAGAATGGGGCATAGTAGCAGAGGGAGCAAGAGGGCCAAATGTATGTTTTAAAAATATGACTTATGGATGTTGGGTGAAAAGTACCAGTGGAGAAAACAGAGCCTGAAGATAGTGGGGGGCTAGGAGGAGGCCGAATGATAAGGCCCTAGAGTTTCTAGGAAGAGCATCAAGAATAGAGTGCAAAGATGAGAGCTGCAGTTCTCATGCTATGTTGTGTACTGGAATTATTGGGGGTGCTTGTTGAAATGTGACTCCTGAGGTTTGTTTCTAAGACTAATATTAGCATTTCTGGGCTGCATCTCTAACAAATACTCTGGTGATTCTGTATAGGTGAACTATGGAGCACACTTTAAGACAGAGAAGTGGTATCTCATCCTTTCTAAGACTGAGGTTTGGATGAAAGGCTAAGAGGCGAGATGCAGAGACAGCCTCCCTCTCTTTTATTTCCTCCCTCACTTTTGGCAGAAAATATGTACACCTACTTTATTAAAAAGATTGAGGCCATGGTAGCTATTTATAGGTAGCTGTAGCCTCAGTCTTTTTAATAAAGTAGGTTAGAGGTTCTCTGCCAAGAGTGAGGGAGGCTAGAGGTTCAAGGTCTTCAAGAGATTGAGGTTTTGTGAATTGCTAGGCAGTCAGGTTTGGTGGATTAGGTCTACACACTTCCAACAGTTTTTTTTAGGGGTCTTCCCCGGGAACATCATTCATTTTCCTGCATGGCGTAAGTTTTACTCTTCACGTACTCTTATTTCATGATTACATGTGTTCGTGTAGTCCTAGTTTGTTACTTTGATTGTAGTGAGACTTGAATTCTTCATAAAAGGCAAGTTAGAATGATGTCTGGTTTTGTAAGAATAGCAGAAGGGACCAGGCGTGGTACTCACGCCTGTAATCCCAGCACTTTGGGAGGCCGAGGCGGGCAGATCACAAGGTCAGGAGTTTGAGACCAGCCTGACCAACATGGTGAAACCCCGTCTCTACTGAAAATACAAAAATTAGCTGGGCATGGTGGTGCGTGCCTGTAATCCCAGCTACTCAGGAGGCTGAGGCAGGAGAATTGCTTGAACCCGGGAGGCAGAGGCTGCAGTGAGCTGAGACTGTGCGTGCAGCTGCACTCCAGCCTAGGCAACAGAGCTAGACTCCATCTCAAAAAAAACAAAAAAAACAAAAAAAAAAAATGAATAGCAGAAGTGACAGCAAGATAGACCTATCCTGAGAGCTTGCAAGAATATATTGTCTGAGTTTCTTCTTAACTTGGTAATGGTTTTAGCATTGCAGGTGAAACGCTGGTGCCATGAACCTGGGGATAAGCTACCTTCTACATCAGTTTAAATAAGGACAAAAAAACATATTTTTAACTATCTCCACAATAAATAATTTAATGATAGAAAATTAGGGTTGTACATTTTGGTTTACAAGAAAACTTTTTTAAAAATCAGCTGGAGTATACAACAGCCTTGCTTATCTAACAGTGATCTGTGAGATTTGTTCCTTACACTGTCTCATAAATTATTTTCTATTTAAGCTGAGGTTTTTCTTAGGTGCTGGAAAAGCTAAATATGAATGTGTTTTGATAGAAGTGACAGTGCAATGCATACTCATTCCCAAAAATCATACATCGTGATTTTCTCCTTGCCGTTAAAGTGGTGAGACAGCTTTCAAGAATATGACTATTCCTTATGGATGGGCAAAAAGGCCAATGCTCCAGCGAATTGGTAAAATGCACCCTGACATTCCAGTTTCAGTGATCTTTGGCGCCCGATCCTGCATAGATGGCAATTCTGGCACCAGCATCCAGTCCTTACGACCACATTCATATGTGAAGACAATAGTAAGTGTGTGGCTTGATTTGGGTTTTTAGGTATAGGTGAGGTCCGTTTTATTATCTCCCTTAAAAGAGGTTTTAGGTCATCCTCGTGTTGCAGGTCATCTGAGCCATACCTGCAGCCTCAGTCGGGGACGTGATACCACCTGTGATGGGTGCAGGGTTTGGCCTGCACACATCTTCATGTCCAAACCGTGAACTACCTTTCTGAATGACTTTTCCTGTCCCTAGAGCCACAGCATTAGGAGAGATGGACAGAGGGATTGGTCCAGTAGCACTTCAAGTAATTCCCACCTCACAAGGCAGCACACTCTCACTTTTTTCAGTTTCTCTGTTGGCACTTTTATTAGTGGTCAATTTAGTGTTTTTTGCATATTAAAATTTTATTGAGATTCAGTAGATTTTTCTATTCTCAGATCCTTTTAATGGATATACTTAATAGTTACTATAGATTATTGTTATTTTTTAATCACGTGTTTTATTTAAATACAGTGGCTCTCACTTTTATTACTAAGTGTCTTTGCTTATATATCATTCTGTTTTATTAAATGCTTTTACTCACTAACTGTCTGAATGCTTTTCCTTATCCAGGCTATTCTTGGGGCAGGACATTATGTATATGCAGATCAACCAGAAGAATTCAACCAGAAAGTAAAGGAGATCTGCGACACTGTGGACTGAACACACTGAAGCTCTGATGGGAAAACCTGGTGACTGATATAGTTGTTCAGCAATAATTCATAGTCTGTGATGAAGAGTAGTGAATACAACACACAACCAGGCAGCCTTCTTGACTATACTTTGCACATGTTTTCTTTAGGAATTCACTCACACATTTAAACCAGTTAGTGCCTTCTAGAAGAATGGCTTTCCTTTCTCCTACACAAAATTGAAATATACAAGTCTCTAAATATAATACCTTTAAATAAAAGGTTATTTGTCCCTCTGATGTACTGAAAAACTGTAATTTTTCAGCTGAAAATTTTTTAATCTAACTTTGCTAGTTATTTTTATATTGCAATCTATATTACCAATTTAGGAAGTGATTTCTGAGTCTCTTACACTGTAAAGGTGCACTTTATTTTCTTTGTCTTCCCCATCATGTATTTATTGTGTCTTGATAACTGATATTAATCTAAATTCAATGTGTTTTTATGTAAAAATTTGTCAGTTGTTTAGAATATTTCACTTTGTTTTTGAAACGGAGTGACAAGGCAGATTTTTGGTTAGAGGACGGGAGTTGATCACTATCATTACTTTTTCTAGTTTACCTGTTTTTTATATTTAAGGCTGCTAAGCCATGTTCAGCATTTTAAATGTGGTCTATCCTGACATACAGTGTATAACAACATAACTCCTTGGAACCTCCTATGTGTGGTATAATTCTACTCTTCCAAGGAACATGACTTCAATACTTTCAGTGATTCAGGTACTGAAAAGCCTTACCTAAAAGGCTGTTCTTTGTTTCCCCCTTTCATACTATTCTTTTCCATGACCCAGGATGCAGCAAATGAAACAGATTTCTTCTCTTAAGGGGATATTAAGACTGTTACTTCCTAGTAAGCCAAGTAATACCATATTTTTATTAACATCTAACTTTTGTAGATGGGTGCTAAAATTGCATACATTTTAACCACTAAAATAGAAAAACAAGTGGTGCTATTATGTCTCATGGCACCAGAAATGAGCTAGCACTTGGGTTTGTTGTTGCTGTTGTTTATTAAGAGTATTGTGTTAATTAAATCATTACATACTTGAAGTTATATTACAAAAATTCTAGAAGGTTGATTGAACTATTTTTTTAGGAACTACCATCAAGTGTAGCATTTTCTTGCAGTTTTAAAATGAGGAAAACTTCTTTGAAACTGTGAAATGCTCCATGTGGTAACTGGCTGCTGAGAAAACCCTTCACCAAAAAAATAAATAAAAATTGAATAGGATTGTCATCAAGAAGGCATCTTTCGCTAACGTTGCTTGTCTAGGAGAAAGGTAGCTATGTAAATAAAAACAGTGAACTAGAGCAAATAGTGGTTTAATGGTTTTGTTATTGCATTTTTAAAATGGTTAATTAGGGAATTTGTAGTTGTTAGGAAATGTAAGGTTGTGTCACTGTTGATTAACTGCCAGAAAGACTGAATGTTCTATTTTCAACATTTCTCCCCTATAAAAGAATAGACAAATTATACTGAAGCATGATATAAACATCTTCCCAATGAACAATTTGTCTCACTTGTCAGATTAACTAGGTTAGTGCAGGAAGCAACATGAGCGCCAAGATGTGTTGTCTGATTTCTCTACCTTAAGAACAATAATAGTCTTTTTAGTTAGTATTTTGGATGGCCAGGTTTCAAACCTGTATGTGGTACAAATAATTTGGGTAATATTTTTGTATTTTTGTTTTACACACTCTCTAATCTCAATTATCCTTTGCTGGGAGAATGACAGGTTTCACTTATACAGGAAGGTTTTTGCACAGGAAATTTGGTCCCAGCCCTTGGAAGGAAGAAGTTCCTTCGTTTACTTAGTGAATGGAGTTTCTGGCCGCAGATGTGCCAAGTGATTGAAGAAAGATATACCCCAATATCAAGTGATAATTTATTTTCCTACAGACTGAATTTGCTTTATTTGAAAGATGTTGTAACTCTTTTTAAAGTTAGATTTTACCCTGAGGTATAGTATATGTAATTTTGTGAAGATTGAGCTGGAAGGGAAGTTCACAATCCTCACATTTAAAAAAATATAGTGGGTGCTAAATGTTTTCTTAAAAATCTAGTACAGCATTTGATCTTTGTTATGCACAGCATACTTTTATTTTACAGAATAAATTTTCCTGTGATAGTCACAACAAGACAGCTGTATAGTTTCTTGAGTCTTTTGTATGGACCAGTCTCTGTATAATAGTTAACTACAGGACTGTGGATCCAGCAAATGTTCAGTAAATGCTGCTGTTGTTCTTAGGGAAGGCTACTCTGGGTGTTGTGGCCGCCATACATGGCTTTACCTGGGTCCATGCATTCCCTTAAGATGACTTCTGTTTTCTTCTTTTTTCTTCTGATTTTCCAAAAAAAAAAAAGCCTTGCCTAAGGTTGGTTTTAGAATATGATTTGCAGAACACTTTTGAAATGTCTTCATTCATATATGTAATATATATTTATACTTAAAGGGCCATACGCGATTTCAATAAAACAAGAAGTACTGGAAAGAATAAACAAAAATAGCCAGAAGATGCCTAGAAAAGAACAATGTGGAAGGAGGGATAACCCTATTAAATATTATAACATAATGTTTACAATATGAGAAAGTCTAGGAATTTAGTACATGATAAAGCATCTCATTCAGAGAAAAAGGCTTTAAAAATGGTGTTGAGAGAAGTGTGGTTAACCATTTGGAAAAAAAAATAAAATTGAATCGATTTCTCACAGGATACACAGGATAAAATCTGAATAGAACAAAGACCCAATTTTTAAAATGAAACCCTCTTTCTAACTAGAAGAAAACATAGATGAATTATTGTATAATCTGACAGTGAGAAAAACTTTCCTAGGACTGAAAATTCAGAAGCAATAAAAAGAGAAGTCTATAGAAGAATTTTCAGCCAGATGGAATGGCTCATGGCTGTAATCCCAGCATTTTGGGAGGCTGAGGCAGAAGGACTGCTTGAGACCAGGAATTCAAAACCAACCTGGGCAACCTAGTAGGACTGGCTCTACCAAAAAAAAAAAAAAAAAAAAATTAAGTACCTGGCCTGGGTTCCACCTACTTGGGAGGCTGAGGTAGGAGGACTGTGAGCCCAGGAGTTTGAGGATGCAGTAAGCCACTGCACTCCAGCCTGGGTGACAGAGAAGAAAAAAGATTTTTTTGGATAGCTGAAAATATTTGCAGCATTTATCACAGAGGGCTAATTGTAGCCCTATATATGAAGAATTTTAAACTATGAGAAGAACCCGAAGAATAGGCAAAAGGATGTGAACAGACAGTTAACAGAAAATAGAATGCAAATGGTCTTTAAACATACAAGGATATGCATAAAAAGACAAATGCAAAATAAAATAAAATAATGGAAATACCTTTCTTACCTGTGAGATTGGGGAAAATCCAAGTTAGGCAATGCACTCTGTTGAGACAATAGGGAAACAGGCACTCCAAAAATTACAAATCCCTGTGGATGGTATTTGTTAACTAGCAAAGTTAAATGAGTATATCCTTCAACCTGGCAGACCCAGTTCTAAGAATCCATATGAGATGCACTTGCAAGAATATGAAATAGTATATGCACAAAGATCTTGATTACAGCACTGTTTCTAATAGCTACAGACTGGAAGCCAGCCAAATCTCCATTGATAGGGAATTGATGGAAGGAACTAGGGTATATCTATACAATGGGATACTACACAGCTGTAGAAAGGACTGCGAACTATTTTTGTAGTTCTGGTCTGGAGAAATCTCCAGAATATAGGAAATGAAAAATGTAAAGCACAGAAGAGAATGTATGGTGTGCTGTCTGTTGTATAACGAAGAGACAAATGGAAAAAATATGTATTTGCTTTTTTTGTAAAGCAATAGAAGAATTAGTTATACCAATAACTAATAAAATGATCTCCTTGTTAGTGGTGGTAGGGAGCTAGACAAGGATGGCAACTATTTCTGTATCTTACATACCTTTTATTTTGAGGCCCTGTCAATGTTTTATATAATAAACATTTTTTGAAAAGGCAACTCTTAAAACTAAAACAAACTTAACAGTCTGTCAAGTTGGTGATATAACCCCACAGAAGACTTACTTCAAGTGACTTGAAAACTTAGTATTTTGTCTGTACTTTGCTAATGGAATATATCCTACAGACCAAACAACCACAAATAAATCTTAAACTGCATTCAGTAGTTTTATTTTTAGCAATGATATTGGTAGTGTCATTTGGGTATTTATGTGTGTTAAAACAAATATTTACTTGTGTCATTGGAATCAAGAGCCAAGATTTTCAGCAGAGGAGAAAAGAGACACAAGAATATAATAAAGAATCGTATGATTTATTTTTATTTCTGAAAAATACGTATTGCATAGCTTTGTTCACTGAAAAGGCCTAGAAATAATCACAGCTCAATAGTAAGGCCAGCCCTCGTACCCAGACTGTCCCACTAAATGGGGGCAGGCAAAGGACAAGATGAGTCTGGAATATTTTGTGTCAGAAAGCAAGGCAGCAAACAGAGTAAGGTCATGTCAAAAGGACCCAGGAGCTAACTTGAAGGGGTTTCCATTGGCCAAAGATGGGTTAAATGTGAGCATCAGAAAGAATAATGTGTTGAAACATGAAATATATAAAACGGCCATGAGATCATAATGCTATTTTAAAAACTCATTGGTCACTTTTGGAGGTTACTAGGGCACCAATTCAATATTTTGAAAATTGTTCATGGGAAAAATGAATCATTTATCCCAACTTCTTTGTGTATCAAGTTACCCTGATAAGGGAAAGTTCTTCATGTAAGAATCATAGGTAAATATGAGAGGAATAAGATTAGGAAATCGCCATTTTGCCACCTCTAATGAAGGAACAGATCCAGCTGCTAAAAGCATGAAATGAAAAGTTGATGAGAAGCATTTATTTGGTGGCTTAGGTTCATAAAATCTGAACCTGATGTTCAATCTTAGTATTACTGAAAAAGGAACAATGAGACATGCTTCTGTTGTGTTGCAATAGCAACAACCCAACACACCATGTTGAATTATGATGAATTACTGCCTAAGACAAATGAAATTGAGCCTGAATCTAATCAAGCCTCTACATCTAATAAGTAAAAACACACAGGAGATTGAAAAGCACGTTAATATGCTAAATCTAGAATGTGGGAAATTCCATAGGACAGAAATTCCAGTTTCTTCAACAAATTGAAGCTGCAAAATAAAAGTGTTAATAGGACTTTAAGACTTAGAGAAACTTAAAGGACCTTGTTTGGATCTTTATTTGAACAAAACAAAAAGACATTTTTGAAGCAATTAGAAAAGAGTTTATAATGGACTGGGTATCAGATGATATTAAGGAGTTATTTTATTGAGTGAAATAATAGTATAGTGACTTTTTTAAAAGCCCTTACCTTTAGGAGTACATAGTGTAGTATTCATGGTTGAGATTTTAACTAGGATTTACCTGGAATTACTCCAGGAGAAAAAGTCAGTTGTCAGAAAATAGATAAAATGAGCAGAGTGTTATGTTGAAGCTGGGTGACAGACACACAGGGGCTTATGTACGGTCTATGCTATTTCTTCTACTTGTATGCATGTTTAGAATTTCCATAGTAGAACTTTAAAGAATAAAAAATAGGAAAAGAGATTGGATAATGCCAGTATGGATAACTCTTTCTAGGCATAAAGAAAGCAGAAAGTGGGTAATAGCTGGAGGGAACCCTTGTGAATAACGCAGCAGAAAGCAGGAAAACATGATGCAGGAGAGCACAGTTGGGGTGATGTATCAGCAAGGCTAAGGGCAAATAGGAACTCTCATATACTGTCGGTGGGCTGTAATAGGTGCAACCCCTTTGACAAGTCATTTCACAATACTGTATATGGCAAAATTGTTAAGTGCTTCACACCACTGACAGCAATTTTGTTTCCAGGTTTCTATCCCACAGATACTCCAGCTTCAATATGCAAAGACATCTACAAGATGTTCATTGCAATATGGTAATATTAGAAGTCACAAATCAAACACATAACTGATTAAATTATGCTACATTCATATGCTGGAGTACTATGCAGCCTTAAAGACTGAGGTAGATCTCTATATAAGTGGCAATATGGAAAATTTCCAAAATATCCTTAATGGAAAACAAAACTACCAAAATGCAGAATATTTCTTGTATATATTCACACACATATGTAAATATATACATGCATACAGAATAGTGTGTCTACAAAGTTACATAAAGATACACTTAACACACACACACCCGTATATATGTATAGACATTTTGAGGAGGATAAATATATACATGGGTTTGTCAACAGTGGTTGGCTTTGGAGAAGGACAATTCTTCCTGTTGGATATGCTTTTGTAAATGTTGGATCCTTATATATTCATTATATTTTAATGAAAACTGTAAAATATAGAAAAATCTTGGTTAGTATGAAATAGGTAAGAAAATAACTAAAAGGTCTTACTGTGCTGTTGTCTGTGTGTGGATGTGCAGATCCAGATTAGGGGAAGTAGGACAGGTGTTGAATGTATGGCAGGTTGTGAGTCTCCGTAATTTAAGTATTGGAAATAGAGCTATAAAGCTGTAACTGGTCTGTCTCTTCTCCCTAACTAAGAAACACAGCCCCAATACAAAACTGCCCTTTTTATTTTTCCTTTTGCTTAAACTTGTTGAAAGGGGCAACTGAATTAGAATATCTACTTCTCTATATCTCTCTGTATATTAAGCTCTGCCTCTCTCTTGCCATCTCATGTGCACCATTATATCTCTCCTGCTGTTTTCTCTGAAATAATTCCTTAATTTTTAAAAATGTTATA
Organism: Homo sapiens; assembly: GCF_000001405.40. Taxonomy (NCBI): domain Eukaryota; kingdom Metazoa; phylum Chordata; class Mammalia; order Primates; family Hominidae; genus Homo; species Homo sapiens. The sequence goes on from NC_000003.12 coordinate 43,725,360, forward strand.
TTAAGTTAGAACTAGTTAGCGTTTATTTGCCTGTTTGCTGTCTGTAGCCTGGCTTAATTAGATTAGCTCCAAGATTTAAAAATTTAAAACAGTCTTACCAAGTAGTTTTCTAAGTGACATGGACAAGGAATGTTATTCTACCATGTATTTTAATCCTTAAAAAATGTTCTGTATGTTCACTTAAAGATTAGAAGGTTTCCATAAGGTGCCCATTGTTTGAAAATTTAGAATAACCCCATCCTACTTTTTAAAAAATTAAAATATTGTGTTCATCTGCAAGAGGGGTCACTTGGCTAACAGATGTGAAGGCTGAGAGTTCTTAAGCTGGTTTGCCACATTGTATGATTCTGGACAGTGTCTCCAGGACAGGTCTGAAAACCTGAACAACTGGCCTGTCTCCTCCTTCAAAGAAATAGAAATATTAGTCACAATGACCAGGGTGGGAGACAAGTGCATTGTTTATCAGGTTCATTAAGGGCTGTTTCCTAGTTTTTTTTTTTGTTTTTTTGTTTTTTTGGTTTTTTGTTTGAGGCAGAGTCTCCCTCTGTTGCCCAGGCTGGAGTGCAGTGGATCTCGGCTCACTGCAAGCTCCGCCTCCTGGGTTCATGCCATTCTCCTGCCTCAGCCTCCCAAGTAGCTGGGACTATAGGCGCCCACCACCATGCTCGGCTAATTTTTGTATTTTTAGTAGAGACAGGGTTTCACCGTGTTAGCCAGGATGGTCTCAATCTCCTGACCTCGTGATCCGGCCACCTTGGCCTCCCAAAGTGCTGGGATTATAGGTGTGAGCCACCGCACCAGGCCTGTTTCCTAGTTTTTAACCTGCGAATGTTTTTATAATTGGAAGTCACAGCAATGGAAATGATGAAATGTTGAGGCCAAGATACCAGACACGAATGACTGGTATTTCACCTTCCTATGCCAACCAGCTTACCATATTTCTGTCGGGACTTAGGAATGTCCCAACCGATCTTTAACATATATCTGTTCAAGACTTGAAAATGCTGTTTTCCATGGGGTAGGAGGGGCACCAGGGTCAGGGGATATGGAGAGAAAAAGATGGCAGAGGAGGGAAGCCAGGCATTGAGGACAACACCATGAAAGGACTGGACTCTCGTGCTGGCCTGCAGGAGACTGCTGAGGGACAGCTGTCCTGTCTGTATGGCGTCTTCCTTATCAAAGTTTCAGTGATGATCTGAAGGAGGGAGCATCTTTGTGATGCACAATGACCTCTTAGCTTCACTTGGCCAGCACCAAAGATGCCAGCAACTGACAGCCAAAATCAGAACACCACATCCTCAAGTGCAGTCTGTTTCGGCAAACATCTGAGCATGAGATGTGGATTGTGCCAACTCACAGAGCATTGAGGCTCAAACTCTAGTGTGCCTGAGTCATCAAGGCTGCTTGTTGCAAATGCAGACTTGAGGCATTACCCCCAAGAGATTCTAATTCTGCAGATGTGTGGGTGGGGCCTGGGAATCTACATTTTAACAAGCACTCCTGTCCTCAATGTCTGACACGGGAGTGTTCAATTGTTTCATTTTGTGGTTTATCGGGCAGTTCATTTGGTTGGAGTTTAACTACATATGCTGTCTTTTGGTGGCACTTGAACTCTCAGTTTAATTATTAATACTTTATCCTTAGCTGCAGAAATTTGGGGAGAGATTATATCCAGATTTTGGGGCGCCCTCTCTGGCTCTCCTTTCTAGGACTCCTCCCTCATTTTGCAGTGGTTGTGGCTGCCCTGAACTCTGCATTCTGGTTCTTGAAGCCAGAAGGGCTGTTGGTTTTCTACCACAGCTCTCCCCACCTTGGAACCCTGAGTTGCCTTCCCTCAGACTGAAAGCTATAAAAATGCTGGTCTCTATTTCAAATGTTAACTCCCTTCCTGAGTCTCTTTGCTTGTGTTCATTCTCTAGTGTCTTCAGGTGGTGGTTTCTTGATATTGGCCACTTTATAGTTATCAGCAGGTGGGTTAGTCCCCATTGGACCTTATTCTACTGTACTGGAAGCAGAACTCCTGGATCACAGACTTTGAGAATAAGTCTTTTCCAGTGTCCCTCAAGACTTGGCTAGGTGGAAGTTTACCATGCTGAAAGAATGCTTACATTTTGTTTCTGTACTTTACCATCAGCCTTCTGTGGCCACATCTAGCAATCTATAGATATTTCACTTTACTCTAGAAGTGTAAATGAGAATTAGCCAATGCAGGAAAAAATGGTGTTGTATTTGTACTACTGTTTTTTGTTTGTTTGTTTGTTTGTTTTGAGGCAGAGTTTCGCTCTTGTTGCCAAGGCTGGAGTGCAATATGCAATCTCAGCTCACTGCAACCTCCAGCTCCCGGGTTCAAGCAGTTCTCCTGCTTCCGCCTCCCTAGTAGCTGGGGCTATAGGCATGCGCCACCATGCCTGGCTAATTTTTGTATTTTTAGTAGAAACAGGGTTTTGCCATGTTGATCAGGCTGGTCTTGAACTCCTGACCTCAGGTAATCAGCCCGCCTCGGCCTCCCAAAGTGCTAGTAGTACAGGCGTGAGCCACCGCACCTGGCCGTATTTGTACTACTTTTAAAGAATGAGGCCCCAAATGTAGCTGGAATGAAAATGTTTGCAATCAGCATCTTGTCTGGAAACCACCATTTCTGTCTCATCTATGAGACAGCTTCCTTGTAAGCCCTTCTCTCTTTGACTTTCGCTGACCTCACCGGCCTTGCTCTGCCCACCAGTGGCTCCAGAGCTTGCAACATTTTGTTGGCCCATTGTTCCTGAGGACTCGGTCCTCTCTGGGATTGAATTCACATTTATGGTTGGAGCCATGCTGATTCATTGTAATCTAATAGCCCTAGTGCTGTGCTGAAAATTTTTACTATGCCAACAAAAGCAACATGGCAAAATTCTTGAAAAATGCCAAATTCTCTTAAATTGGGAAAATCAGTGTTCTAACAAATTCAGATAGTAAAGTACCCTAATATTCTGCATCACTTAAAACGCCAGGGCACCAACTATGGGATAAGATTGATGAACAAGTCAGCAACAATCTTGAGTAATGAGTGTTTTTAAACTTCTACATTGCTGATGAAAACTATTCATGGTTCTCTAAAGCTAACCCATAAATAACTCTTTAAGAGGTGATGTTCCTGATATGCTTCCTCCACACCTCCACTCTCCAAAAAATGATAAAGGAGGAATTTGGAAATAATGAGATGACACCAATCAGGGCTTATTTACTACCCAGAGACTGATGAAGTGGGACCTGGAATTCTGAGCATTACTGTTATGTGACTGTTAATTACCGCTGTGATGTCTGCCTCATTGTTCATTAATCTTTGACCGTGGGGACAGGAGCCAACCATTAAGTAAATCAGGTATCACACACATACCTATTAAACAACCTCCACTAACAGAGATAGATCTGAGAACTAAGGAAGAAAGAACAAGGCCTGAGCGCCTAGAGTGGACACCAGTGAGCCTTACACGTAAAGCCTGCGTGCTTCCTGGTTGCCAGAAAGACTCAGAGGCCCTCCCTCAGCATTTAAGCAGTGGGCATTCTCACTGCACTTCCAAATTGCTCTTTTTAATCTGCTGAGTGGATTAGAATCCCATGTAAAAGTAAGGATTTCCTGGTTTCTAACATGTTTGCTGGGAGAGAGACTTAGCAAGGAGTAACAAAGAATAAGCTGGTGTATTTTCAAATATGAGCTTTTAAAGTTTTTGTGGTGACTCTAACCATAACAGCCTGAGACAGAGGTCCCAGGAGATCCCTCCTTGTGGAAAAGCAGTAGTTCTCTTCCCCAGAAAGGACTGGGGTCAAAGGATGCACAACAGTAACGACTTTGTGGTGAGGTTGGCAGAGAATATACGATGGGGAGCTTGATGTGTGAGAAGTGGAAAGAAGGTCATCTTGGATGATTGGAGGACAACATCCCGCAAACGACAACAGGGAAAGCACAGTACTTTTACAAAAGGCTCCGCAAATATCTCATCCTTACCATCTGTTCCTTGTGCCTTATAAGATTTTTGGATTTCATCCTAAGAGTAACACGCATTTATGGGGAGACTGAGGGATAGGACTGGGTAAATTTGAGATATATCTCCAAAAACCATCTTCATTTTACCAAAGAGAAAAATGAAGCCCAGAGAGGTTAAGTGACTTGCCCAGGATCATACAGCTAATGAGTAGTCAGGAAAATATTCTCTTTAGAGTTCTTTGTATTTCTTTCTTCATAGTGTTGCCAAATATAAATAATAGTGTAGGGTTGGCCTGCCATGTGTTGGAGTGGGCAGGATCTTTGGTGTGACAAAGGTAGATAATTTGTCTAGCCAAGTTTTGAGATATCACAAAGCTACCAGTGCCTTAGCCAGGCAGAAGTTATATTCAGAATGATTACAAGTTGCTCTATGATAGAAGGTGCTCAAATAAATGTTAGTATAGGCCAGCACTGTATTCTATGCTACAGGGATTCCAGAAATGAAAATTAGTAAGGTGTAGACTCCTTTCTACTGGGTCATAAGCTATTTAGGAGTCTGTTTCTGTCTATGGTTCCTTTGTGTGCTCTTGTTAACTATACTGCAAAGTAAACATATTGTATTGTTGCAGAGGGGGAGAGATTGCATCTGGCCTGGGAGATCAGGAAAGCTGAAGCAGGAGGTGGCATTTGAAATGAAATACTTAGAAGCTGGTGATTAAATTCTGTTCATCTTTTATAAGAAATGACATTTATGGAACACTTATTGCATGCTTTGAGCTTTGCAACAATCTTTCATTTAATCCTTCTAACAACTCAGTGGGAAAGGTACACTTATTTCACAGAGGAGGAACCGAAGGCTCAGTTAACTTATTGGAGCAATGCCATTGGTGCCACACCTGGATGGCCTTGCTGGGCCAGCTTCTCTTGGTGTTGGCTGCCAACTAGTTCACACCAGCCTTCTCCTGAGGAATGCTCTTGGCTGATGAGAGCACTCATACCTGGAGAAGTAATCTGGAAGGGAAAGTCAAGGAAACCTTGCTGACTAAGTAGACAGTATGAAAAACACTGGTGAGAGACTTTGGACTTCCTGGATCTGTCTTCCATCTAATAGATATTCCAGAAAGAGAGACTTTAAGGTTTTCTTTTTTGTTTTAATGGAGAATAGAAAATAATCCCTTTTTTTTTTTTTTTTTTTTTTTTGAGACGGGATCTTCCCCTGTCTCCGAGGCTGGAATACGGTGGTGCGATCAAAGCTCACTGCAGCCTTGAACTCCTAGGCTCATCATGCAGTCTTCCCTCAGCCTCCTGAGTAGCTAGGACCATAGGCACATGTCACCACATCTGGCTAATTTTTCTTACTTTTTGGAGAAATGAAGTCTTGCTATTTTACCCAGGCTGGTCTTGAACTCTTGGGCTCAATGATTCTCCTGTCTCAGCCTCCCAAAATGTTGAGATTGCAGGCATGAGCCACTGCGCCTGGCCTAATCCATTTGTTTGTTTTTTTGTTTGTTTGTTTGTTTTTTGAGACGGAGTCTCGATCTGTTGCCCAGGCTGGAGTGCAGTGGAGCAATCTTGGGTCACTGCAACCTCTGCCTCCTGGGTTCAAGCAATTCTCCTGCCTTAGCCTCCTGAGTAGCTGCGACTACAGGTGCATGCCAACACGCCTGGCTAATTTTTTGTATTTTTAATAGAGACAGGGTTTCACCATGTTAGCCACGGTGGTCTCGATCTCCTGACCTCGTGATCCACCTGCCTCGGCCTCCCAAAGTGCTGGGATTACAGGCGTGAGCCACTGCGCCCGGCCCTAATCCATTTTTTTTAAAGTGAATTTCCTTGTGGCCCCAGGTGGTGAGCAACAATAGTGGGAGAAAGTTCACACACAGATATCACCTAGTATAATTTCAACCTCCTAAGAATTCCAAGGATCGTTCGCTAAAGCTAAGGTGAAAATTCTACATATTGCCAGAGGAGACATAGAAAGTTTCAACAGACTGGCACTCAATGGTTTATCTTCCAAATGGGAACTATCTCCAAAGTGCTAAATTTTTATGAAGGAAGATGATTTTGAATTTAGAATTCTATATTCTGTTTACTATCTTTAAGAGTGAGAACAAAATAACAGTGTTCTTGAACATGCAAACACTCAGACAACACTGCATACATAATTTTGGGGGCCCAATGCATAATAAAAGCGTGGGGCTGCTTGTTGAAAGATTTAAGAGTTTGGGCCGGGTGCGGTGGCTCACACCTGTAATCCCAGCAGTTTGGGAGGCCAAGGCAGGCGGATCACCTGAGGTCGGGAGTTCACAACCAGCCTGACCAACATGGAGAAACCCCGTCTCTACTAAAAATACAAAAATTAGCCGGGTGTGGTGGCGCATGCCTGTAATCCCAACTACTCAGGAGGCTGAGGCAGGAGAATCGCTTGAACCCGGGAGACGGGAGGTTGTGGTGAGCTGAGATCGTGCCATTGCACTCCAGTCTGGGTAAGAAGAGTGAAACTCCGTCTCAATAAATAAATAAATAAATAAAAATTAAAATTAAAAATTAAGAATTTCAGGATGGCAACTGCAGAGCATTAAAATAAGTGTGGGACCCCTCTGAATGCAGCGCCCCATGCAGTTGCACAGCTCATGTGCCCAGGAAGCTGAGAAAACTCACCACCCATGAAGTCTTCTGGAAAAAAGAAAGCATTTAATTCAAAAAAGTGGTGAGTGCGAGACAAAACAAAAAATGATCCCAGTAAAACATAAAAAAAATTATTGTCTTTAATATTCTTTATGAAGCTTAATGATTTTTAGAATACCATTAAGAATAGAGGGGAGGGCTTGGCACGGTGGCTCATGCTTGTAATTCCAGCACTGTGGAAGGCCGAGGTGGGTGGATAACTTGAGATCAAGAGTTCAAGACCAGCCTGGCCAACATGATGAAACCTTGTCTCTACTAAAAATACAAAAATTAGCCGGCAGGGTGGCACGTGCCTGTAATTCCAGCTACTTGGGAGGCTGAGGCAGGAGACTCGCTTGAACCTGGGAGTTGGAGGTTGCAGTGAAACGAGATTGCACCACTGCACTCCAGCCTGAGTGAGGAAGCAAAATCTGTGTCTCAAAAACAAAACAAAACAAACAGAATAGAGGGGAGATGTGTACTTAAAAATCATACACATTAAAATTTGATAATTTCAACAACAGGAAAGAGATGGTCAAGAAGTAAGAGAAAAGTAAAATGCAAGCTTAAAGTCTTGTTAGACTTGGGCAGGGGATGTTTAAATACTGATTAATTAGAACTAATTGTATTTTTAAAAATTAATTTTAAATATGTAAAGGTAAGCACAATATTTAAAGGTAACTGCAAAATTAGTGACTTACCCAACACACATTTATAATCTCATGGTTTCTGCGGATGAAGAATTCAGACATGGCTGAGCTAGGTCCTCTGCTTCAAGATCTTTGCATGGCCGCAGTCAAGATGGTAGCCAGGGCTGGGGTCTCAAGGCTGGAGTCAAGGTGATGGCCAGGGCTGGGCTTCCTCTTTGAGTGAGGAAGGACATGCTTTCCAAGCTCATGTGGTTGTTGGGATTTGGTTCCCTCCAGCTGATGGATTGAGGGCCGTAGTTGGTAGCTGTCCATCTGCTGAAGGCCACCTTCAGTTTGTTTCCACGTGAACCTCCTCAACATGGCCACTTCCTTCATCAAAGCATGTAAACCAAGAAGGCAGTGGAGAGTCTAACAAGACAGCAGTTACAACCTTGTGCAGTGTAATCATGGAAGTGACATCCCGCGGTCTTTGCTGGATTCTGATGGTTAGAAGGAAGTCACAGGTTTCATCCACACTCAGGAGCAGAGGAACTCTCAAGGGTGTGAGCACCAGGAGACTGGGATCCCTGGGGGCTGTCTTAGAGCTTACTCACTACCACACTCATTCATAATAAGGCCTGTCAGACAAGGGAGACTTGGTCATACACCTGAGTTATATAAATCCTCATCCAGTCTCCCTATGGTTGACAAGGTGTCTTGCTCATAAGCGTCAGTACCTGGTGTCAGGTGCTCTCATATAATCAATCACTGTTTGTTGAATGAACATGAATTGCTACAAATAAAAGCAGTTTTGAAAAAACAGTTTGGCGCCATTAACAGGTTGTTTTTAATTTGCATTGTAAAATGGGTTTGGCAGTTTTGCATATTAAAAGGTCAAAATGTTATGCCATGAAAGATAAAACAAGAGCTTAAACATTCCAGAACAAAATTTTCCACAGGATGCCCTTGTGTTTGCCTTTCACATCTGGATTGTTGTCATAGTCCTGCCATTCGCAGTAATTTACATTTGAGTCACATTTCTCTCTTGAGGAGTAAATATAGTACAGTACTTCCCTTTAAATGTCCTTTACTCAAGGAGAAAAACGTATTTGGGGTACATATTTTCACAACCATCCTGGCATAAATTTTAAAATCTGTGTGCAAATGGGTGGTGATTGCATCATGTTAGGTTGCTCAGAGAATGTCTTTAAGATGACATGATTGAGAATTGATTCATTAACACTGTTACTATTTTTTCAGAGCTCATTCCGCAAAACCATGTCTGAGAGCCAGGAAGTCTGGATTCTTGTCCCAGTGCCCCAACCAATGAGCTGAGTGGCCTTGGCAAGTCACCCAGTCTGCACCAGTTTTCTTGTCTGTGGAATGCTGGGCTTGGATGAATAGTAATTCAAGGATCTCTCCCTCTGCAGTGTGCTTTCTGGTGACCATGAATGGATGCTGTCAGTAGATGCCTTGGTGCTCTTTACGGTGCTGGTGCAACTACCCCCAACTGTCAGGAAGATGTCCCCTAGTGGCTTATAGCTGTCTCCTCTGCAGAATTGCCCTTGGCCAAACAGCTGCTTCCTCACCTGGGAGATCACACCCCTGCAGCCGATGATTGACTGACACGTGGGTGCAGAAAGCCTGCCCTCTTGCCTCCAGGTGGGACCCAGTCTGTGGTGCAATTTGTGTTCCTGGGCACCTGTGGGACTGGCTGAAGTTAAACTTCAGATTAAACTACATCCTTAATTAGCTCTTTCCCTCACTCCAGCCTATTTCTCTCTCCTCGCGTTTCTTGAGAGCCCCCAAAACCCAATATATAAGAATTCTTTTCTTAGGCTTTGCTACTAGAGACCCTGATCCAAGAAAGTCACCTTAAAAGGAAGGGCTTATGGGTATGGGATTTCTTGAATTTTCCGGAGGGTGTAAGGTCATCATGAAAATAGGGGATGGTGAGGTGTAAAAACAGAGAGGAAGCCTTAAACCAGGGATGTCCAACCTTCTGGCTTCCCTGGGTCACGCTGGAAGAAGCATTATTATCTTGGGCTACACATAAAATACACTTAACACTAACGATATCTGATGAGCTAAAAGAAAAATGCAAAAAAATCTAATAATGCTTTAAGAAGGCTTAAAAATTTGTTTTGGGCTGTATTCAAAGTCATACTGGGCTGAATGTGGCCTGCAGCCATGGATTGGAGAAGCTTGCCTTAAACTGAAGCACTGGATATATTTGAATAAATATGCAGTCTTTAGTTTCTAGAAAATTTAGTTTGCATTTGATGTGATGCTGAAACCTCTAAGTAGAAACACCTGCTCATGTCCGGCCCAGAGTGAGTACTCACTGAATAATTATTGAACCAAATCATGCTGAATTTCTAAAATGGGGCCTAGAATTCCTGAAGATGTTTGATTGTAGGAGAGAAGAGTTTGGGGGCACAAAGGAGAGAAAGTATTAGGTTGGTGCAAAAGTAAATGCGGTTTTGGCCATTACTTTTAATGGCCAAAACCACAATTGTTTATATACTATAAAGAGAAGTCTGGGCTGAAGGCTCACTCTGTCCCAACTCCTCTAGGAAGTATGATGGAGATCGGGACCAGGGGTAGGCAATGATCTGAGGTCAATCTTAGCAGGTATGTCTAGACCGCAGGTGCCAGCATTCTGGTAGGTTTGGAAACCCCTCTTCTCTACTCCCAGCCACCTCCCACCATGCTGGTAAACTTGATGGAGGAGGCAGCTCCCTGCTCTCAGCAGCTCTCCTGGGTCCAGCTCCCTGCCTTTCTCAGTGTCTGGGGAATGAGAACAAGTGCTCTCATTGTCCCATAGGGACAAGGCCAGGGCTTCGCTAACCTGGTACCTGGTGTGCTGGGATTTATGGTTCAAAATGAAACACTCTGCATTCCCCTCACCCACACTGCTTCATCCATACCCAGCCTTCTCAGTGGTTCTCCTCCCACCTGACTTTTGGACTTGTAGTTATTTTGTGTCTCCTTATCCCCTCACTAATGAGTGGCCAGAGAAAGCTCAGAGGGGCTAGTTCTGGATTTTTCAGAACAAGGGATGGGAGTCATGGCAAGGAATTGAGATGCTGGGCCAAAGAACAGAAGTCTCCACCCCTATGCCAGCCCTGGGTGCTCTGTGGACTTGAGGTCAGCTGTGGCCTGCCCTGAGCTGGAGGCCTCTCCTGTTAGTTTTACATGAGGGGCCCCATGGGCAGAGAGGCTCATCACCCGAGTAAAGGTGACACAGGCTGCGGGAGGCAGGGCCTGCAGTGGAGAATGTGGCCTCCCAGGCCTGGTCACGCCTTCAGAAGTGTGAGGGTTTTCTAGGGTGAGAGTTGATGTTCCTAACTTTAGCCTTCAGCTCTCGGGGAGGCCCTTATGACCACACACATCTGTCAAAAATACCCTGTCCACCTCCCAAGCCTATCAGGGATCCCTGGCCTCATCCTCACAATGGGATGGGGAGGAGGCTTGATGGTAAGTTGGGAGATGGGAAAGGAGAGAGGAAGAAGATAAAGGAAATGAAGACGACAATCACTGAGTGGGTGATGGCTGCATGCCACCTGCATTCTCGTGACCCCTCTCCTCTGACCTGCTCAACAACCCCGGGAGTCAGAAATCACCTCCCAGACCTCAGTTTCTCCACACATTAAGATGTACTGAATAACCACCTGAGGGTCTCATAGGCCATTTCACTGATGTTCGCAACACCCCATGAGGCGTGCTGTTATCATCCCCATGAGGAGACAGAGCCTGGAAAGGTTGATTTGCAAAGAGGTGAAAGCCTGCCACAAATCTAGGTATGTCTGACCTCCTTGGCGATTTTGGAGCTTTGGGGATGGTACAGGTTGGGGCTTTGGACAACCAGATAAAAGAATAAAGATGCTGGATCCCTTCCATTTAGAGCTGGGGTTGGCCCACATTTTCTGTAAAAGGCCAGATAGTAAGTATTTTAGGCTTTGCAGGCCATATGGACCCTGATGGAACTACTCAACTCTGCTGTTGCAGTGTAAAAGCAGCCAGATGTAAATGAATGGGTGTGGCTTTATGCCAATAAAACTTTATTTACAAAACCATGTGGCCAGCCTGTGAGTCAGAATTTGCTGACCTATGGTATAGACACATGACGTAAATGGGTCAGAAGGGTTTTGGGCGAGACAAATGAGAAGGATTAAGGTTATCAGAGCACTGCATCGTTTATCTCAGTCTGTATAAATGGTGTCACCCTGGAATGATGCAGTACACAGACTGCAAAACCATACGTTGTAGTCTTGAGAGTGAGATAAAAAGAAAACAAGCCTCACAACCTAGACTGTCCTCTCTGGGAATGGTTAAGTGCTAGGACTCTGGTTTTTGGTGGGGTGACAGATTGAGAAATAGCTTCAGAAAAGAAAGTGGGAGGGCCACTTGCCTGCCCAAAGGTATCACGCTCCAGGATAATCAGCTTCTCAGTGGTTATCAGAAGAATGAAGGGTTATGTGATATCCTATTCCCAGAGGGTGAGGAAGGCAGACCACCTAATGACCTGGCCCCGTGGAATTTGGCCTCCCTGCTTCGTGGCACTTATTCAGCAGTGCTCCACTGTGGAAGCAGGGTGTGGCTGGGTCTGGCATTAAGTAGTGACAGCCCTCTGGGGCAGAACCACACATCTAAGAATGGACTAAGCCAGTCACAAGTCTCACTTCTTTGGAACTCCATTCCAGGGTTCCCAGAGCAGTTGGGAACACCGTTCTGTAATCAAACTGAGTTCACCTTTGGGCACCAGCTGCTCCCACAGACCAAGGGCAGGACAAAGTACAGAAAATAGATTGAAGCAAAGTACAGAAAAGAGATTGAAGCAGGTGCTGCTTTCTGTGAATTTGATCCAGACTGGGAAAAAAAAAAAAGATGGAAAACTCATTTCTCTGAAAAGCTCCATCTGTTGGCAAAAACCATCATCAGAAGTTCTGCTCTGGACAGGGGAGCTTGCCCAGCAAATACTGGGACAGGAGTGCCATGCTCCGAAGTTGGGCACTAAATGAGGCAAGGCTGGAGAAATGGACTTGGAGCGAGAAGGGATATGCCAGTGAGAGCCTAAGGGAGGTATCAGCGGGATATGTAAAAAGCCACTGCTTTGGAAGGGTCTGGCCTGCTCAGCTGGGTCATGTGCATCACCTATCAAAATACCCAGGCCCAGGTCCAATGAATACAGCAGCATCTCCACCTGCTGCTTTTAAAATTCCTGATTGATCTTGGCTCTGGAGCTGGGGACCCATTATACCACAATAGCATTCACACTGCTCACCCAGAAACTTAAGCACACTTCTCATCTCTTGTTGTGACTCCAGCCTCTGAATTGGGCTGTAGTATTCTTAGGAGCTGAATGAGTTGCTCAAGAAAGTTTATGAATTGAATCCCACCAGGGAAGAGTAACCAAAGATAATTTTCTAAAAAAAATCTCCCAGTGGGCAGAGGTTGCAGTGAGCAGAGATCGCGCCATTGCACTCCAGCCTGGCGACAGAGCAAGACTCCATCTCAAAAAAAAAAAAAAATCTCTAGAAAAAGAAGCCCTTTTGCAGGTTCTGAGACCTGTTCAGGTAGCCTGCTCTCTGGAGATGGAGGAACGCAGTGGATTGCAGGTTTCTAAAACTGGTAGCAGAATGACATTTGAGGCCTTGTTAAAACTTCTGAGGCCTGGTCTTCTAAATTAGACTCTCTTGGACTGAAGGCCAGGAATCTGTATTTGACAAGTTTCCTGGGTTACCTGGATATGCAGCCTGGTTTGGGAACCCTGGCCTGGGGACCTCCCAAGATTTTTGTTGGCCCTAGGGCAGAGCTGATGTAACTACTGCCCCAATTGTGCCCAGGTTTCTGTTTGTTTTGTTTTGTTTTGTTTGCTTGGCTGTGCTAAAGCCCAGAGAGGGAGACAGGGAGCTAAGGATTAGGACATGGCTTCTGCCTTCACAGATCCCCAGCGTAATGTTTAAATCATGGTACCAGCTATGATTTAGGGCAGCCATTGTGCCCTCCTTAGCGACATACAGATGGTTAGAGAAACCAGCCCTTGAATGGCAAAGCAGGAGAGTGACTAAGAGTTGTACTAGTGACTTTTTTTTACTTTTATTTATTTTTTTTCTGAGACAGAGTCTCGCTCTGTCACCCAGGCTGGAGTACAGTGGCACTATCTCAGCTCACTGCAACCTCCGCCTCCCGGGTTCAAGCAATTCTCCTGCCTCAGCCTCCTGAGTAGCTAGGATTACAAGCGTGTACCACCACGCCCGGTAATTTTTGTATTTTTAGTACAGATGGGGTTTCACCATATTGGCCAGGCTGGTCTCAAACTCCTGACCTCATGATCTGCCTGCCTTGGCCTCCCAAAGTGCTGGGATTATAGGCATGAGCTGCTGTGCCCGGCCAGTACTAGTGACTTTTTAAAAAAAATTGATGCTGGTGAAAATTCAACAGAGCTGCACTTGCCACTCTCAAACTCAATTGGTATAATGGATCATTTGTTTATTTCTGTATGTGTTTCAAACTCTATCAGCAAAGCCACAAAGTATACAGAGAAAGAGATAGAAAAGAAAATTAAGCTTCAAATGGAAGAATAAGGAAATATGCTGAAATATGAAGTGAATATGGTGCTTAAGTAAGTGTGCAAGGATAGAATAATTGTAACTCATATTCTAGTGGTCAATACTGGGATCATATGAAATACATAAGTAGACATACAAACTAGAAATACATTTTAGTTTAAAATGAAAAATGTGGGCCGGGCGCGGTGGCTCACGCCTGTAATCCCAGCACTTTGGGAGGCTGAGGCGGGTGGATCACGAAGTCAGGAGGTCGAGACCATCCTGGCTAACATGGTGAAACCCCGTCTCTACTAAAAATACAAAAAATTAGCCAGGCGTGGTGGTGGGCACCTGTAGTCCCAGCTACTTGGGAGGCCGAGACAGGAGAATGGCGTGAACCCAGGAGGCAGAGCTTGCAGTGAGCCGAGATTGCACCACTGTACTCCAGCCTGGGTGACAGAGCGAGACTCTCTCTCAAAAAAAAAAAAAAAAAAAATTAATAATAATAATAATAATAATAATAATAAATAAATAAAGTAAATAAAATAAAATGAAAAATGTGGTAATGGAAAGAGATGATTAGATCTACAACAAAGGAGTCAAGTCACTCAGGTGGAGCATTTTAAAAAAACCAAGTTATAGGATTATTCAATGTTTGGTAGAAGTACCCAGTGAGACCATCTGGGCCTGCAAGATTTCTTTTTGGGGAGCTTTTAAATTACAAATTCAACTTCTTTAATGGTTAAATAGTCCTATAACCATTAAATAAATTTAATTCAAATTTGAAAACCTCCTGAAAAATAAATCTCTTGTTTTCAACTCTGACCTGTAAAGAACTTGAAAATTGTTACTCCTGTCCTCAAAGAAGATAAAAGCCCCTTCCCCCCCACCAAAAACTAAAAATCAATGACATTTTTTGGACCCATTGAATAACTGAGGTCACAGGGCTAACTGCCACTTCAAAATCTGGAGAGGTAGGCAAATCCACAGATCTTAGCTGAGATCTGTTTCCCTGGAGCAGAAGCTGCTGGAGGCACTCTGGTAGGAATGCTTACATGGTGATTTAAAGGAATTGCTGGAGGCTGAGTGTGGGCAAGCATGAGAGTGGGAAATTTTGGGGGCAGCAGTTTTAGATGGGGGGGCCATAGTTCTGTGGGTTTTATCTTTAGGGACCCCATCATCTCATGATGAAGAATCAAGAAATATCCCATCCATCCTGGCTCTGGCAAGGGGAAGGAAAAGTAACCATTGTGGAATACACCCAGTGTGTTCTCCATAGCAAAGGAGAGTACTCCAGGAAAAATTTCACCAGAGCCTTAGGCTCATCTGGAGGATGGGGCCTTTCCCACTCTGCACACATTGGCCTTCCCAACTCCTCTAAGGGCCTAAGGGCAGGGTGGGTTGGGGTGGGGGAAGCAGGTGTTCCCTCCCCAATACCTTATCACCATACTAGCAGTTTCCAGTATAATAATAGTAATAATAATAGTGGATTATAGCTGAAAGGGCCACAAGACAGACTCTATCTAGAGTGGTCCTTGGGAAAGCCAAAAGACAACAGGGGGGTCAAAACAAGGACATTGGAGAAGCAAAGCCTCTGGTGCCTCTGGCTTACCTGTGAAGTCCTGTTCCAAGAGTAAGAACACTGGCTCCCATCACCCATCATCAATCCACTTAACCATTCAGTTCCAATATAGACGTAAAGCAGTATCAGCATTGTTAACCTGCATGGTCTGGAGTGAAAGGATCAAGGTTGGTCAGATTCCTGTGCTCAAGAATTTGAACTGAGAAATGGAAAGAATGACACAGTTGATGGAAGCTGAAGGTGAAAGAAGCCAAGGGGTAGGATGGGGGCCATGATGGGTCAGATGGGCCACTCAAGTTACAAGTAAAGAAGAGTCCTTGTGTAGACTAGAGATGTGATTGGAGAGGGAAAGTGTGAGCCAGTCATGCTCAGAGGCCAGGGCAGACTCAGGGAGAGATTGAGTCCTTTTGATGGCAGATTACTGGTGTGAAGGGGCAGGTTCTTGCTGCTGAGGTGCCCCAAGCTGCTGTGACTGGAGCAGGACTGAGTGACCTCGAGAACTTGGCTGGATTCTGGTGTTCCCTGCACCCTCGCAAGGTGCTTGTTACTATGATGGCTACTATGCATGCTTATAACACACTCCCCTACAACCCCCCCCCGCCCACACACACACACCACACACCCTCGAGGAAACTCAACCCAAACTCTGAGCCTGTAAACCAGCCAGAAAAGTTCTGATGGAATAGGTGACACACGCAATTTTGGAAAGATTGATTTTGAGATGTCTCTTTACACAGGACATCAGGAGGCAGTTGGTCAGGAACTAAGGAGAGAGGCATGGGCTGGATATCAAGACCTGGGCATCATTAGGAAGAGGGTGGCAGTGACACACAGCAGGAGGGAAGACCACAGCATAGGGAGCAGCATGGATTGAGGGGAGCCGAGGCCCAGGCTGCAGCTCCAGGGAGCCTCTGTTCTTGGTGGCCAGCTTTGGAAATGGAAGAGCAGTGGAGATGGAAGCATTTTATTCAGCGAGGTAGGATAGGTGGAGAACTGGGAGAAACCACAGAAAGAGAGAATTTCAAGAGCAGGGGCGTCCACTGTTGTCAAATAGCAACACTAGCACACAACAAAATATAATCCATGATAAAGATAGCAATAAATTGGCCGGGCACAGTGGCTCATGCCTGCAACCCCAACACTTTGGGAGGCCAAGGTGCATAGATCACCTGAGGTCAGGAGTTCAAGACTAGCCTGGCCAACATGGTGAAATCCCATCTCTACTAAAAATACAAAATTAGCTGGGCATGGTGGCGCATGCCTGTAATCCCAGCTACTCAGGGGACTGAGGTGGGAGAATCACTTGAACGCGGGAGGCAGAGGTTGCAGTGTGCCATTGCATTCCAGCCTGGGCAACAAGAGCGAAACTCCATCTCAAAAAATAAATAAATAAATAAATAAATAAAAGGCAATAAATCACTGTGGAAATTAAACTATTGTTCAACGAATGGTGTTAGGACACTGATTAGCTATTTGAGGAAAAAAGCCAATTGAGAGTTTCCACTTTCTGCTGTATACCAAAGTACATTTCAAGTGAATCAGAAAATTAAATGGTCACCTGTTTCATCTTGCCTGTTTTTGGTTCTTTATATTTTTATGTTTACTTTTTACTTTTTATTTATTTTTTTAGAGACAGCCTTGCTCTGTCACACTGGGTGGAGTGCAGTGGTGTGATCATAGCTCACCACAGCCTCTAACTCCTGGGTTCAAGCAATCTTCCTGCCTCAGCTTCCCAAGTAGCTGGGACTACAGGCATGCACCACCAAGCCTGGCTCATTTTTTAACTTTTTGTAGGGACAGGATCTCGCTATGTTCCCTAGGCTGGCCTCAATCTCCTGGGCTTCTCCTGCCTTGGTCTCCAAAAGTGCTGGGATTACAGGTGTGAGCCACGTCACCAGTTCTTTGTATTTCAAATTGAAGTTTTGGGTTATGTTTTTATGTGGACTGTTGTTGTTTGGTTTATTTCAATTGAAAGGAAAAGATCAATAGATAAAGCTACATAAACTACTGTCCATGCACCAAAAGCATCATATGCAAAATTAAGAGGCAAAAGGTAAACTGGAGCAAAATGCTTTTCATGTATATAATAGACAAAGGGCTATGTGCTTAGTAAATAAAGGACTCATATCCACAAGACAGGAGTAACACTGAGAATCCAGAGATAATGTGGGCAAAGAATACAAATAGGCAAAAATAGACATGAAAATGCTCAAGACAGTTGAGGGAAAATGTTCAAGTTCATGAGCGATCAGAGAAAAGCAAATTAAACCAATGAACTAGATTTTCTAAATTCTTGCCAAACTGACTGGAGCACAGACACTCTCTGGTGGCCACGTGACACTGTTACATCCTTTCTAGAAGGCAATTTGGCAGCTGATATCAAGAAACTTAAAAACTTGTATGCCCTTTCACTCAGTAACACAGGGCAGTTTCAATTCTAGGAAACTTCCCTAAGAAAATAAACATCATTGGGGTCAAAGATTCATATGCCAAGATGTTTGTCTCAGCAGTATAGTAATAGGGAAAGAATAGAACATGCTAAATGTTGACGAGTAGAGACAATTTATGGTACACGTTAAAATGAGTGTTAAAGATTCATTAAAATTATGCATAGAAAGAGTTTTTAGTGGTATGATAAAGTGCTTGTGATGCAATGTTAAGGGGAAAAAGAATACGCATTTCCATAAGTCACATATTTTCACCTCTGCTTTAAGAAAAAGATCAAAAAGAAATATACAAATTATTAAGAGTTTATGTCTAGGTGGTAGCTGGTAGGGTGATTGGAAAATATAGATAAGTATTTTTACAACTAGAATTTCAACGACATTCATTTCTATATTGTTGACTTCTAAAAATCTTTTCTGAGCTTAAAAACCTTTTTTTCTATAAAAGTAAATCAACTCAATGAAAGTTAATTAACTTGAACAATGTGTTGAAATAATTAAACTGATAAGAAAACTCATTGAATTTTTAAAAAGCACTAAGTCTGCTGTGATTATATAAATTCTATGTACAGAGAAAATTATTTTAGTGATGAGAGGAAAAGGAGACAGGAATGGACAATTAGCCTATGTAGAAATGTGTGTGTGTGTGTGTGTGTGAGAGAGAGAGAGAGACAGAGAAAGAGAGAGAATTAGTGTGATTCATTTATGAATACATATCAGAAAACAATACTTTCTCCATTTTTCTATTCTTTTAAAAATATTTTAAACACAGAAAAATTTAGAGAATTGTAGAATTATATAACCCATTCCTAGAGTTAATAAATGTTAGCATTCTGTCATATTCAGTTTATTTTTTAGGAAATAAACATTACAGAAACATTTGAATTCCCTGCTTCACCCCCACGCCTCCCCCCACAACCAGTTGGTTCTCTCCTCCCCTGCCTCCTGCCATATCACACCTCCTTTGTTGGTTCACTGCGTTTGAACTTATGAGAGAAAAAGCTGTCAGAGCTCCTTGCATTTGTGCATGCAGCACAGCAGGGCCTTCAGAGCTGCCCTCCCAACACGGCCTGTCCAAGCAGACTCAGCCTGGCCAGGTAGGTCCCTCATTCGCTAAGGCTAGCGAGATCCCCTGACTATGGCCCTCCAAAGGCACCTCCACTCACCCAGGGGTCCTGGGAACTCTCCCTGCTCCGCCCCATAGGCTGGGTAGCCTGGAAGAGTCTTGCCACTGGGCAGTCTCTTCTTTGGTACCAGAGGTCTTGGCTGTGAGCCATAGTCCCTTCTGGCTTGAGATTAGTATGGTAGGTGGCATCTCCTGGACCCCTCCACCCCTGCAGCCTGTTATTCTAATCTTCCCCCCACCCTTTTTTTTTTTTTTTTTGTCTTTCACAGCCAACTCTGAGAAGTGGTTTTCCACATTTCTTCCTTTGGGAATTGAAAGCGTTGGGGAAGCACAGGCATGAGGAACAGTGAAGAGCAGGAGCTCTTACAGTCTGTCTGCTGGGGGGTTTAATTCACTATCTCCTGCCAGGCTCATTTGTCCATGCATCAAATACTTAATGAGCCTCCACTCTACGGGAAGCACTGCTGTGGGCTTGGGTGATACCATGTTGAGCAGACACAGACTCAGTTCCTGTCTGTATTAGTTTTCCTTTGCTTCTGTAACAAATTACTACAAACTTGAGGCTTACAAAAACACAAATTTGTTGTATTATAGTTCTAGAGGCCAGACGTCTAAAATCAAGGTGCCAGCAAGGCTGGTTCCTTCTGGAGGCTTCAGAGAATGATTTGTTTCTTGGCCCCTTCCAGCTTCTGGAGGCTGCCTGCATCCCTTGGCTTGTGGCCCCTTCCTTCATTTTCAATGTGCCTCACTCCAACCTCTGGTTCTGTCATGTCTCTTTTTTCTAATGTCTGACTCTCTTGTGTGCCACCTATAAGGCCCCTTATGATTACAGTGGGCCTACTGAGATAATCCAGGAAAATTTCCACATCTTAAGATCCTTCACTTAATCCCACCCGCAAAGTCCCTTTTGCGTGGAAGGTAACATATTCACTAGTTGTGGGGATTTGGACCTGGACACTTTTGGGGGTGCATTATTCTGCCTATGACACCATCCCCACAGCAGTTTTCACTTATGTGATTAGTTGTTAAACAAGTCACTGCAAATGCAAGGAGGAGAGGCAGCAGCTTGGCAGGGAGCTCAGAGGCTGCCCCCAGGAAATGACTTGCTCAGGACCTGGAGACTGAGGAAGATGTGACAGACACAGAGGGAAGAGAGGGGTAATTCACACAGTGGGCACAGCAGGCGGCAGGATAGGGAAGACAGGTGGCAGGACAGGACGAGGTGAGGACAGGGACTCTCTGACATTTGTGGGTTGGTAGGAAAGACAGGAGGAAAGAGGAGCCTGAAATGAGGCAATGGAAAGGCAGAGGCCAGAGAGCCTAGATTAGGTAATTTGGTTCAGGATTCTTTTCTTAATGTCAATTGGAGAGTGTAATCAGGGATCACAGACTGGCTTGTTTTTTGAAAGTTTCCTCTGGCTGCATTGTGTTAAGAAGACCCTGGTGAAGGGATTCTGACCGTGGCCAAAATGACAACGTAACTTCCCCCCAAAGATGTCCAGGCCTGAATCTCTGGAGCCTGTGCCTGTTATGTTACATGGCAAGGGGGAATTCAGATAGCAGAAGGAGTTAAGGTTTCTAACCAGCTGACCTTAAATGGGATAGTACCCTGGATAATCTAGGTGGGCCAGTGTAATCACAAGGGGCCTTAAATGTGGAAGAGAAAGGCAGGAGAGTCAATGTCACATTGATGTGATGTGAGAAAGACCTGACAGGTTACTGCTGGCTTTGAAGATGGAGGGGCCCATAAGCCAAGGAGTATAGGCAGTCTCTAGAACAGCGGTCCCCATCCTTTTTGGCACCAGGGATCAGTTTTGGGGAAGACAATTTTTCCATGGATGGTGTGGGGAGGGGAATGGTTTTGGAATGATTCAAGAATATCATATTTATTGTACACTTTATTTCTATAATTATTACATTATAATATATAATGAAGTAATTATACAAGTCACCATAATGTAGAATCAATGGGAACCCTGAGCTTGTTTTCCTTCAACTAGATGGTCAGCTAGATGGTCCCATCTGGGGGTGATGGGAGTGACAGATCATCAGGCATTAGATTCTTATAAGGAGTACCCAACCTAGATCCCTTACATGCATTCACAGTTCACAGTAGGGTTCATGCTCCTATGAGAATCTAATGCCCCACTAATCTGAAAGGAAGTGGAGCTCAGGCAGTAATGCAAGTGATGGGGAGTGGCTGTAAACACAGTTGAAGCTTCTCTTGGTTGCCTGCTGCTCACCTCCTGCTGTGCAGCCTGGTCCTAATAGGCCACGGACCAGTACCTGTCTGTGGTCCCGGGATTGGGGACCCCTGCTCTAGAAGCTGGAAAAGGTAAGGAAACAGATTCTCTCCTTGAGCCTCCAGAAAGGAACACAGCCCTGTGGATGCTTTGATTTTAGTCCCATGAGATCCGTTGTGGACTTCTTAACTCCAGCACTATAAGATGATGGATTCATGTTGCTGTGTTCATTTGTTACAGCAGCAGTAAGAAACTTATCCAGCTTGGAAGTTCAGGGGGCTATTGGGGATTTAAATTGGGAGCAAGGAACAGAGGTAGGGAGACTTGGTCAATTGCTCTTTTAGAGATCTTGCCCCTGGGATGTGGGGAGCAGGACAGATGCTTTGAAAAAGGGGGCTCTGACCGGGCGCCTGTAATCCCAGCACTTTGGGAGGCCAAGGCGGGCAGATCACGAGGTCAGGAGTTTGAGACAAGCCTGGCTAACATAGCGAAACCCCGTCTCTATTAAAAATACAAAAAAAATTAGTCAGGCACGGTGGCGGGAGCCTGTAGTCCCAGCTACTCGGGAGGCTGAGGAAGGAGAATGGCGTGAACCCGGGAGATGGAGCTTGCAGTGAGCCGAGATTATGCCACTGCAGTCCGGCCTGGGTGAAAGAGCGAGACTCTGTCTCAAAAAAAAAAAAAAAAAAAAAAGAAAAAAGAAAAAGGGGGCTCTGCCAAACAGCCCTAGGTGAGGGAGGAGCTGGGCCCTGGGGAGCTGAGAGAAATGAGGGTAAAGAATGTGCGTTTGTAGAGAATAAAGAATAAGAAGGTCTTGGCCACCTCATGGAGGGTGGGGACGAGAGGCAGGAGAGGAGGAGAAAGGCACGCACCGTATCCAGGGCCCGCTATGTCCTCAGTTCATAGAGTCTTTATGTCTCATTTCACAGACAAGGAAATAGAGGCTTAGAAGCAGAAATCAAGTGACAAGCTCAGGCCACAGGGCTGAACAACGATGATGTGAATATTCAAGCTCCTGTTGGTTTGGAGAGGCAGATACGGTCCTGCCAAGAGCATCAGCTCCACAGGTAGTGTCAAAACATTATGGGTTTGTGTGGTGGACACAGAGCTGCACTGCCCAGCTCCCCTTCAGGAAGGCACAGTGGCCAGCTGCGGGCGTGCAGTCAGCTGCTGGTTGTAAGCTCTTTCCTGTGTACCTTGCCCAAGGTTACACCCCCAGGGAGTCTGTATCCAACCCCTTAGGAGCCAGGGTGTGAGAGTCTGGCCACTTGGACCAAATGTGGATACTGCCAGGCGAGCCTGCTCCAGGCCCTTGGCTGACCATGGCTGTGTGGGGCCTGAGTCACAGATTGGCGTCTTCCTCAGCTCATCCTGCCCCGCCAGGATTGACCCCTATTAAACTCAGCCTCTGCTTCGAGGAACCTAACCTGCAAGAGTAGCAGAGCAAGTCTTTGGATAGATAAGACAGTCTTTGGAGAGAAGGAGGCCTCAGTGGAGGGCTGAGGGGGCTATGCTTTGCATTCTAGGTAATGTTTTCTCCAAGCTGCTTTTATTTTTGGTACAGAAAAATGAGACAGGGTCCTCCCCATGTTTAAAGCTTCTTTTGGTTTTCATTTTCTCTGCTTTGGAGTTGAGATGTGGGTGATTGCATGTGTCTGGCTGAGTGAGAAGCAGTGCTCCTGAGCCTGATGGCCAGGAATTCCTGGGAACTTGGTGTCCTTCTCCTCTGGCTGAGCCACGCCCAGGTTCATCTTCAAATCTGGCTGGCTGTGCATCTCACCTCCCTCACTCTCCAGCCCCCAACTGCCTGCATGTCATACTGAAAGCAGCAGAGGGCTGGCAGAGGATACCACGTGGCTGCCTGATTCATTTCCAAGAGGGAAACCGACATTATCCATTCAAAGGGCAGAGGGAGCCATTGTTTACAGGAGCCTTTCCTCCTCCATCCTGGCTTCACCTTCTGGGAAAAGTGGGGACGCTCCACCTGCGCAGCAGCTTGTGGTAGGGTGGAGGGGGCTTGGGAGCCACAGTGGACCCCCCACAAGCCCTCTACCAAGGACCACGTGACAACAGGGATATGCACATTAACCCAAATTATTTGTCTACTTCAATCCCTGAACACTTTGTGTATCAGAAATTCTCTTAAAGATAAAGTGAGGTCTTTTTATTAACAGAGGTCAGAATGCAGGAGAGAAGAGGGATGGGGAGCCAGTCAGAGAAAGGAGCGCAGGCCTTCTCTACTCAGCCCAACCTGCAGGCTCCTCAGTGATCCCGGTTATACCGCCTGTATATGCGTATGCAGTCTTGTGCTAGGAAGTGGCTGAAGCCTCTGTTCTGTAGTCTCTGCTGATTTCTGTGTTGTAAACATTTCCCCCACAGCTGATATCAGGCTATCCAGGAGACGTCACTGAGCACAGAGTAAGGAGGAGCTGGGCAGTAGCCCCCATCAGGGAGGATTCCACCATCAAGACACAATAGATACCAGACCCTTAAGAGCATAGAAGACAGTAAGACGCAGTAAAATAATTAAGAAGTGATGAGTTTGGGTATTTATTACCTTTGTTTTTAATATAATTTATTTAATTGTAAGTTTATGAAATTTAATTTTACAATGGCTGTGTTTAACCACTGGTTCACAACGTTTCTGATCATTTAATAAGTGACTTTCACGGGCCAGTGATGAGCCTACGGCACTGCACTCCAGCCACTCAGCAACTCCATGTCCCCTCATATCTATCATCCTAAATGCCACAAGGGGTGAGTCTGTGGGCTCAGCTACAGTGTGGCTTCCCTTACCTCCACCCTCTGCTCCCAGCCTACCCTCTCTCTCGCAGTGTCTCCGAGGGAACTGCAGATGAACTTTACTTCCTGGAGGGAGTGAGCATAATGTAGTGGAAAGGGTTTTTCAAGTCTGCCATTCACTTAGAATGACGTTGGGTGAGTTACTTAACTAGTCTGAGCCTTGGTCTCTCAATCTCTAAAATGGGGTAATAGGAGTTACTTCATAGGGTTACTATGCTTTTGATAGGGATTGTTAACTATATCCCAATATCTATGCCTCCCCCACCCCCCCCCCACCATTTACAGAGCAGTAGAATTTTTAGCTGAACAAATACTGTGTGGATTGAAGACTGTGCTTCCCAGCCTCTATGGCAGCTAGAGAAAGAAGTTCTTTTTTTTTTTTTTTTTTTTTTTTTGAGATGGGGTCTCATTCTTTCACCCAGGCTGGAGTGCAATCGTATGATCTTGGCTCAATGTACCTTCCACCTCCTGGGCTCAAGAGACTCCCCCACCTCAGCCTCCCAAGTAGCTGGGACCACAGGCATGCACCACCATGCCTGGCTAATTAGATAAATAAATAAATTCTGCTTATTGGGATAAAAGTGGAAGTGATGTGTGCAATACCCAGGCCATACCCTTGAAAGGTAAGAACATGCTTCCCTTTCCAGTGTTCTCTCTTTCTGCTGGCTGGAATGCTGATGTGATTCTAGGAGTAGAAGCTGCTATCTGGGCCGGGCACGGTGGTTCATGCCTGTAATCCCAGCACTTTGGGAGGCCAGGGCAGGAGGATCACTTGAGGTCATGAGTTTGAGAACAGCCTGGCCAACATGGTGAAACCTTGTCTCTACTAAAAATACAAAAATTAGCCAGGCATGGTGGTGAGCACCGCTAGTCCCGGCTACTCAGGAGGCTGAGGCAGGAGAATTGCTCGAATCCAGGAGGCGGAGGCTGCAGTAAGCCGAGATCGTGCCACTGCACTCCAGCCTGGGTGACAGAGGGAGACTCCGTCTCAAAAAAAAAAAAACAACAACAACAAAAGAGAAGTTGCCATCTGGACCATGAGGGAGAAGCCTCATGCTGAGTGGCAGAGGAACCAGGTACTAGGAGCCTTGGTCTGATAATCATGCGGTTACCTTACCAGCCCTGGTCTACCTACTCAGCTTTTTATAAGTGGCAGAAATGGTATTAAGCCTTCATAATTTTGAGTTTTTTTTTTCATTTTTGTATTGTAGTGAAATATGCATAACACAGAATTTACCATTTTAAGCAATTTTTAAGCATGCAATTCAGTAGAACTAAGTACATTTACAATGTTGTGTGACCATCATCATGATCTGTTTCCAGAATAGGTTTTTCCCATCTCAAACAGAAACTCTGTATCCATTAAATAACAACTCCATATTTTACCCTCTTCCAGCCCCAGATAATCCCTATCTTACTTTCTGTCTCTATGAATTTGACTATTCTAGGTACATACAAGTGGAATCATACAATTTTTGTCTTTTGTGACTGGCTTCTTTCATTTAGCGTGATGCCTTCATGGTTCACCCATGTTGTAGCATGTGTCAGAATCACTTTCCTTTTTAAGGCTGAATAATATTCCATTGTATGAATGTATCACATTTGCTTATCCATTCATTGGTCAATGGACACTTGGGTTGTTTCCACATTTTTGGCTACTGTGAATAATGCTGCTATGAGCATTGGTGTACAAGTGATTTTGAGTCTTTTTGTTAAAGCAGTGGAAACAATATACTAACTAACACTGGTCTTAAATAATGCACACAGTGTTGTTGCAGTGCCTGGCATATATTTCCTCTCTTTGCTCTTTTTTTCTTTTTTTTCTGGAGAGTAAATCAAGGGATGTGGTAAAGAAAAGTTTGGGATGAAACCAGTGGCTGGCTCAGACCAGCTCACAAAAGCCAATGGTTACATTTTCAGTAAATTTGAGAGCTGGGTGTTAAACTCATGTTGACTTGAAATTGGCCATGGTGGGGGTATTTACACTATGGTAATTGGCAAACAATATAAATCGGGGTTTTTTTTGGTTTCTGAGAGAGCTGGTTGTTAAACATTATGAGCACCTCCCTGGAGAAAAACCTTCTTTTGCTGGAGGCCCACAAGACTTTGTTATAATTCCATCTTAGGTGGAGGAGGCTGTGAAAATTTTGTTAATTATGTTGTTTATGGGTGAGCATTGTTGTATGTGAGGTTTATGAAGTAGACATTTATTTGTGCATGTATGTATGTATCCTTTCTGAAAATTACCTAAGGTCATGGCAGAGAGGAGACTAGCTAGACATGTTTGCTGTGTGTTGAGGGCTAGGAGAGTGCTTCATGTTGAGATGGCTGCTGATAAGTGGAGCCTCCATCAGCCTGGGGACCCCTGAATGATAAGAATTCACAGAAGCCCCAGCTGCCCTGTGGTGGACGGGTAGCACGAACAAGAAACGCGCCTTTGTTATTTTAAGCCAGTGAGGTGTTGAAGTTGTTTGTTCTGCATCATAATCTAGTTTATCCTGACAGATACATCCCCCAAGTGGAGATGTCTGGTAGGTAGCTGCATATATAAAAAGAGTGTACTAGACTCCATGTAAACGGCATTTAAATCCATGGGATTAGTTGAGCTCTATAAATGGAAAAGAAAAGCGGTCCAAAGACAGAGCTCCGGGGGTTCATCTATGTGTAAATGTTAGAGGGATGAGGAGGAACCAGAGAAAGAGTGAGAAGGGGTAATTGGCTAGTGGGAGGGGGAAGGCCAAGAATGTGGGGTGCTGGAAGCCAAGTGAAGAAAGGATCAGACAGGAGGAAGGAGAAATTTACAGAATGGTTGGGAGTGTAAGTTAAGGCCTGAGAGTCATCTTGGCACCAGCAAAGGGGAGGTTTCTGGGGACTTGCGAGGGGCCAGGGTACAGGCTGACTGCCATTAACTTACTGATACTCTCAACCATTCAGTACATTTACAAAAGATTGGAAGGAGGAGAGCTAGAGAGAGGGCACATAAGCCTTCCTAGGACTCTGATGCAAAGGAATGACAGAGGAGGCAACACCTGGAGAAGGACGTGGGGGCAACAGAGGGCTTGGGGAGAATTGCTGGAGCTGTTGAGCGAGAGGGAATACGGGACCTAGGGCAAAGGAGTTTCCCATAGCTGGCAAGGTCCATCTCCAGGAACAGGAGTGAGGGGAGAACGGAGACACAGAGCTCAGAGGATGGGGGAAAGCAGGTGGGCGCCTGTGCAATGCCTCCTCCATGTAATGGGA
The DNA here is from genome assembly GCF_000001405.40 of Homo sapiens. NCBI lineage: Eukaryota > Metazoa > Chordata > Mammalia > Primates > Hominidae > Homo > Homo sapiens. The sequence continues at coordinate 43,752,611 of NC_000003.12, forward strand.
AGCTCGTCACCAGAGGGAGGCTGTGAGGCTCTGAGGGAAGAGAGAGGCAGCAAAGGCAGAAAGCCCCTGGACAGGGTGGGGCCTGTGATAGGCAGACCTCTGGGGGGCTGCTGCCCCTGCTCCCACTCCCCATGTGGGCAGCTGTCCAGCTGCTTTCTGCCCCACCAGCCTCAGGGAAAGAAGATCTCAGAAGGCAGAAAGGCAAGGGTAAAGGGTAAGGCTGGCCTGGAAATCCTTCCCTGCTGGCTATCTGCCGCCAGGTAGAAGTAGGCCGCCAGGTAGAAGTAGCCCACCTGTCCACCAGCCAGTCAGCGAGCAGACCTCCATCTTCTTTATTAAACACCTTCTAAGCTCCTGACACTGAGTGGTTGCTGGGTATATTAAAGTACTGTCTTTCCTACTAGACTCACTGCTGTGTCATGTGACTGGAGCTCAGTTGGCAATGAGACTCTGAAGGAGGAGCAAGTCTTTCTGCCTAAGAGGTGAAGGCAGAACTTTGTAGGAGTTGGCATTAACAAGTCAGCAGTTTTTTTTTTTTCTTTGTTTTGAGACAGAGTCTTGCTTTGTCACCCAGGCTGGAGTGCAGTGGTGCGATCACGGCTCACTGCCATCTCTGCCTCCCAGGTTCAAGTGATTCTTGTGCCTCAGCCTCCTGAGTAGCTGAGATTACAGATGTGTGCCACCATACTTGGCTAATTTTTTGTATTTTTAGTAGAGATGGGGTTTCACCATGTTGGACAGGCTGGTCTTGAACTCCTGGCCTCAAGCAATCCACCCACCTCAGCCTCCCAAAGTTCTGGGTTACAGGCGTGAGCCACCGTGCCCTGCACAAATCAGCAGTTTTTCGTTTTGTTTTGTTTTTCTCGGAAGAAGACCAGAAGGGCATTCCTGCAGAGAGAATAACATCGGCCAAGGCACCCAGGTGTGAAGGTTTCAGCCTGCTGGCCTTACCTGCTGTAGAAGAGGCTCCCAGTGCAAATAAGTCTTTGTAGCTGTCAGGAGAAGGTTTCTATGGAGAAGAATATTATTCAGGAAGCCTAAGGGGGCTTGATGGACAAGGACACAGGGAAGTGTCCCAGGGTGAGAGGGAGACCAGAAAATGGACCCTTTGGTTATGGTAGGCCCATGTTCACTGAACTGAATTGTTCAAAATCCAACTCTAATGTCTGTGATGGGGACCCTGCAGGGGCACCCTCCTTTAAGTCAGTAGTCAGAAGCTGAGCTTAGTCACTAAATTGGCAGTGTCACCTCTGGAAGGGACAGCTGTAGTATTTAAGTCACATGTGAGCCATCACATTCCTGAGTTATTCAATCACAAGAAAATTGATATCTCAAATCTGCAGAGGAGAGGAAATGAGCTAATATTTCTTGGGGGCTCTTTGAAATAGCAGATAACATACTAAGTACTTTGGCATTTTCTCCCTTAAGCCAACACCTTCGCTTCTTGTACATGTTGTATCTATTAAGAAATAGGGGCTCAAAGATGTGCTGCACAACTGACACAGAGCCAAGGTGGCCAACTAACAAACCTGTGCTCATTCCCAAATGGCATGAACCCAAACATCTGTGGAGGCCAAGCGAACATCAGCTCAGGTGTGATGATAAAGGGCAACTGAGCCTCCCCTTAATTAGAGGGAGTGACAGGGGGACTGTGTGCCTCATGGGAGTATAAGCCCAATCTTTCTGTACCTTTTAGCTTTTCCAAAGAAGCCAGAAATCTGGATTTTGAATGAAGTTTCCCATGTCTGAAGTATAATTACTTAAAACACTGTGCTGCCCAAACAAGACACATTGATGGGTTAGCCCCCAGCTGTGAGTTGCCATATTCCAAGTGTCCTAGTTGGGATTGCATTTAGCTGTGTGTGACACATTCCTGCTAGGGTAGTGCAAGCACAAAGGAATTTGTCTTCTCCCATAACGAGAGGTCTCAGGAGGTAGTACAGGGCTGACGTGAGCTCTGCAATGCTGCTGTCATTGTCCCAGCTGTGTTCATCTTTCTGCTCCATTCTCTTGAGTGGGAACAGCAAACAAAATACAGTTAGCCATCTGTGTCCATGGGCTCCGTATCTACAAATTCAACCAGGATGAAAAATATTTGGAAAAAAATAATGCAAATAAAAAACCAATGGAGTGTAACAACTCTTCAAATAGTATTTACATTGTATTAGGTACTACTATAAGTAATTTAGAGATGATTTAAAGTACAGGGGAGGATGTATATAAGGTATCTGCAAATACTACTCTGTTTTCTATCAGGGGCTTGAGGAGAAATCTGCAGATTTTAGTTTTCAAGGAGGTTCTGGAACCAATCTCCTGCAGATATCGAGAGAGGACTGTACTCAGCGTGTGTAAGCAAGGCAAGATCAGGGATCTGTCTGGTTGAAGTTTGCTTGCATTGCTCTTGGTGCAGACCTCCACCAGTGAAGTAAATCTGTAGAGGTACCTGCTGTGGGAAGAAGCCATTGTCCCCTCTGAGGGGTGCTTTCTTCTGAGTTGGCATGAGCAAAGAGGAACTTAGAACCTGGCTTTAGCTCTGCAAGTGAAAATTTCCTCCAAGTAAAATAAGAAAGAGTCTACATTCTTCTCTTACTGAAGCCAATCTAGAATGTCCTCTTCCCTCCCCTGATCTCTAGCTCATCTCACCCAGGTGCAACTTTCACATTCTTTCCATAAAAATTCTCTGGATTGATAAAAAATCAATCTACCTGAGCTGGATGAGAGATGAAACCATCCCTTGATATAAAGATGGTTTGAAGTAGAAGGAAAACCTCCCTGTGCAGGGGTGAGGCTGGGTTGGAAGAGAGTTGGAGGCTAGGGAAGTGTTGAGTGAAGGTCCTTCCTGGGACTCATGGACTTCAGCATTTCCAGGGAGACAAGGTGAGTGGAGTTTCAGGCATACCCTAGAGTGTGTTCTTTTCTACCTGCAATATTCATGAACAAGAACACTATTTTATTTTTCCTGTTCTAGGGAAAATTCTCCCAAATGGTGAGATAGGGAGAAAAGCCCTCCTCCTCCCTCTGGCCTCCACCCAGGCTCAGGTTTTTTGTTTCAGCTGCAAGGGCTGTGGCTGGTATCTTTTCCCCTTCTCTCGGTGAGTGGGAGGAGCTGCAGAATATGTTAATTCACACACATCAAAGATACACAAAGACCCAAATGACTGCAGAAAAGAGAACAACAGGATGCACAGAGCCTTAGCCTAATCAGTTAACTTACATTCTTTGCATAGAGGTTTGGAAGAAAAAATAATTACCAGGCTAAGGAAAGCCTTCCTAGCTTCCAAAATTCCAATGACTTTCTCCACCAGGATTATGCTGGGATGTGGCAGAGGGCACACCAGAGTCTGTAGGGCTTCCACGCAGGATATTCAAGTCTCAGGTGGTCGGCAGGCACAGCTTTCACAGCCAGGCCTTGCTTGGGACTCGGCCCCCGAGCATTGGTGAGAATTCTATTTAGGTCTTCCGTCTTTGCACATTTATTATTACTGGTTCTGGTGGGGTGGTTCTCTTTGAGGCAGTTTACACCGTGAACCTGAGTTGAACTCAGGCTCTGGCACTTACAACCAAGTGACCTCGCAGGTCTGTTTTCCCAGAAGCAGACCACTAGATAAACCTTTGCACGAAAGTGTTTCATTGCAGAATACTCCTAGGAAAATACAATAGGGGGACAGGAGAGTGGGGCCAGGAAGGGAAGGAGGCCAGGCAGGGTGCAAAGGGGCAGCATCGAACACAGTCCCATAGAAGGAGGAGGAAAGGCTCCCACTTGGCTCAATTCTGGTGGAGCTCTGGGGTCAGTGGAGACCACACCTGAGTGTGCCTGTCAAAGGCAAGGGAGCTAGAAACATTTATAGCCCTGCACCCAACAGTCTAAGGTTCAGGGCTTACCTGGCACACCTAAATTCCCAAGGACCCCAGACTCTTGTGGGTAGGCAAAGTAGACCCTGGTAGTCAGAGGCAGCTGTTCTCAAAAGTGACAGAAGCCAGGCACATGGGAGTTGTTGTTCACAACACTTGGGCAGTGGCTGAATCTGCTACAAGTGACCTCAAGCAGTTGACTTAGTCCGTAAGACCCATGTGAAAAACGGGGATTATAATGTACCCTCTTCACAGGATTGATGTAAGATCAAATAAGATGATACATAAATGTAAAGCACCCTGACAATTACTGCTCAGACATGGTGAACTCTCACTAAATAATACTATGATTATGCCGAACAATGGCACAAATTTAACTTCTGGATCTGTAGCCTATTAAGTCAACCCACCTTTCTCCTGTCCCCATGAAAGGCATGGCTACTCCATCCTGAAGGACCCTTGCCTTGTCATCCTTGTTGGGGCTGAAATCCTGGTAGCCATCATCAATCTACCTGAGCTGGATGGGAAGTGAAACCATTTACCTGCTCTGAAGTGGAAGGAAACCCTCCCTGTGCAGGTGGCCCGGTTCCTGCTCCCTGAGCCCTTCAGCATGGCTGTTCCTACCTGCCAGTGTGGCTCCTTCAAAGGGTTCCATGCTGAGAGGCTGGCTGCTCATTTTGAAGATGTGGATACCACTCAGATATTTTTGGAACTTGACTTTAAAGCCTGTCTAGTTCATGGAACAGCAACGTCAATCACTTTTTACTGAGCATGTACTACGTGCCACACATTCTACCAAAGGCTTGCTAGGCAATAGTTACTTAATGTTCACAGTACCCTGGGAGGTAGGTGCCACTATCTCCATTTAAAGATTTCCCCTCAGGGATACTGAAGTTGGAGGTCTTAAGAAGCTTCCTTAAAGTCACACACTCAGGAAGAGGCATCTTGTCTACCTCCTTAGCCCACGTTTGGAGTCATGTGCAATTAATCCACTCACTCCTTAAACCTATGCATTCCCATTTGTGCGTATCGAATTTTATAATTATTTCTAATCTGCCTCTAAGATTTAATAGAGGTTAAGCTTTCTATGTGAGCTCACTCTTTCTTTCCTTCTTCTTCTCCTTCTTCCTCTTCCTCTTCCTCCTCTTCTTCTTCTTTTGTTGCTTTAATAAAAGTGTTTAAAATAGCAGTTACCAGAGCTGCTGTTTTCTCTGCCTCTTTCGCCACCAGCCCACTGCCCTCATCACTGATGTTTATCTCGTGAGACCTAGGCCCCAGTTCTTTGCATTTAGAGGAGACAGCCCACAGTCCTGCAGATCTGAGATCTTGCAGCCTTTTTGCAATGACTCTCAGTTCTTACATCTTACATGAGAGTCATAATCCTAGGTCAAAGGTCAGTTCTTACAACTTTCAGTGAGAGTCATAATCCTAGGTCAAAGGTTTTTGGACTCCTTCCTCTCTTAGAGCTCTTCTGCAAATGATTCTTATTTGTGCTCAGCCAAATGTGCCTGTCCTGAAGGAGACAGGTACAGGGAAAAGAACAATGACTGCTTCTGCCTTGCTTGGCCCCCTGGAAGTGCAAAAAAGCTTAAGGTGTCACCAGCTCTGCAGTCCACACCAGCCTCTTCCTTGCCAGTTAATGGCATCTGTTCACCAACCAGCAGCAACCAGCTCATACCTCAGCCATTCTCCTTTCTTTTCTGCATTCTGAACACCAAGTGCAGAGACTCTGCACTTTTTCCATCTTCTGCACATGATATTTTCACAATGTACCAAAGTTCATTGTGGGCAGAGACTGTGTCTTAGTAAACACTATAAGAAACAGTGTATAAAGCACCAAGACAAAATTAAAAAAAAAAAGAAAAAAGAAGAACTAAGATATGGGCCCTACCTATCTGGAAGCCAGGTTTGCTGACCAAAGAACTCCCCCTGTGCCAGAGAGACAAGTCAACAGTGATGCTTGTGGAATTCTCTGGTCCCACCATGTTCCTGATTATCCACAAGAATCCTCCCCTTCAGTAGCAGCTGTGGAAGGGGGCCCATGCTGCCATGTAACCTTGGATGAAGTTTGCTCTGGATTAAGGGGCTGTTCTGGAGATTTATCAACCTCACCCCCTTCCAAATGGAAAGTGTTTTTGAACTTGCCTTGCTTGAATTGCATTATTGTATTTAGGATGTGTTAGTGAGGACTGTTGTTACAATCAGGTTGCAAAATTATGAGGAGGAAACACAAGGCTTGACTGTTACAGAACCAGGGAGAAACAGATTCCACTGGAGATTGTGGACTCTGAGAAAAATGGTTAACAAGGTCATCTCTGGGTGTAGTCACACAGCTGTGACTGTGGGTGTCTCTCACGGGTAAGTGCATGTTTGCACTTTTAGATCTTGGTAAATGCAGGATCCTTTAAAAATGTGCTATGAGAAGAAGGATGTGTGAGCCTGGCAGGCACAGAAGTGGAATGAGTGCACAGGTTTCCTGGCCCGGTCTGCCTCGGCCACTTCCAAAGAAGTTGCCTTGCCCACAGAACAAAAATAGAACAATCAGCCTTTACCTTCAACAATTGAAACCAAGGATGCAGATGTCGCAGGTGACTGGTGTGAAGCCAGGAGCCTTGTTACAGAGGCCTGGGTGAGGTGAGCCAGCAGGGTAGGAGGGCCAGGGGAGGAGGGAGGAGAGGAGAGTGCTATTTGGCTTTCTGAGGGCCTTTTTTCCCTGTAGTGGTGGAGCTGCCTCTCTTCCTGCTGTTTTTCCTGGGCAGCTCCTTCCTTCCCATAAACTCCCCTTCCTGACCAGTAAGAGGGCTTCTGATTCTTGTAACCCCTGACTAGGGCAAATGCCGGCCAGCTTGACCTTCCAGGCTTTCTCCACCCTCTCCACCAAAGGCATGTCCATAAATGCTTCAAATTCCTGAGTGCAGGGACTGTGGTGCTTCACCCTCATCCTCGCCTCGCAGACTGTCCTGGGTCTGGCTCATAGCAGGAGTCCCATGGCTGGTGAACAAACCGTGACTCTCTGGAGCCACATCATTCTTCCTGTAAATCAGCTGCCACCTGACCAAGGCCCAGAATAGTCCAGGCCCATGTCATCCCGAGCACTCTTGTGTGGAAAACAATGAGCCACAGAGGTGCAGAGGCAGTTCACCCACTGCTGAGTGTGCTGAATTCTGGCCTCCGTTGAATGTGTGCTGATGACACATGCCATCTTTTAAAGCTTGTAGAGCCCCCTATTGTCCACAGGTACAAACACAAAGCATTCTGATCACCCTGCAAAGCAAAATGAACCCAGGAGTGGGTGTCATAACTGGATCCTAGAAGCAGAACTCCCCAGTGGGTGTGAGGACCAGTAGCCTCAGAATCTCCTGGGGGATTGGTAGAAATGCACATTCTTGGGCTTCCCCTGAGACCTGCTGGATCAGAATATGCATTTCAACAAGATCTGCTCCCACTTCATCCCCATTATTTACTTGCATGTTAAAGTCTGAGAGGTGCTCATTCAGAAACACATTCAGCTTCATAAACAATATTTCTAAAGTTCTAGATACTTTTCATGTTAAGAAGAAAGAGTAGCACCCCCATGCTCATGCCCATGACAGAAGGGGGTGCCATGTGGTCGTTCAGAGTGTGAGCCTGGCTTCAGAGCCCACTGCATGACCTGGGTGGCCTCCTAACTTCCCTTAGATTCAGTTTCCTTATCTGTAAAATGAAAATAAAAGCAGGAACTACCCCAGAAAACTGCTGTAGGGATTAAATGAGAATATACATATTTAAATAGCTTAGGACTAGGTCCTTACTACATGTGCGCTACTATTATTTTGCATCATCAAAATAGTTGCCATTTAGTAAGTGTTTGCTGTGTGTTAAATACTGTGCTAAGCACTTCATACCACACATGGAGGTATTATTGTCTTCCTACTGAAGAGGAAACAGAAGGTCAGAGTGGATCAGGATCTTGGACTGAGATCTTGGCTCTCGAAGGCTAGCCGTGCTCTTACCCCCTAAGTCATGTCACCTGTTGAGGTCTATGGTATAGCTACAAAGGGGCCAACCAAAGAGGGAACCCATTTCTGTATGTTACGTTAAGACACAATGTGACACAAAGTAACTCACAAATTGCCTGTGTATATCCTTTGCCAGTTTTTATTTCCTCTTTGCTTTGTATTATTCCATCCATGTGAAACACCATCAACAATGCCAGGCCCTTTGTAAGTATTCAATAAATATTAGCCATTATTTGGAGGAGTTCTCTATGTATTCTTTATACCAATCCGTTTTCAGTTACATCCATTTCAAATATCTTCTCCCAGTATGTGGCTTATCATTTTTTACATAGTGTTTATTGCACAAAGGCTTTAAATTCTAATATTGCCAGATTTATCCTTTTTTTTTTAAGGTTTGTGTTTTGCATGTCTTAATTAAGAAATTTTTACCCCATGGTCATAAAGATACTTTTCTATGTTATCATCTAATGTTTTAAAATGTTACTTTTCTCATTTAAGTCTGTTTTTAAAAGCACCCCCGCCGCCACCCTTTCAAATGTGTTTGGAATATGTCCTTACATATGTATATAATCTTGTAAAATACATACATCTGCCTTGTGTCTGTTTTTAATTTACATAATGGAATTTTGCTACAAATCTCATTCCGTTTCCTACTTTTCCTACGCCACATGTTGCTCTATAGATTCTGTGTTTGCTTCTAAGTGCATTGTCACAGTTTACTTATCCATTTCCCTACTGAAAGATACCAGACTGCCTCCAACTCCCCAACAGAAAAACAGTGCAATATACCACCTGGTACTTTGTGAGAACTTCCATGGGACTGATGTGCTCAGGGTGGATTTGTTAGGTGTTGAAGCCAGTCAATGGATTCTGAATTTTGTTAAATGTTGTCAGAAAGATCTCCAGAGAGGTGGTTCCACCTTATATCTCCTAGCAGTATAGGTCCTCACTTACCCACATTTCTAACTTTTGCCCTTCCTGTGGATAGAAGAGCACATCTCATTTGAATTTCAATTCCTCAGATCACTGCTGATCTGGAGCTTCTCCTCCCATACTTGTTGGCCATTTGGTCACTTCTCCTGTGCATTGCCTGATGACCACTCTCTATTTCCTGTTGAATTTTTGTCATTGTTGATTTGTAGTAGACACATACTTGACAGTCTAGATAGTCATCCTTGGATTTTTGATGCTGCTGATACCTCCTCACTGTTTCATATTAGCTAAGAATTTCTTTCTGTGTCCTTCACTAAACAAACATGCCATACACACACACACACACACACACACACACACACACACACACAGTCAAAACTGTTAGCCGAGCACATACTATGTGCTGACACCACTAGGTACTTGTCTTAGTTTGGGTCCTTGTGAAGCTAATCTTGAGGCAAAGATATTGGTGTAAGTGGTTTATGTGGGCAGTGAAAGTAACACCTTAGGGAAGTGGGGAAGTGACCTACAGAAGGGAGGTGAGCCAATAAATGGTGTGTTATGAAACAAGTTACCACTGTAGGTGACAACCTTAATTCTGCTGTAGAATTCTGGGAGCCAGTGTAGAACTTGCCACTTAGAGTCAAGTGTTTACATCCCAGCTCTGTCAGTCATTACTTTGGGGGACTGGGAGGGTGTTAAATACCCAGCACTTCAGGCTTACTGCTGAGGCAGCAAACTGGGCTCTAGCAGCAAAGAAAGGTCTCAGGCAAAGCAATGTGGGTGCCTGCAGTCCCCAACCACCCCACCAGGCAGGCTCTGAGATGATGAGGGCGAGGGGACATGGGCAGGGCACCAAGAAGGCTAGCGCTCGGGCTTTATGTGCATTATCTTGAACCCAGAAGTCAAACAAAAAATAAAACACAAAACAAAAAACCAAAGCTCTGATAGCTTATGAGGTATGATTATGCCCATTTTTCAGGTGTGAAATTGAGGGTTGGAGAGGTGAGGTAAATTGCATGAAGTTAGTGGCAGAGCAGTGATTCAAACAAAGAATGTGCATCAGAGCTGCCTGGGAGAGTTTATAGAAGGCAGAGTCTAGGTCTGGGATGAGCTCAGACTACATTTGAGCTCGGTCTACATTTTAATCACGTGTTTGATATAGGTATCTATGTTAGTTATCTATTTCTGTGTGACAAAGTACATCATTACTTGGCAGCTTAGAACAAAAAATGATTATCTCACACAGTTTCTGAGGGTCAGGAATCCAGCGTGGCTTCCCTGGGTGGTTCTGGCTCAAGGTCTCTCACAGCATTGGAATCAAGTTATTGGTCAATCCATTTTCAAGTATGTTCCTCCCTGCTGTTGGTGACGGAACCATTCACTATCTCGACTGTAGTGGCAGATATATGAACCTCCATAGGTGATAAAAACATAGAACTCAGCCAGGCGTGGTGGCTCAAGCCTGTAATCCCAGCACTTTGGAGGGTTAGACAGGGAGGATTGCTTGAATCCAGGAGTTTGAGACTAGCCTGGGCAACATGGTGAAACCCCATCTCTCCAAAAAAAAAAAAAAAAACCCCAAAATTAGCCAGATGTGGTCTCGGCTACAAGGGAGGCTGAGGTGGGAGGATCACTTGAGAATAGGTGGTCGAGGCTGCAGTGAGCCTTGATTGCACCACTGCACTCCAGCCTGGGTGACAGAGCAAGACCCTGTTTCAGAAAAATAAATAAATTAATTAATAAATTAATTAAACAACACACACAGACACAAAGACAGAGAGAGAGAGAGAGAGAGAGAATGCCCAGGACATGTGCAACTGGGGAAATCTGAACAAGGGCCATGGTTTGTGTCAATGCCAGTCTCTTGGTTGTGATATTTTACTACAGTTTTGCAAGATCTTAACATTGAGTGAACCCAGGTAAAGAGTACACCAGGTCTCTCTGTTTTACATCTTACAATTGCATGTGGATCTATAATTATCTCAAAATAAAAAGTTCAAATTAGAAGAAAAGATTTAGGCAAGAATGTTCAGAGCAGCTTCGTTCATAATCACCTTGTTAAAACCACCCCCAAGCCCATAAAACTGAAGAATGAATAAATAAATTGAGGTATATTTGCACAATGGAACCATTTACAAAAATGAACATGAATGAAGCACAACTATATGCACCATGAATAAATCTCACAAACATAATGTTGAGTGAAAGAAGCCAGACACAAAAGAGTATGCACAGTCTATTTATATAAATACAAAACCAGGCAGAAGTAGTCTATGCTCTTGGGAATCAGTGGAATCATTACCACTGGGGTAGTACTAACCAGAAGCAGGCATGAGAAAGAGCTTCTGGGGCCCTGGTGATGTTCCCTTTTTTCATCTGGGTGCTGGTTACATAGGTGTGTCATGTTTGGGAAATTTACCAAGTGCGCGATTATATATGCACTTCTCTGTACGGGTGCTCAATAAAAGTTTAAAAAAGTTTAAGATGTAACATATTAATACCCAGTTTTGAGTGCTATGTGCCAGGCCTTTTCCCAGGCATTTTACATGGAATGTGTCATTTACATTTTTGACCAAGTTTCTAGTATTTATTCCCATTTACAGATGAGAAAACTGTGGTTAAGAGAAGTTGTATTCTAGGGCCACCTGGCTGCCCTATGAGGGACCCATACGTCACCAATGCTCTCAGTCACCTTGGGGTTCATAGATAAGGCCAAGTCATTAGTAACTTCATTGAAAATGGACCTCTTCACTCAGCAACAAATGATTGTCCTGGTAACACCAATCATGGCTCTTTGCCCAAGTAAGGGGGAACCCCTGCAAAGAACACTTGTGAAACTCGAGCACTTTATCTTTTTCTGAAAGCCAGGGCAGGCCTATGGTAGGGGATGAACTGTTAATTGGTAAACACTGTAATTAAGTGGGGAGGCCTCAATTTAAGCCATCAGAATTGTAGTTGACCATGAAAGTGTGAAAAGAACCATGATTAATGAACTTGCTAATAGTCTTTTCCTGTTAATGACATTCTTTTATGTTTTAGTAGGAGCACATGTGGTGATTGCAAATCAGTGAGTACGCAAACCAATGTAACTTTTCCCTTAGCTGAGTTTGGTTTCTGTCCTGGAGTCCCATTCTGCCTGGTGGTGAAAAACTGAATTTTAGTCAATTCAAGGCTTTTTCTCTTCCCCCCTGTCCCTAGGCTAAAATGCCAGGGGAGAGGGTATGTAGCATGGTGGTTAGGGGGCATCTGGTTCCTGATTGTCATCTGTCCACCCTGGTATCAACTGGGATGACATCCTCTTAGTGTGACAATGCATGCTGGCTTTTTGCCACACTAACATCTGCTGTGACATCCTGTCCCTCCATAGCCTCTGGTCTTCCTTGCATCCACTGCTGCATTCCTCTTGTCTTGGCCACCAGTTCCCCTTGTCGCTTCTTTCAGTGCCTTCTCAGGGGGAATGAGGGCTACTTGGCCATACTGACTGTACTGGATACAGTTGGTGGCCCAAACCCCTTCTTCTGGCCTGTGCACTTTTGCCCCAGCAGCTTGAATATTGAAAGCTAAGCGGTCACACCTGCTTGCCTCAAGAATTGTCCTTGGCCAATGGGTGGTGCTGCATCTGGAAGGGGGCATTTAGGTCTTTCCCTTAGGGCAGCATAAAGCTAATGATGGACTGATGAGAACCTACAAAAGGCCAGACCCCTTGCCTTCAGGTGGGAGCCATTCAATGGTGCAATTCGTGCTCCTGACCTCCACGTGGGATCAGGCTGCAGCCAGATTCCAGCTGGGACCGCATCCTGGCCTGGCTCCTTGTGCTGACCTTCCTTGCTTCCCTCACTTTTGGGGTAGTTCTCCTAAAGCACCTCCTGGATAAATGACTTCCACAAGCATCTCCATCTTAATCTTCACTTTAGGGAGCTTAGGCACTGTCCCACCCCATGGGGCAGGGGATGCAGGGAACTCTAGGCTGTGAGTCCTCACTGCATAGATGCACCCTGAGCCAGGCCAGCATGTATGTGTGTGGGGGAAGGGGTACAGGGGTGGGAGGGAGGTTGTTCTCTGAGAAGTTTGCTGCCTTCCAACCTTCTCTTGGAGGTGAGGCACAGATTCCTTCAACACTTGAATCCCCACAGCTCTCAAAGGGTTTCTATCAGGCAGAGTGCCTTCCCTGCAAGTGAGAAAATGTAACATGAGCCAGCTTAAATCATTTCTGAACCACTCAGCTGTAACCCAGGGATTGAGTAAGAGTCAGGGCTAACCTAGTCTGTATCTGAGCTCTGCCTCCCCCCTCGACAGTTCTTTTTGCTTTACTCTCTTCCAGGTATTGGCATCGTCTTCTGTCCAAGCAGATGTGCGGCCCAGAGTGCCAAAGTCATTGCATCTTACAGCTCATGTTCAAGAGAAGACAGACAGAACTGATTCTGGAAGCTCTTCTGGCAGAGTAAAGAAAACTTCCCAAAAAGCTGCTGACAAATTTTGCCTTCAATCTCTGGGGCCTAAATTTGGCCACGTGCCCATTTCTGACCCAATCTGGCCCAGCCCTGGAGCTGGTGTGGGATCTGCTTCCCTTCCCAATACATGGGATCTTTGTGAAAGGGAAAGGGAACAATAGCATCCTCCTGGAAATGAAGGAGGAGGTGAGCACCATGCAGGGTGCACAGTCAACAATGCCCATGCCTGACTTTGTTGTCCAGTGGACTAGGGTGGGGAGCAGGGCACAGGAGGCCTTCCCAGGGAATCCTTCTCAGGGTCAATATTGGCAATTTCATGCTGCTCAACCAAATGCTGCCAAGATGCTCTTCAGAATGGCTAGACACATTTCCACTCTAACTGATAGCTTCAGGATCCCTATTTTTTCTCATATTCACCAGCACTTGGTATTACTTATTGTTTTAGGGTCTCCAGAGAGACAGAGCTAATAGGATATACATACAGATATAGGAAAGAGGATTTATTAGGAGAACTGGCTCATGTGATCACGGAGGCTGAGAAGTCCCATGTTGGACCATCTGTAAGCTGGAGAACCAGGGAAGCCAGTAGTGTTGCTCAGTCCAAGTCTAAAGGCCTCAAAACCAAGGTGTGATTCTCAGTCCAAAGCCAAAGGCCCAAGAACGTGAGGGGCCGCTGGTATAAATCCTGGAGTCCCAAGGCTAAAGGCCCGAGAACCTGAGGGACCACCAGTGTAAGTCCTGGAGTCCCAAGGCCATAGAGTCTGGAATTATGATATCTAAGGGCAGAAGGAGCAGAGAATCCCCAGCTCTAGGAGAGAAAGGAGAAATCCTATACCCTCTTTTTTTGTTCTATTCCAGCCCCCAGCAGATTGGATGGTGCTGACCACATGAGGGCAGATCTTCCTCACTCAGTCCATTGACTCACACACCAGTCTCCTCCATAGGCACCCTCCCATACACAACCAGAAGTCATCTTTACAAGTAATGCTTTACTAGTTCTCTAAGTATTCCTCACACTTACTTTTCCAATGTTTAAAGACCTGATAGGCATTAAAAGAATCTCAATATTGCTTCAATTTGCACTCTTCTAAATTCTGGCAAGATTAGTCATTTCATCAGGTATTAGTTAGCCAGCTCATTTCCTGTCCAGCAAATTGGCTATTCATAGCCTTTGCCAATTTTTCTAGTGAGTTTCCTACCCATTTCCCTTGTAGTCTAGATCAGGAGTTGACACAGGTTTTTTTTTTTTTTTTTTTTTTTTTTGGTTGGTTTTGTTTTTTGTAAAGGGCTAGATATTAAATATTCTAAGCTATGAAGGTCATATTGTCTCTGCTGATGTAGCACAAAAGCAGCTATAGACATAAATGTATAAATGAATGGGCATGGATGTATTCCAATAAAACTTTATTTATTTATTTTTAGTTACAAACACAGGTGACCAATTGGATTTGGCCCTGTGGGCTGTAGTTTGCCAGCTCTTATTATAGATATTATCTTTTGGCTTTAGACAACGCAAAATCTGCTCCAAGTCTTCACCTATCTGTTTTCTTTGTCTAAAGCATTCTTTTAAAAAAATTCTTAATTTTGATATAGTCAGATTTGCCCAGTTTTCATCCGAGGGTTATGTTTTTGAATTATGTTAAGACACCCTTCTCATCCCAACAACACAAAGATATTCCCCTCCTTCCTTCCTATTAACTCTTTATTTCTGTTGGCTTTCACATAGCGAGGTCTTGGATCTGTTAGGTGTTTGCATTTGTATGTGATGGAAGATGTGGCTTTATTCTTCTCCCTGTAGTGAACTATTCTCCTCACACCAGCAGCCAAACCATCCTTTCTCCACAGATTTGTAGCAGATGAAACCTTTAATTTGAAAAAAGAAAGGATATGTGGTTAGGCTTACCTATGCGACCAAATGCTGTTCTATAGTGCTTGCCTGCTCACCAAGTCCCAGCTCTTTTCTGGTCCCCCAACATGCCCAGGGCTTTGTGGTCTCAGAAACATCAACAGGCTCTTCCCTGGTGCATGGCGGGCCCTTCCTCATCCTTCAGGTCTCACTCCAAGTATCAACTCCTTGCAGATGTCTTACCTGAACACCCTCTCATTTACTCTGTTACTTAACCCAATTGGAAATTATCATTTGCATTTGTTTACTTGTTTATTATCCACCTTTCCCTATTAGATTGTGAGTTTCATCAGGCAGAGCTGGGGCTGAGGGCAGAGACTGGAACTGCGTTATTGGTTGGTCACTGCCTCCCTCGTGCCTGGCATACGGCAGACTTGAATTAAAGATTCCTGGAAAAACAGAACAAATGAGCAAGTTTAATTGATTTTTCAGAGGCAATGGGTCATTAGATCGCCCTGGCATTGTCTAATAAATTCTCCTACCCTCTTTGACAACGTACAGAATTAGAATTAAGGTTTGTCCTTCAACCCCACCCCACTCAACACCTTTATCATTTGATAAAACATCTCAGTAGCTTGAGTGTATTTATCACACCTGCATTTATTCACAGTTCGATCTGAGAGCCCTTGTTAACTCCCTTAAAATATCTGATTGAATTTCATGTGGAAGCGAATGCCACAGATTAAATATATGTTGTGTTAAGAAGCTTCCCGTTTTATCACAGCCTGTGCACTGCCAGAAAAGCATTCTGCATGTTAATTAAGATAGCTGGGGGATTTTTTAAAGACTTCTTTTTCTCCCTTTAACTTTATAATGCATTCAGGGGAAGGGAACTAAGGCAACTATTTGCAAAGCTGTAAAAATCAGTGTCGAGTCAGATGGGTTGTGGGATCCCAGGGAGCTTCAGTGACGGGCCAGGGCACTGTCTGTGCATGTCAGCAGCAGGCTGAGTCTAGGAGCCGGCTGTGAAGGAGCTTGGAGAGGCTGAAGGGAGGAAGTTCTGACTTCTGACTTTAGTAGGAACAGTGCCCTTCTGGCTAAGGCTGGAATTTTGCCCAGGGAACAGTTAAGTAAGAGGTGGGGTGGGAAGTGATCAAATCCAAGAATCAAAGTGGACAAGATGAATTTGGATATGGAGAATGGAGAAATCTGACCTTCCTCCCAATTAGAATGTCAGTGTAGCCAGGACTGTGTGGCAAGACCAAGAGGGGGCTGCAGATGCCTGCTTTAGCTGCTGCTAAGATGCCAGCACATTGGCCCTGCTAATGGGCCCAAATTCAGAAGTGACATGAATAAAACATGGATTCTGAAGTTCTTCAGACCTGGATTAAAATCCTGGCTTAGACACTTGTCACTTACTAGATCTCATTTTCCTCACCTGTGAGATGTGCATAGGGACACTGCTAGGTTCAGAGACCCTGGGTACAGCTGGCACATGGCAGGCTGTTAGCATATGGCACTTACTGCTGTTACATAAGAACCTGTGTCCACCTCCTGCTGTCAGGCACTTTGCAGCACCCAGCTGTTTGGTCACCTTTTCACCTCCCTTCACCTCTGTTCTAGTCTTGGCTCACCCTTCAAATACAACTGGCCCCTTACGTCGGGTGACCTAGAGAGTAGTCCCTGCCACTTGCACAATCCCAGTAAGCTCTAGTTAGGAAAATACCCTCATCCAAGTAGTTCCAGAATAACACTGCTGTTTGTTTGGGACTCCCTGACCCATAGCTTAGGAATCATGCATGCGCTGGGGTGACACTAAGAGCAACAAGATGTCCATCGGGAACCACTGCAGTTCCTCCGCCTCCCTTGGCACCGTGCCCTGGGACTGAGTTTGATTGCAGCGCCTTTCCCAGCTGTGACCAGCAGGGGGCGGCTCCTCTCTCTCGTGTCCCTTTCCAGTATCCTGGTAGGGTTCGTTCCCTCCCCAGCCCACTCAGGCCTCCTCCCGGGCTCCGCCTCTCGGGCTCCCTGAGACACGGCCCCGGCTCCTTCCGCCTTCCTTGGAGGAGGCTTGCAGACCTGCAGGGCGGGGCCTGACTGAGAGCGGGGCGGGATCTCCTTCCGGGCTGGGGAACAGATGCCCTGGCGTCCTTGGCACTGGGTTGGCTGGTCCCTCTCCGTCCTGGCTCCATTCCAAGCACGGCAGGCCCCGGGAGGGGCCCAGGCTGCTCCTTTTTCCAGCCAGGACAGAAAAGCATCAAGGAACTCTCGGTCATGAGACACGCCCGTCAGAGAGGAGGCACATTCCAGGAATGACATATGCCCTGAAATGTCATATGCTCTGAGGAGGTGACACTCCCCAATGGGTGACACAGCCCACAAAGGGGACATGGCCCACAAAGAGGTGACATGACCCACAGGGGTCACATGCTCCACAGAGGTGACATACTCCACAGAGGTGACCTGGCCCACAAAGGTGACATGGCCCACAGAGGTGACACAAGCCACAGAGGTGACACAGACCACAGAGGTGACACACTCCACAGAGGTGACACAGGCCACAGAGGTGACACACTCCACAGAGGTGACCTGGCCCACAGAGGTGACATGCTCCACAGAGGTGGTATGCTTCACAAAGGTGATATGGCCCTCAGGGACACACTCCACAGAGATGATCCGGTGCACAGAGGTGACATACTTCACAGAGGCAACCCGGCCCACACAACAACTGTGTCTCAACCATACTAGACACCTCAGGTATCAGAACCTTTCCATGGCACAGCAGGCCATGGAGCAGGCACTGCAGTGTTCGCCCTACAAACCCGGCGACTCAGTTCCAAGACCCTGCAGTCCAGAGAGCAGCTCAGAGGCAACGGGCCGAGGCCAGCCCAGCCGTTTTGCCTAAAGGTGGCTGCCAACCCTGGGGCCCTCAGCCTGGGCCTCCTGTGTCTCTGACCTCCTGCCTATAGAAGTCTGTTGCTCTTGCAAGGCCAGTAGGTAGACAGAGACAAGCATCAGTGAGAGGAAGAGTCATTTATGATTTATGAATAATGAACTAATTTAATCCTGGGTTTCTCTTGTGCCTCCCATTTAGTAATTTGTTCCATTTCTTAATGGCTCGAGTTCTTTATCAGGCTGTGACAGAGGCGAGTGGTGAGTCATCACACTGGGGATCAGGAGGGTGACCTAGATATTGGCACTGGGAAAGCAGTCCTGAGAGACGAGCATCAGCTCCACCCTCCACTCCCTCTCCACTGTGGGCAGCTCTGCGTTGGCACAGCTCCTATCTCTGCATCAAAGTGGCAGGAAGAGGTGGCCGTTCAGTGGAGGTGGGTGTGGCTGGGGCTTGTCTGAAGCTGTGGTTCCACAGCAAGCCCCTTGCTTGTGCTTAGATTGGACATCAGGGGAGAAGATGGAGAAGACTGGGGTCTAGCCCCACTACACAGCTGCATTGAGAGGGAGACAAGACTTTGGCGTCAGGCCACTTGGGCTAAAATCCTGGCTGCCACCTCTGTCTTTGTGACCCTGGGTGCATTGCTTTACCGCTCAGAGCCAAGAAAAGATGCTTCCAACAGTGAAGGCTGTCACCTCTATCCTCACGCTGCTGTCTGGTTTCTTGAACCTGTTATTTCTTTTCTTTTTATTACACACAAGTATATTGAGGCTTTGGAAGGTTAAACACCTTAACGAAGAGAGCAGGAGAGTGGTCTGTGTACAGAGGAGGGGAGAGTGGAACCTGAGAAGGCCTGGAATCAGGACCCCAGGGTGGACCCTTGAGGGCCAGCTTTGCCTTGCCTCCTCCGTGTCATCTTGCATGGCATCTGGCCCCAAAGTGCCCTCACACAGGAGCAGGCAGGGGGGCAGCAGGGGGCTGGTCAGACAGCAGCAGCCACTGAGAGCACAAGGAAGGACTAAAGCCAGCAGGTAGGTGGGGAGAAGAAGTGTGGGCAGCTGTAGGAGGCATCTGTCATGTATTTGCATAGTTAGCCCACCCTGTTGGCGTTTATCCTGTGAAGCAATGGTTATTGTGCCCACTTTACAGGCAGATACACTTGGGACAGAGGAGTCAAAGAATTGCCTAAGCAGCACAGCTGGTGCGGGGTGGAATCTGCCTTCTTCCAGCCTCTTCTCTAAATGCCGTCCCACTGCCTCTTGCCAGTCCCAGTTCTGATAGGTGTGGGTGTGTGAGGCCACCTGCTCTGTGATGATGGGTGTCCTCTTCCTCTTCTAGTGCTTGGTGGTCTACAGATCGTTGCCAAGTACATCAGCCCCTCTGATTCTCACAGTATTCCCGGGAGATGAGTATGAACAAGGATTATGAAAGAGTGAGAGTGACAGAGAGAGAAAGAGACAGAGACAGAGAGATAGATTAATATTAAAGTATAATATACAAACAGGTGTGCATATTATAAGTGCACAGGTCTCTGGATATTCATAAAGACTATTATTTAACTTCATTTTACTAAAAGAAAACTTAGGTTTAATGATGTGATATTCTGAAGTCTGTTTATGTGTCAAGCAATGGAGGCAGTATTCCAGATTACATCTCTTAATGTCCATGATTTGAAATGGATTTTTAAAATATTTAAAGTTTTGATTTTGATTTCTTTTGAGAGCAATATAATTTAATGGAAAATGGCAATGCCTTTATCTTATTAAGTTCATTACCACAAGTGGTTATATGAGAGGGAAATCAGGTGCTTTAAGCCATCCGCTCTTCTGTATTAAAACTCTTTATTTGGGGAATGAGAGTTCTACTGAAGTGTCTTAAGTAAAATTTGATTAAACTTAAGTAAAATTTGTTTAAAACTTGCAAGATGAACTTCATGGTTAAAGTCTAAAGTTTGCAGATTCAGAAAGACTTGAGGAAGGAACAGTGTACTTGAATTTTTTTTTGTAACATTTAATTAGTAGTGCATTGTTTACATCAACACTTTGTGGAATATTTTGGAGACTCAACAAAGCCTTCTTAAGGGTGGCCTGATCCTCGGCTTCCAAGTCTGTTTTTTAGCAGTGAAATGGCTTTCTTGTTCCCACATTTCAAAAAGAGGAAAACATTTCTGTCAGTTAAGCGAAGGGAGAGAGGAAGGTCTCACAATTGTGGTCGTGGTCAGGGGCGGAGACCTCTCCCCTTAGGATGCTCTACTTTTCTCCCTAGGGGGAGGTGACTGGGAGGGGACCTTTCTTCCAAGGTTTGGGAAACCTGGTAGATTCCTGCCTCTCTGGATGCTTTAATGGGGTCCCTGTGTGAAAGCAGGGGCTGGGGGTGTGTTACAAAGTCCCTTCCAATTCCATGAGAGCAGAATTTAGGGCAATTAGAAATTATCCCACCTGAGTCATCTTTCCCCTTCAAAGTGGTGTCTGAGGACTTTCTCAATTGACTCTGGAACAGGAGCAGAAAAACCCAATCAATTAGCCAATATCCAGTGACTGAGATGGACTGTCTCTGTCTGGGAATCGCTGGGGAAGCAGAGCCTGGAAAGGAGATTCATCTGGCAGGGGAGGGAAGATGAACGCTAAGGACTGGGAGAGCTGGACCAGTCAAGCTGAATTGGGCCTGACCCCCCAGTCCCACTCATAGTTAGACTCCAGACTCCAGACTCCAGACCCCAGGCAGTCACTTGAGAGGTCCAGCAGCTATGGCATGACAGGCAGTGGCCAGAGGAATTGCTCTCTGCCCCAGCCAGGCGGGAGCTTGCTCTGCCAGCAAAACCTGCAAGTCATCCTGCTGTAGCTGCCGGCCTGCAGAGACCAGCCCTGGTGGCAAGGAGGAGGTGTGAGGAGGAGGGAGCCTCTGGCAGCTTTTTGTTTCAGGCTAGAACTTTCTAGCAAGGCTTCAGAGCTGTCTGACCCACCTGCTGACTTATTCTCCCCTGCATTCCACTCCCCAAAGGCCACATCCGTCACACGCTGGCTTCCCCAGCCCAGGCATTCTCTCCTCGTGACATTGAGGCTGTGGAATTGTCCCTCCCTCCCTGGATCCCTGAGAACCCAGGAAGCCCACTTTCCCTCAATCACAGGCACATGGAGAGAATGAATTTCGTTTGGTTCATGTAAAGTTGGCTGGGTGATTTTGTTATTTTACTGGAACTAGTTGCCCACCTTTAAAAACTGGGAACTTTCACATATAAGCCCAGACTTCCTGCTTCTCTTGAAAGCCACTCTGGTGACACCGGGCCTGAGTCCCCATGTCGTCATGGAGGGGGTGTGCCATCTCTAGTGGCAACAGTTCTCACCTCTTCCATTTCTTGTGCCCCATTTATATGCCTCGCCCTCTTGGCCACAGAGTTAGTGCAAGCTCATCCTGGCACCTACAGAGGTGGAGAGCAGAGTGGGTGGTGTTCTGCCCCTGGACCACCTCCCCAGGGGACTGTGGGACTTCGTCTGCCTCCATAGCATCTGAGCCTGATCACCATCATGGCCCTTCCCATTTGTATTGAAATGATCCACTTTTTCCATGAGGATTATGGCCATTTATGGGCATTGGTTTAAATCTCCTTCCTCTCGCCTGGGGTCAGTTCATCTAATCACTTTTGGAGATGAATTTGGGGAAGTGATTCTCCACCTCCAAGACCCAAGGAAGGCTAAGTGGATCCAATGATTTTATTTCATTTTGAAGATGAAGAAACTGAGTCTCAGAGTGGTGTGTGGCATAGCTGACCTCTGCTAAGGAAGATCCTCCAGTGTGTGGCCTCCCTCTAGGTCACTGTCTACCCCAGGGTGGGCAACGGCATCCTTCAGGCAGGGGCTCTGGTGGGGGAGCCATAGTGGGAGAGTCCCTGGGTTGCCAGTTCCTATAGAAAGGCACATCACCGGCCGGGCGCGGTGGCTCACGCCTGTAATCCCAGCACTTTGGGAGGCCGAGGAGGGCGGATCACGAAGTCAGGAGATCGAGACAATTCTGGCTAACACGGTGAAACCCCGTCTCTACTAAAAATACAAAAAATTAGCCGGGCGAGGTGGCGGGCACCTCTAGTCCCAGCTACTCGGGAGGCTGAGGCAGGAGAATGGCGTGAACGCCGGGGGCGGAGCCTGCAGTGAGCCGAGATCGAGCCGCTGAACTCCAGCCTGGGAGACAGCGAGACTCCATCTCAAAAAAAAAAAAAAAAAAAAGTAAAAAAAGAGAAAGGCACATCACCCCTAGAGTGTTCTTCTCAGAGGGCCCACGTGGAGGATGCTGCCTGGCAGCCTGAGGGCAACAATCCAGCAGGTGAGCCCATGCCCTGCTCTGCCATCCATGCTCTCCCCTGAAAGGGGGCTCTGTGGAAGAGCCAGGTCCGCTGCACTCACCATCATTTCCAGTTGAGTGCCGTAACTAGGAGCTGTTCCCTCTGCAGGCAGGGGAATGCCAAGTGGGCCAGGAAAGCACAGTCAGTGGAGGAGGTGAAGAACTGTTTGAAAAAACTTCTTTCTCCAGCTTCCTCTTCAGCATATTCAGAAAGCTGCCTTCAGTGCCCTGTGGCTAGAAGGCAGGCTTTATAGCTCTGGGTACGTGTTGGGGTCCTCTTGGCTGGCATAGGTTTATAGCAAGAATTACTGGCCTTTGGAAGGGGTCAGAGAAGGGCTCCTGAGGACTTTAGTCTTGAAGCATGAGTTTGCAAGCCCAGGGGCTGGTGTGTGTCAGGGTGGTGGGGGGTATGTTTTGGTTAGGGGGATAGGTCTTGTCCTCAGGAAGACGAGGCTTGAGCTGTCTCCAAGTGAGCTCCACATGTGCTCTGTGTAGGGTAGAATTCCTGCCTCAGTAGCAGTGGTTGACCAGTTGTCCCAATAACAGGACACTCCATGTATTGGGAAAATTTAAAGGGGTTTTTAGCTCTGCCTCATTATTTTCTAACTGTGGAGCATCAAAAAGCCCAGAACCTCACTGTAAAGTGGGGATAATAACTCTTGCCCTCCCTGTCCTTCCATTTCATTGTGACTTCAAGTGAGAGGGTATTCATGGTGTGAAGATGTTTTGCAAGTTGTCAAGAGCCTTGCCGGGGAATAAGGTACAAGCTGAAAGCCCAACCCCTCCATCTCCATCCTCTGAAGCTCAGCTGGCCTGGTGGGGAGGTGGCCTTCTCTTGGAACTATCTGTCCAGCCCTATTTTCATGTACTCCACAGTGGGAATGTCAGACTTAGAGCTCTCATTGGAGGCAACAGGAAGCCGCCCATCTTCCCAGAGTATTGCATGCGCTGGAAGACTTGGGAGAAATCATGGTTTTTATATTAAAATAAACACTCATATATGATTATGTGCAATGCAAAGGTTCATGAATTTTAATGTTAAAGCAGGAGCAAAGAAATGTGCTTGTGGAGGGATGAGAGATGGAGGCTGCTTCCTGAGAGGACTCAGGGGGCTTCAACATTGTCTTCTGCCATTAAAGGTGTATTAGTGAAACATGTGAGAAACACTCTCATGGTGAGGAGGCACTGTGCTGGCCTCTGCAGGAGGAGAAGCAATGTTGAGGAGAGGGGACTGGCCCTGAGGGAACTCCACAAAGGGCAGCTTCCTTACCAGGCTATATGGGAGCACAGATAAAGGTACCAGAGGAAAGAGAGCTCATGACTGGCTGGAGGGATGGAGGTGATCGAAGGAGACTTCCTGGAGGAGGAGGAGAGATTTCAGGAGCTCACACACACATACTCAGAAGTGCAAGTCATGCTTCGTGACTGGCAGGAGAATCAGACCCGGGCCCAGGGTATGGAGAGAGGGGATGTGGAAGATGTGGCTGGGACCCCTGATGGGGAATTAGGATGAATACATCAGGTCTTTGGAGTCCTGGAAATCATTTGAGAAGTGAAGTGATTTGGTCAAAGGGTTGCTTTAGGGTGATTAATTTCATGTTGGTGACAATTTCTAGGTTTTTTTTTTTTGCATGTATAGTTGTTCAGATAAGATAGTCTTTCAACGTGTTTCTCCTACCAGAAAAGACAAGATCCCCCTGAAAGAAATATTCTTGGGGCCAGGCACAGTGGCTCATGCTTGTAATCCCAGCACTTTGGGAGGCCAAGGTGGGTGGATCATGAGGTCAGGAGATCGAGACCAGCCTGGCCAACATGGTGAAACACCATCTGTACTAAAAATACAAAAATTAGCTGGGTGTGGTGGTGCGTGCCTGTAATCCCAACTACGTGGGAGGCTGAGGCAGGAGAATCACTTGTACCCGGGAGGAAGAGGTTGCAGTGAGCCAAGATTATGCCACTGCACTCCAGCCTGGGCGACAGAGCAAGCCTCCATTTCAAAAATAAATAAATAAATAAATATTCTCTTAGCTCAAACTGTAGCCAATATTTCACAACAATCAGGCTACTCAGATGAGGAGCTGTGGCCCAGAGGGGTCATGGGCCTTGCCTTGTGTAGCCCTGTGAATTAGAGCAGGTATTGAATAACAAGAGTCACAGATCACTGGGGCAGATAGGTTCTGGCACGTTCTCCAGAAAGGTGGGCACCATGTACATCCCAAAGTATTACCATAAGACATCATGTTTCTCTTCATGCATGAACTCAGCCCACAGATTCCAAAAGCTGAACAGACAGGAAAGGCAATAACCCCTGTCATTACTGCTTTTGGAGGGATTTGACCTCTCAGATCCTCTAGATCAGCAAGACTTCACATTAGATTTCAGGTCTTGCTGAAGAATTCTATCTGCCCCACACCTGAGCACTTGTCTGGTCTTTCCACTCAGAACAGAGTTCAAGGTAGAATCTACAGCCAGCAGGATCCCCAGCAGAGAAGAGCAAGGGCTTCCTAATTAGAGCGATTGTTAAAGACTCCCAGGGGGATACTCCCAGATAAGTTAACAAATTAACAGCAAGGACAGCCTGGAGGTGGTGGGGGCAGAGAGACGTGATTTGAGTTTCTCCCCATTGCTTTTGCAGCCCAAGATTAGACCAGATGGAAGTGCTTGATGTTTTGACCAGCCTTCTTAAACTTCAACAAATATGCAAATCACACGGTGATCTTGATAAAATGCAGATGCAGATTCAGTGGGATGGGATGTGGTCAGGGATTCTATCTTTTGCACAAGCTCCCAGGTAATGCCAGTGCTCCACAAACCAATTTGTGCAGTACAGGTTGGACAACACCATCCCGTGTGTGTTTTCCTAAAGGGAAGATGCTACCCTCTGGAGTGGCCTAACCTGAATACCACTGCTTCCAGCCACTCCCTTTTAGACCTCTCCAGTAAAAATTATCTCCAGCCATCCTACAGACATTTATTAGGCACTTACTATATGCTGTACTCAATGCCAGCTCTAGAGATTCAGAAATGACAGAAACAGCTTCTATCTTGTGGGATTTTACGACGGAGTGTATATGGTGAGGGTGGGCAGGTGATGAGTTGGGCAAACAGGCAATCGAGCAGAGAGTGACCAAGGTGGTAATGGGGCACCACAGGGGCCCAGAGGAGGTCACTTCTCAGCCTGAGATTGAGATCAGGAGGTAGGAAAATCAGGAGGCCCTATCAGGAGTGAGTGGCTCAGGCTTGGAGGGAGAGAATGCATTAGTTAGATGGGTAGGATGTAGTGGTGGGAGGAGGGAGGCAGAAAAGCAAGGAAAATAAGATGTTTTCAGGCCTCAAGAAATAAAGAAGCTCCAAGGGTCAGGGAATTACAAGCCACTCAGCTAGAGCCTGTGGTGCTTGGGAGATATGGTGAGCAGGTGGCCCCATGATCCCCTCCTCTTGGTGCTCATACCTTTGAATAATCCCCTCCCCTTGAGTGTGGGCAGGACCTATGACTCACTTCTTTTTTATTTTACTTTTTCTGAGACAGAGTCTCACTCTTGTCACCCAGGCTGGAGTGCAATGGTGCATATTGATTGACTGCAACCTCTGCCTTCCAGGTTCAAGGGATTCTCCTGCCTCAGCCTCCTGAGTAGCTAGGATTGCAGGTGCACACCACCATGCTTGGCTAATTTTTGTATTTTTAGTAGAGACAGGGTTTCACCATGTTGGTCAGACTGGTCTCGAACTCCTGACCTCAAGTGATCTGCCTGCCTCAGCCTTCCAAAGTGCTGGGATTACAGGTGTGAGCCACCATACCCGGCTGACTCATTCTAACTAATGGAAAATGGCAAAGGCACTCAGATGTCACTCTTGTAATCATGTTAGCAAGACTGCCTTACTAGCTGGGTTGCTTTAGAGAGGGTTTGAAGAAGTAAGGGGCTGTGTTGGAAGGCCCATGTCATAGGTAGTTGGGGACCAGCTCAAACCAACAGCCAGAAAGAACCTGGGGCCCTCGTTCCTGCAATTCCAATGAAATAAATTCTGACAACAACCTGGGTGAACTTGGAAGCAGATTCTTTCACAGATGAGCCTTCAGATGAAAACCTAACTTGGATGACACCTTGACTGAAGCCTTGTGAGATCCTAAACAGAGGACCCATCTAAGCTGTGACCAGATTCCTGATCTACAGATCATGTGAGATAATACGTTTTCTTGTTTTAAGCTGTAAATTTTCTGTTAATTTGTTATGCAGGATTGAAAATGAATATAGGAGGTGATATTGGAAGTTGCAGAAGGGCTATGCCACAAAGGGCTGAAGTGAAGTCTTTGGGTTTTACTAGATTTGGTAGGGGAAGGCATTGGAGATTGTGTTATTGGGAGGTAGCATTATCAGATTAATCTAGGTGGAGAATGGATTGGAGAGGGGATAGTGGGATTGAGAGGGAGGTGGAAGACTAGCCAGAAGCCTGTGGATGCATCCAGGTTGGAAATGATGCTGTCTTGATGATGTGGTTTGGATATTTGTCTCCTCCAAACCTCACATCAAAATTTGATCCCCAGTGTTTGAGGCAGGGCCTAATAGGAGATGTTTGGGTCATGGGAGCAGATCCCTTATGAATGGCTTGTTGCCCTTTTCATGGTAATGAGTGGATTCCCACTCTATTAGTTCACATGAGTTGTTTAAAAGAACCTGGTGCTTCCTTCCTCTCCCCTTCTCTGTCCTCTTCTCTTGCCATGTGAAATGCTGGCTCCCTTTCTCCTTCTGCCATGAGTGAAGGATACTGGCTTCATGCTTCTTGTACAGCCTGCAAAACTGTTAGACAAATAAACCTCTTTTCTTTATAAATTACCCAATCACAGGTTGTTCCTTTAGTAACACAAATGGAATAAGACATCAGCCAATAGTAGGGTGGAGGCAAGATCAAACACAAGATACAGGAGGTGAGATTGACAGGGCTTGAGACTACCTTGGCATGTGATCTCGGATACCCAACCAGCCTTTTCTTGGCATAGCTGACTTTTCTCCTGCTATGTGGATAGAAGGGTCCCAGGGCCTTCAGGCTGGCTCTCCAGCCCTGTCTTTTGTCAGCAGGTCCCTGTCGGGTAGAACTGGAACTTACAAAGGGAGGGGCCTGGGATTGGGCATGTGCTGCCTCCTGGCTGGCCCACAGCTCCCTGATAGGGCAAGCCACAGGAAAGTAATAATCTTTGGAGGATGCAACATAAAACTTCCTGTCCCGAATCTCTCCTTCAATGGTCTGCCATGGCTGACCAGCTTAACCATATATCCTGTTTCCTAGCAGCTAGATATGACCATGTGACTAAGGTCTAGTCAATAGGAAATGAAGGGAATTGATTTGCACACACTTTGGGTCATCCCATTTGATGGGAAAGGGAGTGTCTTCTTTCCTCTCTTACCCTTCCTGCTGGCTATACAGGGGAGCCATGTTTGATCATGAGGACAAGGGGAATACCTAGGAATGGCAGAGCAGCAAGACAGAAGGAGCCCAGGCTTTAGTGACTTTGCAGAGCAGAGCCCTCATACAGCTGGGACTTTTATATGAGCAAGATATATACCTCTAGTTCATTGAAGCACCTATCATTTTTGTATCTCTGTTATATACATCCTCACCTATATCCTGGCCAAAACAAAGGTAATGTAATAAGTCATTGTCGAAGATGAATATCTCAGTGTGAGCTGTATCTTTTCTCATTCACTTAACAATTATTTTTTCCTGACTTCCTTATGCCAGGCAATGAGTCAGTTGTGGGAGATAGAATTTAGAACAGACACAGTCCTTCAGGAATAAGGACTATAATATTGGAGTAGAAAGGATATATGACAATCAGGGATGATCGCATATGTGCTTAAGAAAAATCTGGGCGGCTGGGCGCAGTGGCTCACACCTGTAATCCCAGCACTTTGGGAGGCCAAGGTGGGCAGATCATGAGGTCAGTAAATTGAGACCATCCTGGCTAACATGGTGAAACCCCGTCTCTACTAAAAATACAAAAAATTAGCCGGGCGTGGTGGCAGGCGCCTGTAGTCCCAGCTACTCAGGAGGCTGAGGCAGGAGAATGGCGTGAGCCCAGGATGCGGAGGTTGCAGTGAGCCAAGATCGCACCACTGCACTCCAGCCTGGGCGACAGAGCGAGACTCTGTCTCAAAAAAAAAAAAAAAGAAAAAAGAAAAATCTGACTCACAATGGACATGCAGTATGAATGAGAGAAAATCCTTCATTCTTTAAGTCATTGAGATTTGTTATTGCAGCATCATTTAGTCTACCCTGACTAAAACAAAGGCCTTTACATGATGTAGATACTAATACGAAGGACTTTACATTCATCTTTTGCATGATTTTCTGTATTTATGCAAATACAGATTTTTTTTTGTATTTTGTATTTGCATAAATACAGAAATTCATGCACAAGGTGATGGCCAGGATCAAGGAAGCCAAAAAAAAAAAAAAAGCTGGAATGAAGTGAAGAGATAATTTAGAAGATGGAATCACCAGGACTTGGGAATGGATCATGTGGCTATAAGGAAGAGAGAGAAGTTGATGGTATTTAGATAGTTTTCTGGGTAGGTGATACCACTCATGGATACAGGTGCCATGGGCACATGCCAAATTCAGAGACTCAGGGTGATTAAATGTTGATACAGCAGGGAGGGGGAGTGTTAGAGAGAGATTGGCCTAGAAACCACTAGAAACTGGTAACCTAGGGTAGGGGGCAGGTAAGGATTTAGCATTGAGAGCTTTGCTAGAGGGGCTGAAATCTTGAAGACACACCTGCTCCAGGCTTCATACTCTATATTGCATTATTGACCCTGCTGCCAGAGTAACAATGAAAAATCTCAGATCTGGCCACACTAGTCTGCTCAAAGCCTTTCAGTGGCTCCCCATGGCTCTCAGGACATGTTCAAACTCCCTGACACAGTTTACAAGGTTCTGTGGACCTGCCTACCTCTCCAGAATTTCCCATGCTTCTTTGCTGGCATAATCTTTAACTTATTCTCTAAGACATAGCACCTCCCCAAATCTTTCCTCTGCCCAGCCCCCTCCATCAGGGTAGATACCCCTCTAGGGAGTCCCACAGCCTCCCATCCACTGTGTGAGGATCTGTTTACTTGCCCATTGTCCCCCAACAGACTGTGTGTGGCTTTTGCATTGTGAAACTTGAGGCTTGGCTTGGTGCCTGCTCCAGCACTGAAGCAATGAGTGAGTGAAGAAATGAATCTTGAGTGAAGGGCTGCATGAAGCTGGAGACACCTAAAACTGAGGGGAAGGAGACTGTTCACCAAACAATTTTGCTGAGAGCCTGCCTGGAATGTACCAGGATTCTGATGAGATAGAGAGCAAGAAACATCTCCCTGGTGAGGCTCTCCCTACCCTGCTCCAAGCCTTGTGTCCTTGTCTCCCTGCCCTCCAAGACCCTCCTGTTCTCAGTCACTGTTGAGGTTTCTGTAAACTTACTTACAGGAGGGTGGGGAGTTGCAGGGTGGCCAAGACATCACTCCCAGGAGTGCAAAGCTGCCAAGACCCTGGACGAGGACCCAAGGCCCAGGTTCCCTTCTCTCTTCTTCTGCTAAGTCCTTGGGCTTCACAGAACCTCCATGGGCTTTATGATGGAACAGTCTGGGGTTGGACTTGGTTTTTCTGCTCTTGGAGGCAAAGCAGTGACCCTGCCTGGGGACACCTGGACAGTGGCCTCATTCCCTGGAAGGCTGGCTCCTCTGAGGTAGGGTTATGGTTCCTGACTGGGCCTGGGAGGGTGTGACAGCCCTTGCCAAACTCTTGGGGACAATGCTGACTTAGGGCCAGTGACAGGAGGGGGATGTTTCAGTGCAAGGAAGGAGTGCCTGGGCACCCCCAGGGATAAGGAAAGAGTCACCTCCTCACAGTCTGGTGGCAATAGCCTAGCGGGGGAACCATGTGACAGGAACCACATCTGGGGCTGTCTGGGCATATGGGAGGAGCTCTCATGGCACTCAGTCTGAGGGGCCAGGAAGGAAGATCGTTGGGGTTGAAGGGGAGAGGAGTGAAGCATGGACCCTCAGCCTGGAGGCACACAGCAGTCTCTGTCCAGGCCCAGTGTCCATCTGTGACCAGAACCCACCATTACCCACAGGCTGGTGAGGTCAGAGAGGCTCCAACTACAGTAAATGGGGGAAGATGAAAATGGGCAGGAGAGAAGAAGGAAGGCACCTGCAGAGGAAAGGGAGCGGCTCCCTTCTTTCTCCTGGGCCCATCTTAGCTATAGGAGCCTACTTTGTCAAGACTCATCATCAGCTGGATAAGAGAAAAGAGCTGAGTCAAGGAGTGGGAGGGGAGGAGATGAGGGGCACAGAGGAACCACATGCCACACCATCTGGCCCCCATACCTCTCTTTTCTCTCCCTAGCTTGTGCCATCTCCACTGGGGCCCCTTTGTAGTGAGCTCCCCACAGAAGTGCCTTTTCTGCTTTGGGCTCCTAATGCAGCATCTCTCATCCCCTCTTTCATCCCCACTCAGGGTTGCAGCTAGAAACTGGTGGCTGGGAGCTGGGGCCTTCCTGAGCGGGGCAGAGCATAAGAGCGACAGGGATGTGCCCTGGCACTTTCTACAGCCACCCTTACTCCTGACTCTTGTTACACTTTCCCAGGCTGTCTGCAAGAGTATTCATGACAATTCATCAATAATCATAAGTCAAGCTCTATGCATATCTGTTAATTAACTCATAAATATCTGCTAAGTGCCTGCTGTATTCCCAGCACCCCACAAATGCTTGGATAGACTGATGCACAAAGCAGAGGCAGAGCCTGCTCTCAAGGAGGGAGCTGAGTATGAGATGTGGAAATAGATGCTTAGCAGATATTCACACAAGTAAATACACAGTGACAAATTGAGATAAAACGCCACAAAGGAAAACTAGAGGGTGCTTCAAGAGAGGATGCCAGATGGTCAGTTTCAGCTTGGAGGGATGAGTGACATGGCAGAGATCTCGGAGGATGGGAAATTTGTGCTGAGACCTAGAGGAAGAGGAGGAGCTGACCAAGGGAAGATGGAGGCTGTTAGGGGAGAGGGTGCATTGGGTGTGGAGGCCCCAAGATGAAGGAAGCTTGGGGTGGTGTGAGGAACCCCAACAGGCAGGTGTGGCTGGAGGTGGGACCAATTGGATCAGTGAGATGGCAGGTGGGGAAGGAGGCTTGAGAGTATTCAAGTCTGGCTCCACACCCACGGTCTTTACTCCGGCCAGGTTCACACCCAGTGGGCACAGCTGCAAGCTGGCACCAGGTGCACTGGGTGAGAGGTCCCTGTGCCTGTTCTACTGTCCTCCAGAGCAGAACACAGCTAGCCTGACTCCACCTTGAGTGCTGTGTTCTTCTCTGAGGGAACTGGGAAGCAGGGAGCTCTGAGTGCCGGGAACTGCAGGCCATTGTTACATACACACTGTTTTGTGGTTCTATTATCATACCCAGTGATGGTGCCTTGGGAAGGCCAAGGAAGGAGCATGCTAATGAGACTGGGCTTGCTGGTGTGGATTTAGCCCCACCCAGGTAGTCCACCACACCACCTGTACTGAGAGGGAATAAATAAAGAATAACCGTGGAGCTTTCTGGGCCAGCCCGTGCTGAGCTGGGCGAGGCCTGCACTGACATACCTCCCAGTGCTCCCCTGACCCTGTCCAGGGTGAAGATGATGCTGGAATACAGAAACAGATGAATATAGCATTTGCTTTCCTTGAGATTTTCTGTATCCCAAGCATTCTGCCAAGTGCTTGTGGTGGATTATTACCATCATGGTCCCCAGCAAAGCACACCCACTGTTATCCAGGCCCATGCGCAATCCCTGCCCACATGGGCTCTAGACTTGGTCACGTTACTTGCTTTGACTAATGGGTCATCAGCCAGTGTGATGCAAGCAAAGGCTTGGTAGGCTCTTGTGCATTGAGGCTTTCCCTCCTGGAGCCCAGCAGCCGTGTAAAGGATTCTGACCAAGGCAACTCTGCCAACAGCTTGTCAGACGCCAGACCTGTAAGTCAGGACATTTTGGACCACCCAGGCCCAGTCCAACCTCAGGTGAATAAAGCTTCATGAGCTTCACAGGCAAGACCAACAGAAGAGCCACCCAGCTGAGACCAGCCCAAACTACAGAACTGGAGTAAAAGATGATTGTTTTAAGCAACCAAATTTTCAGGTGGTTTGTTAAACAACAGCAGTTAATTGATGCAGTGCCTAAGAAATATTCGTGTTCCCATTTAGTGGGCACAGCAGTCCTGGGAGGAAAGCATTTTTCTGCCTGCTAAGTGGATCCTGATACTGAGGAAATATCTAACCAAGGTCATGGGATGAGTTAGTGGCAACCCAGTCGGGTCTGTCTCTACAGCTTCCACACTGGATCTTTCCATCACTCCAAAGATGAGGTGGCAGAGTCAGTCACTAATTTTCAGCAAATGTGGGGGAAGCAGGTCTGCCTTTATCTTGCATTGCTTGTGTAAACCCCAATGTCAGCTGAGGCTGCGCAGCTTCACTCCCATCCTGGGGACCACCCTTGAAGCCTGGTTCAAGATTTCGAGAAATTCTTGTACTCTGTGCTCCCTGCTCTGTCTCAGTGACTCTTTTGTTACCTTCACCCTTATTTTTATCCATCACAAAGCACAACTCCTTCTTGATTCTATTCCCAAAGCAACCACAAGCACAAGGCGGTTGCTTATAACAGAACCTTTACTAACGATTTGTGGACTGGGAAGAGCCTTGTTAAACACTGCTCTCAATAGCTCCACGTCAGCATCAGGCATCCTGTCTCTAACCAGCGATTTCTCACGGCTGCTTCATCCCACTTCACACTATGAGTGTGTCATCTCCCTTCCAGTCCCACTCTCTGCTCCTCCTCCTGCCCGCACCGCAGTCCTGTCTCTCCCTGTCACTCCCTCCTTATTCCCAAACACAGCTCCAAGCCAATTGACACTCAGACCACCCAAGGGCTTTGTGTTAAACCAGAGGCTTCCCTTCCGAGAAGATAGTTGTGGTTTTAAGTAGCAAAATATCTCCCCAACCCATCATACACATTTATGTGCTCAGAGCTCAGAGAAGGCACTTCAGAGGACAAATGTCTCCTTATACTTCATGACTGAAGCCCAGAGCCCAGAGTGACAGGATGACTTGCTATAGTTTTCCAACTGTTGTCAAAGCTAGGGCAGAAAGTCAGAGTCCTCTCCACTGAGCAGACAGAAACATGTGAAAGTGCCCAGGTGTGTGGGGCACCATGGGAGTAACCTGGGGCTCTCTGCCACCCTGCTGGGCATGGGCCCCCAAGGTGAACTGCACAAACATGCTGACCCGTGCTGTTCTCCTCCCCAGCCCCACTCCAGCCCTGTGGTCCCCACGGTAATGCACACGTGCCCAGCCCATAAATATCTTATTTTGTGTTCCTGCCAGCCCCTACTAATAGGGCTAATGCTTCCTGAGGAGCAGCCCAAAGCTGCATTAGTCACAGATGTTTGATTGATTTAAAACAAAGGGCCTGACCACCAACCTCTCTCTATAGTTTCTCTTCCTGCCACTTTGCTTGCAGGGTTATCTCTGAAATGCAATTAAGGGGCTTAAAAGTACATTTTCAGGAAGACGTAGAATTGATGAGGGGAGCTGGCCCCTGTGGGTGCCTCCAGATTATTCCAGTCCAGGGAAGGGAGCTGGACCTGCCTGGAGCTGAGTCCACACCACCGAAGTTTTGAGTCTCCAAGGCAAAATCTGCCCCAAGGGGCCCTGAGAGGGTTGGTAGAAGGAGCTGCCTTCAGTGGAGCTGCTGCCACTTCCTCGGTCCTGTGCTTTTGAAGGTCCAGCACCCTTGGCCTGGGTGAGCCCTCTGGGAGGGAGCTGGGGCTGCAGGCTTGGAGACTGACTGGACCAAGCCTGGTGAGTTTGGGGTTCCTGCTCCCTAAAAGGGTAGAGGGGCCAAGCGCTGTGACACTGGTGGGTACCATCTCGGACTAGAGTCCTTTTCCCCAGAAGTCTCAGTGGTGTCATCCTATAGCAACTGCTCTCCTTGAACATGCTGCTGGGGCCAATGCCATATTTCCCAGGCTCCCATGACTTAAGCTTCCCTCAGCTATGCAGGGTCAGCTCTGAGGGTCCGTCCAAACCAGCAGAGTGAGCTGTGCCTGTGGGAGCGAGAGGATGAGACAACCACAGGGCCAGCTCAGATGTTTTCTGCAAATATTTTGTAAACCTCTGCTGAGTACCAGGTACGTGCAAGGCAGTGTGGAGGTGAAAACATGGAGTAGTGATGTCATAATTGAGTAGGAGCCACAGGCAGCCCCAAACCACAGTGCACGGGAGCAGGGGAGATGTGCTGGGGGTAGAGATGGGGCGGTGGCTCCAGCAGGGGCCAAGAACTGCTGGCCCATTAGAGCTGCTGCAACTCACAGGGAACACCATGGGAAGGAGAAAAAGATATTTAGCAGAATTTCTTTCAAAGAGAGATTTGCACAGCTGGGAGGAATAGTCTGAGATAGTGTGGGTTGGAGAATACTCAAGGGCCAGTGCAGGTAACAACAGAGGACCGCTGAAGGGCGCCTGCTTTGCCAAGTGCTGTGTTGAGTTGGGAGCTGGTGCTGACACACTGGGGCCACCAGTATAGGCTGTCGGCAACCTGCATCCTCAGCCCCTTCCACATCACCCCCCAGTGTTGAACAAACAGTTTGAAAAGGTCAGGTTTTAAGGGACCCCACATTTTTAGCCTGTGTAGGCTGTAATCTTATCCAAATTCCATTCTGGCAGCACAGAGATGGGAACAAGATCACCTTCTGCTGAGGTCCCAGAGAGAGGTTCATTGTGGACATATCGCTGCAGCTGGGTCTGGAAGAATGGGTCAGGGGTTGAGAGATGGAAGTGGAAAGTCTTTCTGATAAAGACATAAAGGAAAAAGTGAAAATTTGTGGAGCGGGTATGGGTAACACTCGATATTTGGTTTGCTGAAGCATGATGGGTGAGTGAGTTAGAAGAGTAGGTGGGAGACAAATGGTGAGGGATTTCAATGTCTTGCTGAGAAGTTTTGGGATCTACTTGGTAGGCAGTGGTGCACCATAGAAGATTCTAGGGCCATGGGAGAGGCAGTCAGAAATAGGCTTCTGAAAGATTACCCTGGTTGGAAATGGGGAGAGAATGTAGATATTTTCAGCAGCAGAAGTCAGCAGCTCCTTTGGGCTCCTGAAGGGAAAACTGATCTTAATTTCTATAGAAAATGTATCAGTGGCACAAGACCCCCTGGCCACCAGGCCTGGTGCTCACCTGCTTCAAACACATCTTTCACCCCTTTATGCCTTTATCCCTCTGGGATCTTCCAGATGATGACTGCCTTCCCAGCCAACCAGCCCTGCTTCTTTGAGGAGTGCATGCTATTCAGCCACCCCTCTCTGCTGTCATCTGCTGAACTTCCAGGCCCTTCCTTCATTCATCCATGACTGGCAACCTGGGTTCCACTCCCTGTCCTGCCCGAAGTTCTATCTTTCTCCTGGGAGATGTCTGTATTCTCATGGATGATCATCCAACTCCCAGGCCTGCCAGCATCTCCACCTTGCCAGTAATGATCTCCTTGGTTCCTTCCAGCCACCTCCTAGCCACACCCTGGAACTCATCCTCACTAAAGCCTCATAATTCTGAAGACATTAAACCTAACCCTCCTCTGTATTTTTTTTTTTTTTTTTTTTGAGATGGAGTCTCACTTTGTCACCCAGGCTGGAGTGCAGTGGCATGATCCCGGCTCCCTGCAACCTCTGCCTCCCGGGTTCAAGTGATTCTCCTTCCTTGGCCTCCGAGTGGCTAGGATTATAGGTGCATGCCACCATGCCCGGCTAATTTTTGTATTTTTAGTAGAGATGGGGTTTCACCATGTTGGCCAGGCTGGTCTCGAACTCCTGACCTCAAGTGATCCACCAACCTCGGCCTCCCAAAGTGCTGGGATTACAGACATGAGCCACCACAACCGGCCCCTCCTCTGTATCTTACTCCAGGGCTCAGTGAGCTGGGGCCTACAGGCTGACTGTTTTGTGAGTAAAGTTTTATTGGCACACAGTCTGCCCATGCAGGTACTGTCTACAGCTGCTCTCTTGCTGCAACTGCAGAGCCTAGTAGTTGTGACAGAGACAGTGTGACCCCAAAGCCTAAAACATTCACTGCCTGGCCCTCTGCAGAAAGAGTCTCCAGCCCCTGTCTTACTCCATCAGCTCTCTCCTTTCTTTCTCTCCTCCTTATCCAACACAGGCTCATGATTTCAACACCTCTTTCTGGCATTACCGCCCATGTGGCCCCTCTTGGGGAGCCCACCTGCTCACTTTCTCTTCCCCTGCCTGAGAGCAGCTGGGGGCTGCTGGAGAAATGTACACAACAGGGCAGGTTGATTCCATCACAAACTCTTGATTACCAGCCTCAACAGGACCCTCAGCATTCCTAGAAACCCTCCTATTTTCTTGGGGCATCTCACTCTCACACAAATTATTTCAACCTTCTCTAGAAACTTCACATTTCTGACCTACCTCTCCCTGCTTCTTTTCCAGCAGGTGGCCTGGCCGACCCCATTACAGACATGTGAAGACATCAGTGAGGACTCACCCCTCTTCCTCTTTTTTTTTCAGACAGAGTCTTGCTCTTGTCGCCCAGGCTAGAGTGCAGAGGTGCAATCTCAGCTCACTGCAACCTCTGCCTCCCAGGTTCAAGCAATTCTCCTGTCTCAATCTCCCAATTAGCTGGGATTACAGATGCACGCCACCACGCCCTGCTAATTTTTATAGTTTTGGTAGAGACAGGGTTTTACCATGTTGGCCAGGCTGGTCTCAAACTCCTGACCTCATGGTCTGCCTACCTCGGCCTCCCAAAGTGCTGGGATTACAGGCATGAGCCACCGTGCCTGGCCTCACCGCTCTTCTTGACAGCAAACCCAGAAGCTTGCCTGTACTCACCCCTCTGCTCTCTCGCTCTCCACGTGAAAAAACTGAAGAGTTCCTCTGCCTCCAGTTGGCAACCCAATGCCTCCTGCCTCCCTAGGACATTTACCCCATCCTAGCTTAGGTGCCCCTAAAGAAGGCCCTGAGATGTGGACTTGGGTAATCCCTGGAAGTTTAGGGAGAAAGTAGAGGAAGTGAAGCAGGGAAGGGAGAGAAAGAGTAGCCAGTAAAGAGTAGTTGATACATGACCTAAAACTAGGGGCAAGTGGGGCTCAGCGCCCTTTGGGGACCCTCTGGGAGACTGCAGGGAGCACAGCTTTGAAGCATCCTGCTTGAGGACAGGGAGGCTGAGGCACTGACCCACCTAATTCCACCCCACACGCTTGAGGGTTGCTTGGGGACATCAACCCCTGCATTTCCAGGCTGCACATCACAGGCAAGCAAGCTCCCCAGGGGCCAGAGGAGGCATTGGGAGAGGCATGAAGACAGACGGATACACCCTGGTGTTTGCCAGAAACTGGCTGCTGCTGCAGGGCTCTCATGAGGGCTGTGGGCGCCCACCTCTCTGTGCATGCCCCTGGAGCCTTTCCCTCATTTGTAAATACTGCCACTGTTCTTCTATTTAAATACGGTTCTCTCCCACCACACTCTTCTTCCCCACTCTTCCCTCTGTGTCCTCCCTTCACAATCGAACTAATTAGAAATGAGAGCTGTGCTCACTGACCCCATTTTCTCTCTCCTGCTGGTACTTCAGCCCACTTTGGCCTGGCTTCTCCCCTTCATTTAGACATAGGTGCTCTCCTGAGTTTCACGTTGCCCAGTCCAAGGTCCAAGGGACATTTCTCAACTCTCAATGCGCATGGTACTTCAGTACCATGCAGCGCTTTGACCATCTCCACCTTCCGGACACACTCCCTTGGAGCCCACACCATCACCTACTTCTAGGCTTGCCTTTGGTGATGTCTTTTCTGACAGCGTGGGGTCTTTTGGGTGGGCACATAGGCCTGCAAAGGAGACAATGTCCTTCTAGGCTTCCTCTCCTTCTAGCACCCATCCAGGACCGCAGCTCGAAGTTCCACCACAAAAAAAGGGATGACTCACACACTGTTTTGTGAGGCTTAGATCTTTCCAACTACCTATTTGACATTTTCTCTTGGAAATCTCAAAGGCATTTCAGAGGTCAAACTGGACACGTGATTCCCCCAGCCCCCACCCAAACTATAGCAGGACCTTTCCCCATCTTAGTGAACTGCAATTTATCCATCCAGTTGCAAATGTCAGAGACATCCTTGATGTTTTCT
The DNA here is from genome assembly GCF_000001405.40 of Homo sapiens. NCBI lineage: Eukaryota > Metazoa > Chordata > Mammalia > Primates > Hominidae > Homo > Homo sapiens. The sequence continues at coordinate 43,791,128 of NC_000003.12, forward strand.
TCTGCCTCCTCCAAATGCTGGTGTTGTCCAGTCCATCCCTTGGATTGGATGACTTTACCTTCTAAATGTTTCTTGTGTTGGCTCTGACTCTTCATCACAGGCACATGAGTCCCAGCTGCTCTTCCCTTGCCCAGCTGCTCTTCTCCTTTGCCCTGGGTGCTTGCTACCATCTCTGGACTGGTGAGCTTGTGTCCTGTCTGACTCCCTTCTGGTCCTCTTTGCCATGGTCCTCACATTGCAATCAGGGGGATCTTTTCACAATGGGAAATGAATTATGTCCACCTCTGCTTACAGCCCAGCTTGTCTTCCCACTGTTCCCCTCAACACAAACTTTGAGACCCTGCAGAGCCTGGCCACCATCTGTCATGTCCCACACATTCACCCCTTCCCTCTGAATGCAGTGGTCTGCATTCAGCACCCACCACCAGACCTTTGTCCATGCTGGGTCCTCTGTCTGGAATGTTCCTTCTTCTTGTCCCTTGTTAGTTCTTACTTCACTTTCTGATCAGAACTCAGTCATCACTTCCCGAGGTCGCATTCCCTGAGGTGGACTCTTACGGCATCACAGAGATGATTTTATATTCAATTCATGCTTATCCCTGCAGTGGACTGTGAGCAAGGGGCATGTCCGATTTGGGTCCCTGTTGGACCCTCAGTGTCTAGCACAGTATTTGGCCACTGTGGGCACTAAATCAATATCCACTGAATGAGTGACTCCATAAGACACTGATCTAATCCAGTGGCATTTGGGATAGGGTCAGTTTATTGAGCAGAAAATCAATGGTTCCTAATGAAAGGATTGGGGCAGATGTCAGAATCTCCTTGACAGGATTTTCAAAATAGCCCTTGCCAATTGCTTCATCTCTATCCCCAAGATTCCTTCTTGAGGGAACAGGGTGAATTTTTTATTCCTTTCCCTCATGGGGGAAAGAAACTATGTGAACTTTAAAGCCATTTGATTGGCAGTAGAGTCCTTGGAAGACCAAGGCTTTGGCACCACACTGTCCTGGGTTTGAGCCCTAGCTTTGCCTTTTATCAGGCCTCTTTGAACCTTAGTTTTCCACTGTGTGAATTAGGGATCAGAGCACCTATCCCTTAGGGTTGCTATGAGGAAAATCCTGGGCATCTGATGCTGCCTGATGAACTTTGTGTGGGGTTGCTCCTCTCCTGGACTCAAAGTTAGCAGTTAGAAAGTCACTTCTTTCAATGTCCTTTTTCCAGATTTTCATTCTCTTCATTATTCCTTGAACAAGGATGTTCAAGACCTGGAAAGCTTTATTTCAACTTCCCTCTCTTGTCCTTCCTGGGTCTTACTGTGGTCTGTCTGCCATTCTGCAGGGCCTCCAGAGAAGAAGGTTGAAAAGATGAGGTTGTTCTATCGTCAGAGGTTTTTGCTAACCATACAATTGAGTTTAGTGGAGTGATTCATGGACATGCATTTACAGCTGAAGTTGTAGATCTGTTTTTAGAAATTATTAGCAGGCATTAAACAAAAACAGGCTTAATTAATAATTCACCAGAAAAAAAGATATGGTGCAATATCCCGCAATAGTAATCTTTAGTGCTGGAATAAGTATTCCATTTATTTGAGTTGTTTTTTTACTTCCTTTCACCATAACAAAGACCCAAATCCTCTGTAAAATGAAAGAGAGGCAGGTCTTACAGAACGTATTTATCAGCTCAGGAAGGTCTGATTCTGCCTCTAGAGTCCCCAGAAATGCAGAACAAATTCTTGGTGCCAATATTCAGAAATAAAGTGGAACCATTAGAGGCAAAAATAGGGCATGGGGTCAGTGTTTCTGATAAAATATAAGCCTCTGCTGTTTAAGCCTCTGCTTTGCTTTAGCTTCAAGGCCTCATAAACTCACAGATGTATCAGTTCCTGTTGGCACCCCACCCACACTCCTAAGGCCCACTCTGAAGGTCCCTGTAGGCAGCACCTCCTTTCTGGCTCTTCCTGCCTGAAGGCTTTCTCGAGCTTCAGAGCAGCCTTGGCACAAAAGTACCAGGAATGTAATGCTCCCTCCCAGTGGCAGCTCTCCACCACCAAGGGGAGGGACTGAGTAGGTGAACCTCACAGCTTCCCTGTTCTTCTACAGGACAGCACTGAGCAGGGTTCTGCACTCACTCAAAAATCTCCACACGGCCTGGAAACAACTTGCTCATTAAGGAACCCTTTTTGGGCTTTCCTCTCTTCTTTCCCTTGCTTTCCCACAAATAAACTGCTTGCACCCAAGTTCTTATCTCAAGTTTTGCTGGGATGATGGGGAAGTGAGATCGGGAAGGGAGGAAAGCTAACAAAAGTGTGCTAAGGGGCAATTTATATCCAAAGCATGGAAGGCTCCATCCTGCTGGGGACCCTGTGCCATACTGAAGGAAACCTGCCACAGAATTCTCCCCATGCAGGAGCAGGAGGCTGGAGCCTTTATCTACCAACTCCAGTCCCTAACTGATTGAGGCATGACCCCAGGGCATTATGTCTCCCTCCTCCACAACCCCATTGATCTGACCAAGCTCCTTGTGCCAGAAAAAGTCCTGGAGCAGAGGAGAGAGACACAATGCCAGAGGTGGGAAGGTATCAGAATGTGGGAAACCATCTCAAGCAGCTGCTGAGAATTCAGGTGTCTACCCGAATATAGGGAGTGCTTCAGGTGCCCTCCCCTGGTTTAATCAGTGTGGCTATAGAGGTGGGGGCAGGGCATGAGAAGCAGAGTGGAGATGCAATGTAGAATGTGGCCACCTGTGTGTGAGGAACTGTATCCTCTGCAGGGACAGGTGTGGTATAGCTGAACCTGGATCACCAGCCCCAGTATAAACTGAAACGTCCAGGACCTGGAACATGAGGCTGAAGAGCAGCAACCAGGGTGAATGCACAGACTGAACACAGAAGATGAGACGGCTTTCAGGGGCCCATGCCTCCCTACACATTTGGAAAGCGGGCAGTCTTTCTCTGGTGACCTCCCCTCTTTCTCAGAAGTCCTCTTGGGCTGTAGCAGCCCCTCCCCAGCCTCTAGTGCCCTCCGCATGGCCCCTGGTTGTCCGGAGTCTTGATTCGCAGAGCAGTGTCCCGTTCCACAGCTGATCTCTCTTTCCGAATAGATGTTTCCCAGCTCTCAAAATTCACTCCCCTTCCCCAGACCTGTCATCCAGAGAAAGGTCACTGGCTGCAGAAGGTGAGCTAGGTCATGAATTCATACTGAATTATGCAAAGCTGGTGACCTCAAAGCTCTCTTGGGAGATATTTGTAGTTTAAAAGGGAAACCTGTGAACCCAAAGGAGACAGGAAAGCTTGCAAACAAGTGTTACAGTTAAACACATAAACACAAACAAATAAAAAAAACCAAAAAGTCCTTTAAAAAGTTTGCTATGGTATGCTTCCCTGCAGCATACCATAGCAAGGAAGACAAGCTCTGAAACAAGGCTCCTGGGGGCCAAAGCTTAGTGGCACCCCCTCCCCACAAACCACACATAATACTTAATATTAGCGTGAACCCCAGCAAATTACTTAACTTCTCTATGCCTCAGTTTTCTCATTGCAGGATGAGCTAATAAGACACCTCATAGGATTGAGGTGAGGATTAAATAAATTAATCAGCCAAAGGCCTTACAGTTGCACCTGGGACACAGGCAAAGCTCAATAAGTGTCAGCCATTATTACTTCATTACTTTCTGGTTTTTCAAGAGACCAGAAAGAGTGGATCTTCTCTCTGACTTGAGGCTGGATCATAACAGACTTGATGATAAAACAACCCAACAGGCAACATTTCAGGGGAAATCTGTTCCAACCTTGAGGGCTTCTGGGCAGTGAGAATGACTCAAACCTGAGCAATGCTTCTGGGCCTCTGATTTCACGGTGTCTCTGAGTTGCAACAGCAAGCAGACCTTGGAGATGCCACCTTCACAGACATGGTGGGGAGGGGACCAGCTTCTTCCTGTTTCCCTGTCATGTAGGCAGCTGAAGAGGGACTCAGAGGCCCTCAGTCCAACCCACCCCTCAGATGATGTTCTCAAAGTCTATCCAATGTTCAGATCTGAGATTCAGCAAGAAATTGCCAAATAAAGCTGACCAGATGGACTCAGGTGTGGTGGGATGCCCAATGTTTAACCTCATTGGTGTGCACATGTAGATACCTCTCTGTACACATATGATGATGGATAACAGTCTTTGGAAAGTAATCTTGTTGTTCCTTGCTTTTCTCCTCTCCATTCTGCTCCATGTGCAGCATCCCTGCCCCCATTAACTATCAAGTCATTGGTTTCAGAAGGTCCCCAAGAGGGCGACTGCAGGGCCATGGTGATGGTAAATCTGGCACATTAATTGTACATTCCAGCCCATTAATCAGCAATTATACTTGAAGTTTCCAAGTATTTCAAAGATGAATTACAATGTAATATACAGTTTTCTTTTTGAGGGGCCTGAGGAAAGGAGAACCCAGTCTCCTGCTCAAAGACAGAAAAGATAATTACCTTGGGATTTTAAGATTTCTGCTTTGTACTTAACTGCTTAGTACTTGCCATGAGTTTATGACTTGGGTTGCAACATGCTCCCTTCTGTACAATGATCAACCGGCCCCAAGTGTGATAATGGGCTGCCCCAGGGTTTCCAGGTTGTCCCAGGGACAGAGCCACCTTCTTGTTCTGAAGGATAGAGCAAAGGGAACTCTACGTGGGTCTCAAGTTCCTGTTTGAGAACAGGAGGAGGAAATTAGTGGCCCTATATGTTCAAATTGTTCCTTATAAAGAATAAAGGTGAAGTCACGGACTTGCAATCCTGTAGTCTCAATAGATTAGTAATTACGAAGTTTTATTCAGATGCTGATGTGTGTGCATCTTCCAGGACAGAGAGGTAAGGGATTATGATAATCCCACCCCAGACTGACCAGGTCTGGTCTCAGAAAGGTGAGAGACAGCTGGAGCAGAGAGAAGTGTCCACAGACTGAAAATGGTTAGTGGTTAAAAGCCTGTTTCGGACTCGAGAGGACATGGCTCATTCTAGGTCAGGTTCCCAGGAACCAGACTCTGAGATGGAGACTGGCACACAATGAATTTATTGGGAGTTAATTAGGATCAACCTCTGTTGAGGGACAAGGGAGAAAAGCAGCAGTCGGTGGAGGAGAAGTCGGGCTGTGTGTGATGCAGCTGCCATGGAGACCTCAGCTGGTCCTACAGCTGAGCCCTGGAGTTGTCTCAGTTGAAGCAAGATGCCCCAAGAATAGGGTATGACATTGGGTGAGGCCTCTTCCTTTGGCCAAGGGCAGTTCCTGGAGAGGGACTCAGCTGTGAGTCAGCAGCTGTGGCAATATCAGCACAGTACTGTGCCCCAGTACGGAAGGGAGATCTGAACAATGCATCATAGCATCCCATAACACATTACAGGTGTTAGGGGCTGAATCGTTTCTCCTCCCCACTGCTCCCTGCCGGAAAAAACAAAAAACAAAAAACAAAAAAAACCCTTATAGGTTAAAGCCCTAACCCACAATGTGACTATATTCGGAGATGAGGCTTTTAGGGAGATAATTAAGGTTAAATGAGATAAAAGTGGATACCTAATCTCATAGAATTAGGATCCTTATAAGAAGAGGAAGAGATGGCAGAGAGTTCTTTCTTTGAGCGAGCCCCAAGGAAAGGCCATGTGAGGACACTAAAAGGGTGGCTGTCTGCAAACCAGGAAGAGAGGTCTCATCAGAAACCAACCCTGACGCCTTGATCTTAGACCTCTAGAACGGTGAGAAAATAAATGTTTAAGCCACCTAGTCTGTAGTATTTTGTTGTGGCAGCCCAAGCAGACTAATACAACAGGTGGATTAATATTCACCGACACCCCAAAGCCCTCCCCATAGCGGGATTACATTCCCACCCTTTTGAAGTCAAGCATGACCATATAATTTGACTTAGTTGATGCAACATGAACAGAAGGGATATGTGTAGACCATGGTTACAAGGCAACATTATTAATTGGAACATTTCATACCTTGACTAGAGGTGAATGCCATGAAGATTCATCTCTTATTTCAGTAAGACAGTTCAAGCCAATTCCAGTCGTGCTGAAGTTAACCTTCACAGCACAATGATCTTGAAGTTTATAAAGAAGGGTATATATCCAAGAATAATCTAAAAATAAAAACAATAGTTGTACTTGCCTTGCGTAACAGTAAAATATGCTACAAAACTCCTGTTGTCAAAAGAGTATGGTGATAGCAGAATAAAGAAGCTAGAAATATATCCCAGCATATATTGGAATTTAATATACAGAACAGGTATTATTTAGATTGGATAAGAAAATGATGCTTTCTTTGATAAATTAGAATGATACAACTGGCTATCCATCAGAAAGGAAATAAAGTTGGACCGTACATTACACCTCATGCAAAAATAAATTTCAGATGTATTGAAGACTGAAACATAAAACACAAAATAATAAAACTTCCATTCCCAGCCAAGATGAAGTAGATTAATTTCTCCTAAGTCCTCCTTCTTTCAACTAAAAAGCCCTGGACATAACACAACAAATGAGCATAGGAAGACTCTGAAAGGTAGGAAAAACACAGGCTGTCTAATAATCTCTGTGCTTTGATTCCCTTCTGGTGAGCTTCTGGGTGGAAGTGGAGGTGGCGCTCCAATTCTCCTGCAGGCAGCTGATCTATTCCCCACTTAGAGAAAGTTGGTAACTCCAATTCCGCTCTGGGACTGAGAGAGGAGCTGATTTTCCATCCTTCACCCAGTAGAGGTAGGCAGTGCTCTAATGCCCCTGCCTGGGCAATGTCAAAAGGGTCCCGTGGTGAGATGATCCGCTGTCCTCATCCAGCAATGCTTGACTTAAAGAGGTGGTGCCAGGCAAGGCTTGTCCCCACTATCTTTTATCCTTTCCCCCTGGTGTCAGCAGCCCAAGAGAAAACTGAACCTCCACACCCATCTGGCCTCATGAAGTGGAGTGAGTGGTGGGAGATAGGACTCTGTTCCCCCCATCTCCTCTCCTGGTGCCTGTCAGGCCCAGTGGGGTACCGAACTTACACAGCTACTTAACGGCAATGAGGTGGTATCAGTGGGTACCCCACTTTCACTAAGAAGCTCTAGTGGGGCCAAGGGGCAAGCTGAACCTCTACCTCACCTTTCTGCAATGAGCGAGGATCAGTGCTCTACTTTTGCTGAGGTAATGTCAGTGCAGCCCAAAGAAGGGCTCTGTATGCTACACCTCAATATGTGGACTGCCTGCTAAAAACAGAATTAAATAGGGTCCAGAGTCTCAGAATATCCCAAAGGCCCAGAATACAATAGAAAAATCACTCATAACACCAAGAATCAGGAAAATCTCAACTTGAATGAAAAAAAAAATCAACAGACATCAATACTGAGATGAATTAGATGCTGGGATTATCTGGTAAGAATTTTAAAGCAGCCATCATGAAAATACATCAAGTTTTAACAAATTCTCATAAGACAACTTTAAAAATAGGCATTCTCAGCGAAGGAATAGACATTACAAAAAAAGAACCAAAAAGGAATTATAGAACTAAAAAATACAACAAATAAAATTAAAAATAAAATTATAAAAATTCTAGAGGAAATTTTAGGTGAACATATGTTTAACTTTGAAAAGTCTGTTTTAACTAGACAGAAAGCCCAGAAACTTAAAGCTGTTTTGTTAAATTTGTATGGTACCCACAGATAATGTTATAGTTAATGGTGAAATACTGAAAGCATTCTCCCTAAGATCAGGAATTAGACAAGGATGTCTGCTGTCACCACCTCTATTTAACATTATACTGGAGGTGCTAGCTAGGACAATTTGGTAAGGAAAAAAATTAAAAGAAATCCAGATTAAAAGAAAGAGGTTAAAACTATATTTTTTTGCAGAGGATATGATCTTATATATAGAAAATCCTAAAGAGTAAAAAAGTTAGAACTAATAAATGAGTTTTAAAAGGTTGCAAGATACAAGACCAATATACAAAAATCAACTAAATTTCTATACACCAGCAATGAACAATCTGAGAATGGCATTGGGCAAAAAATAATAATAATAATAAAATAAATAAATAAAAAATAAAAAAATCCAATATACACAAGCATTAAAAATAATAAATACAGATGATCCTCCACTTACAATGGGGTTACATCCTGCTAAACCCATTACAAGTTGAAAATATCGTAAGTCAAAAATGTGTGGCTGACTGGGAGGTGCCCAGCATTGTGAGAGAAGTACAGTTTCTAGTAAATGCATATTGCTTTCACACCATCGTAAAGTCAAAAAATTTGTGAGTTGAACCATCATAAGCTGAGGACCGTCTGTACTTAGGAATAAATTTAACAAAAAAGTGCAAGCCTTGAATTCTAAAAACTGCAAACGATTGTTGAAAGAAATTAAAGAAAACCTAAATCAATAGAAAGACTTCCCATGTTCATGGATCAGAAGACATATAATGTATTGTTAAGATAATAATACTGCCTGAATTGATGTACAGATTAAATATAATCCTTATCAAAATTCAGGTTGCGCTATGTGCAGAAATTGACAAGCTTATTTTAAAATTCACATGGAAATACAAGGGACCGAAAATAGCCAAAACAATCTCGAAAAAGAACAAAGTTTCTAATTTCAAAACATACTACAGTGTTATAGTAATTAAGACAGTGTAGTACTGTCACAAGAGAGACATATAGATCCATGGAATTGAATTGAGATCCAAGAAATAAAAGTTCTTACATTATGGTCAATTGATTTTCCACACTACTGGCCTTAATCCTCTCCCTTTTCCCCTCATCCCACTACCCTGTTGAGTAAGGAACTGAACCTCCACTCCTAACTGGAATCAGTGAAGCAGAAATGCAAGACAATTACATGGGAAAAGAATAGTCTTTTCAACAAATGTTGCTGGGACAACTGGATATCCATATGCAAAAGAATGAATTTGGACCCCTATCTCAACTCACATAGAAAACTTAACTCAAAATGGATCCTATACCTATATATAAGAGGCAAAACTATAAAACTCTTAGGACAAAACATAAATTAAAACTTCATGACCTTGGATTCAGCAGTGGTTACTTAGATACGACACTAAAAGCACAAGCAACAAAAGAAAAAATAAACGAATTGGCCTACATCAAAACAAAAATGCTTGTGCTTCAAAGGACACCATCAAGACAATTAAAACACAACCCACAGAATGGGAATTTTTTTTTGCAGATTATATACCTGATAAGCGACCTGTATCCAGATTATATAAAGAACTCTTGCAACTCAACAATAAAAAGACAAATAAGCCAATTTTTAAATGGACAAAGGATCTCTGAATAGACATTTCTCCAAAGAAGACATATAAATGGCCAATAAGCACATGAAAAGATACTCAACATCATTAGTCATTAGGGAAATGCTGATAAAAATCACAATAAGATACCACTTCATACCTGTTAGGATGGGTATAATAAAAAAGGCAGATCATAACAAGTATTGGTGAGGATATGGAGAAATTGAAACCCTCATACATTAGGAACGTGAAATGGTGCAGCTGCTTTGGAAAAGAGTCTGTCAGTTTCTCAAACGTTAAACACGGAGTTACCCTAGGGCCTAACAATCTCACTCCTAGGTATAAGCCCTAGATAAATAAAAACATAATCACAGAAGATGTACATGAATGTTCATGGCAATGTTATTCATACTGCCAAAAAGTAGAAGCAACTGAAGTTGTGCATGAATATTCTTAGCAGAATTACTTGTAACAGCCCAAAAGTGGAAACAAGCCAAGAATGTTTTTTAATTTTTTTTTGTTATATTTTAAGTTCTAGGGTACATGTGCACAATGTGCAGGTTTGTTGCATATGTATACATGTGCCATGTAGGTGTGCTGCACCCATTAACTCTTCATTTACATTAGGTATATCTCCTAATGCTATCCCTACCCTCTCCCCTCAACCCATGACAGGCCCTGGTGTGTGATGTTCCCCATCCTGTGTCCAAGTGTTCTCATTGTTCAATTCCCACCTATGAGTGAGAACATGCGGTGTTTGGTTTTCTGTCCTTGTGATAGTTTGCTCAGAATGATGGTTTCCAGCTTCATCCATGTCCCTACAAAGGACATGAACTCATCATTTTTTATGGCTGCATAGTATTCCATGGTGTATATGTGCCACATTTTCTTAATCCAGTCTATCATTGATGGACATTTGGGTTGGTTCCAAGTCTTTGCTATTGTGAATAGTGCCACAATGAACATACGTGTGCATGTATCTTTATAGCAGCATGATTTATAATCCTTTGGGTACATACCCAGTAATGGGATGGCTGGGTCAAATGGTATTTCTAGTTATAGATCCTTGAGGAATCGCCACACTGTCTTCCACAATGGTTGAACTAGTTGACAGTCCCACCAACAGTGTAAAAGTGTTCCTATTTCTCCACATCCTCTCCAGCACCTGTTGTTTCCTGACTTTTTAATGATCACCATTCTAACTGGTGTGAGATGGCATCTCATTGTGGTTTTGATTTGCATTTCTCTGATGGCCAGTGATGATGAGCATTTTTTCATGTATCTGTTGGCTGCATAAATGTCTTTTGAGAAGCATCTGTTCATATCCTTCAGCCACTTTTTGATGGGGTTATTTGATTTTTTCTTGTAAATTTGTTTAAGCTCTTTGTAGATTCTGGATATTAGCCCTTTGTCATATGGGTAGATTGCAAAAATTTTCTCCCATGCTGTAGGTTGCCTGTTCACTCTGATGGTAGTTTCTTTTGCTGTGCAGAAGCTCTTTAGTTTAATTAGATCCCATTTCTCAATTTCAGCTTTTGTTGTCATTGCTTTTTGTGTTTTAGTCATGAAGTCCTTGTCCATGCCTATGTCCTGAATGGTATTGCCTAGGTTTTCTTCTAGGATTTTTATGGTTTTAGGTCTAACATTTAAGTCTTTAATCCATCTTAAGTTAATTTTTGTATAAGGTGTAAGGAAGGGATCCAGTTTCAGCTTTCTACATATAGCTAGTCAGTTTTCCCAGCACCATTTATTAAATAGGAAATCCTTTCTCCATTTCTTGTTTTTGTAAGGTTTGTCAAAGACCAGATGGTTGTAGATGTGTGGTATTATTTCTGAGGGCTCTGTTCTGTTCCATTGATCTACATCTCTGTTTTGGTACCAGCACCATGCTGTTTTGGTTACTGTAGCCTTGTAGTATAGTTTCAAGTCAGGGAGCATGATGCCTCCAGCTTTGTTCTTTTGGCTTAGGATTGTCTTGGCAATGAGAGCTCTTTTGTGGTTCCATATGAACTTTAAAGCAGTTTTTTCCAATTCTGTGAAGAAAGTCATTGGTAGCTTGATGGGGATGGCATTGAATCTATAAATAACCTTGGGCAGTATGGCCATTTTCACGATATTGATTCTTCCTATCCATGAGCATGGAGTGTTCTTCCATTTGTTTGTGTCCTCTTTTATTTCATTGAGCAGTGGTTTGTAGTTCTCCTTGAAGAGGTCCTTCACATCCCTTGTAAGCTGGATTCCTAGGTATTTTATTCTCTTTGAAGCAGTTGTGAATGGGAGTTCACTCATGATTTGACTCTCTGTCTGTTATTGGTGTATAGGAATGCCTGTGATTTTTGCACATTGATTTTGTATCCTGAGACTTTGCTGAAGTTGCCTATCAGCTTAAGGAGATTTTGGGCTGAGACGATGGGGTTTTCTAAATATACAATCATGTCATCTGCAAACAGGGACAATTTGACTTCCTCTTTTCCTAATTGAATACCCTTTATTTCTTTCTCCTGCCTGATTGCCCTGGCCAGAACTTCCAACACTATGTTGAATAGGAGTGGTGAGAGAGGGCATCCCTGTCTTTGGCCAGTTTTCAAAGGGAATGCTTCTGGTTTTTGTCCATTCAGTATGATATTGGCTTTGGGTTTGTCATAAATAGCTATTATTTTGAGATATGTCCCATCAATACCCCGTTCATTGAGAGTTTTTAGCATGAAGGGCTGTTGAATTTTGTCAAAGACCTTTTCTGCATCTATTGAGATAATCATGTGTTTTTTGTCTTTGGTTCTGTTTATATGCTGGATTACATTTATTGATTTCCGTACATTGAACCAGCCTTGCATCCCAGGGATGAAGCCAATTTGATCATGGTGGATAAGTTTTTTGATGTGCCGCTGGATTTGGTTTGCCAGTGTTTTATTGAGGATTTTCGCATCGATGTTCATCAGGGATATTGGTCTAAAATTCTCTTTTTTTGTTGTGTCTCTGCCAGGCTTTGGTATCAGGATGATGCTGGCCTCATAAAATGAGTTAGGGAGGATTCCCTCTTTTTCTATTGATTGGAATAGTTTCAGAAGGAATGGTACCAGCTCCTCTTTGTACCTCTGGTAGAATTCTGCTGTGAATCTGTCTGGTCCTGGACTTTTTTTGGTTGGTAGGCTATTAATTATTGCCTCAATTTCAGAGGCTGTTATTGGTCTATTCAGGGATTCAGCTTCTTCCTGGTTTAGTGTTGGGAGGGTGGCTGTGTCCAGGAATTTATCAATTTCTTCTAGATTTTCTAGTTTATTTGCATACAGGTGTTTATAGTATTCTCTGATGGTAGTTTGTATTTCTGTGGGATCAGTGGTGATATCCCCTTTATCATTTTTTATTGTGTCTATTTGATTCTTCTCTCTTTTCTTCTTTATTAGTCTTGCTAGCGGTATATCAATTTTGTTGATCTTTTCAAAAAGCAGCTCCTGGATTCATTGATTTTTTGAAGGACTTTTTGTGTCTCTATCTCCTTCAGTTCTGCTCTGATCTTAGTTATTTCTTGCCTTCTGCTAGCTTTTGAATGTGTTTGCTCTTGCTTCTCTAGTTCTTTTAATTGTGATGTTAGGGTGTCAGTTTTAGATCTCTCTTGCTTTCTCTTTTGGGCATTTAGTGCTATAAATTTTCCTCTACACACTGCTTTAAATGTGTCCCAGAGATTCTGGTATGTGTATCTTTGTTCTGATTGGTTTCAAAGAACATCTTTATTTCTGCCTTCATTTCATTATGTACCCAGTAGTCATTCAGGGGCAGGTTGTTCAGTTTCCATGTAGTTGAGCAGTGTTCAGTGAGTTTCTTAATCCTGAGTTCTAGTTTGACTGCTCTGTGGTCTGAGAGACAGTTTGTTATAATTTCTGTTCTTTTACACTTGCTGAGGAGTGCTTTACTTCCAACTATGTGGTCAATTTTGGAATAAGTGGTATGTGGTGCTGAGAAGAATGTATATTCTGTTGATTTGGGGTGAAGAGTTCTGTAGATGTCCATTAGGTCCGCTTGGTACAGAGCTGAGTTCAATTCCTGGATATCCTTGTTAACTTTCTGTCTCATTGATCAATCTAATATTGACAGTGGGGTGTTAAAGTCTCCCATTATTATTGTGTGGGAGTCCAAGTCTCTTTGTAGGTCTCTAAGGACTTGCTTTATGAATCTCAGTGCTCCTGTATTGGGTGCATATATATTTAGGATAGTTAGCTCTTCTTGTTGAATTGATCCCTTTACCATTGTGAAATGGCCTTCTTTGTTTCTTTTGATCTTTGTTGGTTTAAAGTCTGTTTTATCAGAGACTAGGATTGCAACCCCTGCTTGTTTTTGTTTTCCATTTGCTGGGTAGATCTTCCTCCATCCCTTTATTTTGAGCCTATGTGTGTCTCTGCATGTGAGATGGGTCTCCCGAATACAGCACACTGATGGATCTTGACTCTCTATCCAATTTGCCAGTCTGTGTCTTATAATTGGGGCATTTAGCCCATTTACATTTAAGGTTATATTGTTATGTGTGAATTTGATCCTGTCATTATGATGTTAGCTGGTTATTTTGCTCGTTACTTGATGCAGTTTCTTCCTAGCATTGATGGTCTTTACAATTTGGCGTGTTTTTGCAGTGGCTGGTACCAGTTGTTCCTTTCCATGTTTAATGCTTCCTTTAGGAGTTCTCATAAGGCAGGTCTGGTGGTGACAAAATCTCTCAGCATTTGCTTGTCTGAAAATGATTTTTTTTCTCCTTCATTTATGAAGCTTAGTTTGACTGGATATGAAATTCTGGGTTGAAAATTCTTTTCTTTAAGAATGTTGAATATTGGCCCCCACTCTCTTCTGGCTTGTAGAGTTTCTGCCGAGAGATCTGCTGTTGGTCTGATGGGCTTCCCTTTGTGGGTAACCTGACCTTTCTCTCTGGCTCCCCTTAACATTTTTTCCTTCATTTCAACTTTGGTGAATCTGACAATTATGTGTCTCAGAGTTGCTCTTCTCGAGGAGTATCTTTGTGGCGTTCTCTGTATTTCCTGAATCTGAATGTTGGCCTGCCTCTCTAGGTTGGGGAAGTTCTCCTGGATAATATCCTTAAGAGTGTTTTCCAACTTGGTTATATTCTTCCTGTCACTTTCAGGTACAGCAATCAGATGTAGATTTGGTCTTTTCACATAGTCCCATATGTTTTGGAGGATTTGTTCTTTTCTTTTTACTCTTTCTTCTCTAAACTTCTCTTCTTCCTTCATTTTATTCATTTGATCTTCAATCACTGATACCCTTTCTTCCACTTGATTGAGTCGGCTACTGAAGCTTGTGCATGCATCACGTAGTTCTCGTGCCATGGTTTTCAGCTCCATCAGGTCATTTAAGGTCTTCTCTATGCTGTTTATTCTAGTTAGCCATTCATCTAATCTTTTTTCAAGGTTTTTAGCTTCTTTGCAATGGGTTCGAACATCCTTCTTTAGCTTGGAGAAGTTTGTTATTGCCGATTGTCTGAAGCCTTCTTCTCTCAACTTGTCAAAGTCATTCTCTGTCCAGCTTTGTTCCTCTGCTGGCGAGGAGCTGCATTTCTTTGGAGGAGAGGAGGCACTCTGATTTTTAGAATTTTCAGCTCACATTTCAATACTAACATTGACAACATTAACATTGACAGTACTAACATTAACAACGCATGGAACTTACTCCAAGATAGACCATATGATAGGCCATAAAATGAGCCTCATTAAATTTAAGAAAATTGAAATTATATCAAGCACTCTTTCAGACCACAGTTGAATAAAACTGGAAATCAACTCCAAAAGGGATCTTCAAAACCATGCAAATACATGGAAATTAAATAACCTGCTCCTGAATGAGCACTGGGTGAAAAACGAAATCAAGATGGAAACTGAAAAATTCTTAGAACTGAACCACAATAATGACCCAATCTATCAAGACCTCTGGGATACAGCAAAGGCAGTGCTAAGAGGAAAGTTCATAGCCCTAAATGTCTACATCAAAAAGACTAAAAAAGTACAAACTGACATCTAAGGTCACACCTCAAGGAACTAAAGAAACAAGAACAAACCAAACCCAAACCCAAACCCAGCAGAAGAAAGGAAATAACCAAGATCAGAGCAGAACTAAATGAGATTGAAACAAAAAAATACAAAAGATAAATAAAACAGAAAGCTAGTTCTTTGAAAAGATAAATAAAATTGATAGCCCATTGGCAAGATTAACCAAGAAAAGAAGAGAGAAAATCCAAATAACTTCACTAAGAAATGAAACGTAAGATATTACAACTGACACCACTAAAATACAAAAGATCATTCAAGGCTACTGTGAACACCTTTACACACGTAAACTATAAAGCCTAGAGGAGATGGATAAATTCTTGGAAAAACACAATCCTCCTAGCTTAAATCAGGAAGAACTGGATATCCTGAACAGACCAATAACAAACAACCAGATTGAAGTGGTAATTAAAAAATTACCAACAAAAAAAGTCCAGGACCAGATGGATTCACAGCAGAATTCTACCAGACATTCAAAGAAGAATTGGTACCAATCCTTTTGACAGTATTCCACAAGATAGAGAGAGAAGGAACCCTCCCTAATTCATTCTATGAAGCCAGCATCACCCTACTACCAAAACCAGAGAGGACGTAACCAAAAAAGAAAACTACAGACAGCTATCCTTGAACATAGATGCTAAAATCCTTAACAAAATACTTGCTAACCAAATCAAACAACATGTCAAAAAGATAATCCACCATGATCAAGTGGGTTTCATACCAGGGATACAGGGATGGTTTAACATATGCAAGTAAATAAACATGATACACCACATAAGCAGAATTAAAAACAAAAATCACATGATCACTTCAATAGATGCAGAAAAAGCATTCGACAAAATCCAGCATCCCTTTATGATTAAAACTCTCAGCAAAATTGGCATATAAGGGACATACTTAATGTAATAAAAGCCATCTATGACAAACCCACAGCTAACATAATACTGAATGGGGAAAAGTTGAAAGCATTCCCTCTGAGAGCTGGAACAAGACAAGGATGCCCACTCTCACCACTCCTCTTCGACATAGTACTGGAAGTCCTAGCCAGAGCAATCAGAAAAGAGACAAAAATAAAGGGCATCCAAATCGGTAAAGAGGAAGTCAAACTGTTACTGTTCGCTGACGATATGATTGTTTACCTTGAAAACCCTACAGACTCCTCCTCCAGAAAGCTCCTATATCTGATAAAATAATTCAGCAAAGTTTCCATATACAAGATTAATGTACACAAATCAGTAGCTCTTCTATACACCAACAACAACCAAGCAGAGAACCAAATCAAGAATTCAACCCCTTTTACAAGAGCTGGAAAAAAAACCCACACACACAAAAAAGGAATATACCTAACCAAGGAGTCGAAAGACCTCTACAAGGAAAGCTGCAAAACACTGCTGAAAGAAATCATAGACGACACAAACAAATGGAAACATACCCTATGCTCATGGATAGGTAGAATCAATATTGTGAAAACGCCCATACTGCCAAAAGCAGTCTACAAATTCAATGCAATCCCCATCAAAATACCACTAACATTCTTCACAGAATTAAAAAAAAACGATTCTGAAATTCATATGGAACCAAAAAAGAGCCCACATACCCAAAGTAAGACTAAGCAAAAAGAACAAATTTGGAAGCATCACACTGCCTGATTTCAAACTATACTATGAGGTCATAGTGGTACTGGTACAAAAATAGGCATATATACCAGTAGAACGGAATAGAGAACCCGGAAATAAACCCGAATACTTACAACCAACTGATCTTCGACAAAGCAAACAAAACCATAAAGTAGGGAAAGGACACCCTTTTCAACAAATGGTGTTGGGATAATTGGCTAGCCACATGTAGGAGAATTAAACTGGATCCTCATCTCTCACCTTGTACAAAAATCAACTCAAGATGGATTAAGGACTTAAACCTAAGACCTGAAACTATAAAAATTCTAAAAGATAACATTGGAAAAACCCTTCTAGACATTGGCTTAGGCAAGGATTTCATGACCATGAACCCAAAAGCAAATGCAATAAAAACAAAAATAAATAGCTGGGACCTAATTAAACTAAAGAGCTTTTGCACAGCAAAAGAGTAAACAGACAACACACAGAGTGGGAGAAAATCTTCACAATCTATACATCTGACAAAGGACTAATAACCAGAATCTACAATGAACTCAAACAAATCAGTAAGAAAAAAAATAAACAATCCCATCAAAAAGTGGGCTAAGGGCATGAATAGTCAATTCTCAAAAGAAGATACACAAATGGCCAACAAACGTGAAAAAATTGCTCAACATCACTAATGAATGATCAGGGAAATGCAAATCAAAACCACAATGCAATACCACCTCACTCCTGCAAGAATGACCATAATCAAAAAATCAAAAAACAGTAGATATATGGTGGTGAACAGGGAACAATTTGACACTGCTGGTGGGAATGTAAACTAGTACAGCCACTATGGAAAACAGTGTGGAGATTCCGTAAAGAACTAAAAGTAGAACTACCATTTGATCCAGCAATCCCACTACTGGGTATCTACCCAGAAGAAAAGAAGTCATTATTCAAAAAAGATACTTACATATGTATGTTTATAGCAGCACAATTCACAATTGCAAAATCGTGGAACCACCCCAAATGCCCATCAATCGACGAGTGGATAAAGAACCTGTGATATATATATATATATGATGAATATATATATATGATGAATATATGTATATGATGGAATATATATATGATGGAATATATATTATATATATATGATGGAATATATATTATATATATGATGGAATATATATTATATATATGATGGAATATATATTATATATATGATGGAATATATATATATATGATGGAATATATATATATATATGATGGAATACCATGCAGCCATAAAAAGGAGTGAATTAACAGCATTTGCAGTGACCTGGGTGAGATTGGAGACTATTATTCTAAGTGAAGTAACTCAGGAATGGAAATCCAAACATCATATGTTCTCACTGATATGAGGACACAGAGGTGTAAGAATGATGCAGTGGACTTTGGGGACTTGAGAGGAAGAGCAGGGGTGGACAAGGGACAGAAGACTACAAATATGGTGCAGTGTATACTGCTCAGGTGATGGGTGCACCAAAATCTCGCAAATCACCACTAAAGAACTTACTTATGTAACCAAATACTACCTGTACCCCAATAACTTATGGAAAAATTAAAATTAAAATTAAAATTAAAAAATAAAACCACAAAGTTAAAAAAAAAAAGAATTGTGACAGTTGTTTTGAAAAGCAATTCTGGAAATATTTATTAAAATTTAAAATGTACATACTATTTGATGCACATTATCTTTCTGAGGACTCTATCCCATAAAAATACAAGCAGCAGTTTGTATAAAGACATTTATATATTTCAAAATTTACATACAACAGCTGGGCACAGTGACTCACACCTGTAATCCCAGCACTTTGGGAGGCCGAGGTGGGTGGACCACTTGAGGTCAGGAGTTCAAAACCAGTTTGGCTACCATGGTGGGTGAAATCCCATCTCTACTAAAAGTACAAAAATTAGTCAGGCTTGGTGGTGGGTGCATGTAATCCCAGCTACTCAGGAGGCTGACACAGGAGAATTGCTTGAACCCAGGAGGCAGAGGTTGCAGTGAGCCAAGATTGCGCCACTGCACTCCAGCCTGGGCAACAGAGCAAGACTCCATCTCAAAAAAAAAAAAAAAAAAATTTACATACAACATAAAAGGGGAAATTAATCAATGCCCAATAATAGGGAAGTGGTATTTCCTAGTTTTTTATTATTTGAATAATACAGCTGTATTATAGAATAATGCACAATCTTACAACGAATGGCATATATTTATTTGAGAAATTTCCATGGTGTGTTGTTAGGTAATAAAGCAAAATGTAAAAATGTTACATGTGAAAACATTTTTGTAAAACCAATTATGATGCCCAAGTCCTCTTCTTATAGGGCCACTGTTTTACAAGATGAATATAAAGACGTGGAGTTTGTGGGTCATCCTTTCTGGTCTTTACAATGACTGATGATGCCAGACTGCCTCTCCTGACTCTCGGGGATGCTGCACACCTTCAGTTGGGTGGATTGGCTCCCCTGGTTACTTTTACTACAAGACGGTAATTTGTATCCTTGGCCCATTTGGCCGCAAGGTTGCTTGCCTGTGGTTTTTAACTCATGTTGTTTTGGGGGACAGAACCTCATATCAGGCAGAGAGAGGTCTTGAAAGGGTATTGGTCCATTGCCCCAATCATATAGCCATCAGTCCTTCATGCCAGAGGCTCTGCTGTTATTGGAGCTGATGCTGTCTAGGTGCCTCCTCATGACATTAAGGGCCCTCTGCAGCCCAGCCTTGGCTCACTTTTCCAGCCTTCTCGCATCTCTTCTTTCCACCCCCATGCTTCAGCTAATGGAACCAGGCCATTGGCCCAGTGTTTGGCACCCATGCTTTTACTCAAGAAGCTGTTTCCTCCACCTGGAATGCCTGCCCATCCCTTCCCATTCCTACCTGTCCAAATATGACCTAATTGATGACAGGACTCACTTCCTGCCTTTTATGACAGCACATGGCTTCTTGCCCCTGCCGGACTGACAGGCATTTGGGGAGAAATAAACACAAACCTGTATCTTCTTCTCAAGTTTTTCACAGGGGGCTTTGCTCAGAGTGGGAATTTGAAAAGTATTTGGCATGTCTCCCCTGTTGTCTGGGACAGGGGTGGTCAGGAGCCTCTCAGCTCTAGGACCAGAGGAGGGAGGTGAATAATCCCATCATCCAGTAGTGAGGAGGTGGCGGAATTTAGCAGTGAGAGCTGCTCAATGGACAGCTCTTACCTTAGGCTGAGAACTGCTGCAAGACAGCAGTGAGGGGACAGGATAGAAGGGTATGGGAAGACACGCAGGCTGAACTTGGGGGTCTGAGCTTGTGGGCTGGACTAGGCATGCTGGATTTCATCCTGGAATGAGATTTAGTCCAGCTCATCCCCTAGAGTGCTGAGAGCTTGGGCCCCTGGTAAAGCCACTGCTCACCTCCAGCTTTAGGCTTAGGATTAGTCAAGATGATTAAATGAGTAGCCAAGTGTTTTTGTAAGGAACAAATGCTTTTCAACAGAAGAGAATATAAAGATCAACTGTTGTAGACTTTCCTCTCTTCAGTGCATGGCTAGCAGGTCTCCTTCTCCTGGAAGTCACTGCAGAAGGCCTTTGTCCTCTGCTTGAGGCTGTGGTGGGACTTTTGCTTTTACTGAGCATGGTATCAAGTGCCCACAGTTTGTTTATCCCTTACCACAATCCAATGAAGTCAGGGATTACCCCAGTTCTCAGATGAGAAAATTGAGTCTCACTCAACATTGGACTATTTGTAACCTTCAGACTCAGAGGACCAGAGGAATCTGTAGAGGAGTGAGAGGTCGCATGTTCATGCTGTTCATCCTAGAAACTGTAGGAATGATCAAAGTTCCTTTCATTGGCCTCTTTTCTACCAGCAACCTTACAGAAATTGTGTTGACTCTCATTACCATCTGCCATTATGCATTTGATTAAAAAACACAACAACACTTCACAACACAATCCCTTAGGGTTCTGGGAATTTACAAAAGCATGAATTAATTTAATTTTGCTGAAGTAACGACATTGTTAAAATAGATCAAATGTCCATATAAGATAATGGGTACTTTTGCATGAACTCGACCATCAGCTTCCTAATTATCTGGTTGGATATACAACAATGTATTCGTCTCAATCCCTGTGATTGGACACTTAGGTTCCACTATTTATTTTATTATTTTAAACACCTCAATAGTGAACATCTTTGTGCATATGACCTTTTGAAGTATTTCAGAAGATTTCCTTAGAAGAAATTCCCAGAGGTGGATTTAATGGGTCAAAGCATCTTGGTTGATATTGCAAAACTGCTTTTCAAAAAGGTTTCATGATGTCTGTGGCCACCAGATGTGACTTCCAGGCAATTTTCTGGGAGAAACCCTCCATAATCAGTCAAGCATATCTGCCAAGGGGGATCTTACTGCTGCAGTGAAGTGGGGCATGGAAAAGGGTGTTCTGGAAGGACTCCCTTTCCTTCTTACGGTGGCAGGAATGGGCCCTGTTGCCTTGAACTGCTTGTATGATGCCTGGAAAAGCCTGATTAGGATGGCCATCCCTGGTGAGATGCTTCAAGGGGATTCAGGTGGAGAGGAGGCATTTGGAATAGGTGACCTCTGAGGCTCCTTCCAACTTTGGAATCCTGGTTTGAGGATCAAACAAGATTTATAACAGTTTGGTCAAAAGAATGTGACTGCCCAACTTTTAAAAGTAGGTTATGTAAATAAATTATCAAAATCATGGTTCCATTATAAGCCCTGCAATAACTCAGGATTTCTTTCCCAAGTGTTCTGAGGCCACCGCAGTGGATGTTAATATATTTCTCCAAGGTTCAGTCCCATTCTGCTTCTCCCTCCATGTTAATGATCTGTAGCCTTCTTCGTTGGCAGGATGTGGAGCCCTGGCATTAGCAGGGCAACCCCTTTCAATGTCACTCAGTCCACACACTCCAGCAGCTGGCATGGGAGCTGGTAGACAGTCTACACACCAAGATGGAATAAATGGGGCAATCCCTTCTTAAGAAGAGTGCATCCCAGCTGCCTCAGTCAGGAAGGAAGCCTTTCTCTCTTCCTCAATCCTTCACGCTTCCCACTATCAGGACATGGCCCCTCTATTTATGATCTTGGAGTCATCTCCTTTGTCCTTCCTTCTTCAGAATCTATCCGTCACCAAGCCGCGTCTGCTCTACCTCAAACTAAACACCAGTCCAACCATGCTTTCCTTCTCCACCTTGGGCAAAGCCACTATCACTTCTTGCCTGGAGGGCCAGAGCCACCCTCTAATTTGTCTCCCCACCTCTTCTCTATCTCCTCACCAACCCAATATGCACTCTGAGGCCTGAGAGGGCTTTTTGAAAGGCAAATCAAATCATGGCACTCCCCTGCCAAACCCCACCATAAAGAATCCTAATTTCAAACTAACGTTGGAACTGGAAGATAAATCAACTCTATTCAAAATCATGACTCATTTTGCCTTGACAGCACTCATTCTGGACTAATAAGATTTCTTCTTACTCCCCCCTCCCTGCCACTCTCCCTTTCTTCCTGGCTTCTCTGTCTTTTCTTCCCTTCTCTCCTTTCCTCTCTTCTTTTTCTTCCTTTCCCTCTCATTCATCCACCACATTCATTCCTTCTTTCATTCACTCATTCAATCATTCTGTTTTGTTTTCAACCCTGAATGTCATCCTTCATTTCCTGTCCTGAGATCTGGACTAGAACAAGACAGGAAATGTAAGGAAGACCCTAAATTTATTCTTCACAGTGGATTTGACTCTCCCAATAGCTGCAGTGAATAGGTTCCTTGCCATCCTGTTCAGACCCTCTGCCTTATTGGGGAGTCAGCCCTGTTTCATAGTCAGGGCCCACCTGGAGAATTGAGATCCTGGAACCAGACAACAAGACCCCAGCCTCTTAAGGCAGCCCTTGGCAGTTGCATCAAAGTGGAGGATCAGACTGATTAAATCGATCAAGTGTGAAGTGCCGTTACTTGCTCTGAGGCTCCATTTAGCACCACAGTACTGGGTTTCAGCAAAGAGAAAATCTGGAATCGATACTGCTATCATTTCACAAAATTACAGTATTGTGTACTGAAAATGAGCCATAAATCAACTTCAGGCTTCACTTGCCAGAGCAAACAGCTTTCCTGTGAGAATGACAACGCCTTGGAACCAGAGGGTCCAGGCCTTCCCCATGGTTATTTTCCCACCTGGGAATGCAGATGATCTGGAGAGAGGATTCCCCATTGCACCACAAGGAGCAGGGTTCATCAGTAGGCTTGGATGCCTTGGAAGAGCAGCCTGACTGAAATGCAACAAACCTCCTGAATCTCCCAAGCCCAGCCAAGCAGAAACTGCTGCAGACGAAATTGGGAGAGTCTGGCCTCTGAGGTCACCCCAGCCCATTCACATGCCCTAATTTCCTTCTTTCGAGTTTGGCCTCTCTTGGCAAGCTGAAACTTTCTCACCTGTAGATTTCAGTCCCAGGAGTTGGCTGGGAGATTGGTAGAGGGAATACTTTGTTGTCTGGGAGGCTCCCAGGTATGGAACTCCTGACCCTGCACCACACAGAGTTGCCTGAAAGCCTTCCTCTCTTCTCTTTTGCTTCCTGTCTGACATGTGTTTACAAAAGGCCAGTGTTCTGGGCACTTCTTTCCTGGCTACACTTGGCACACCACCTTTCCTTCATGGAAATTGTGGGCATGAGGGTCAGAGGTTATCAGACACACCAGTCCAAGTACCTTGAAATGAACCAGGCTGCCCTGCCTAGGGATGTCCTGACCCAATATCCACTGTATGTGTCTTGGGCCACCTTTTTGCTGCCCCACAAAATTGTAATTGCTGAAGGGCACGGACGATGCCCTCTACATTTTATTCTCTTTCCTAGTCCGTAGTGCAAAATGCCAAAATACGTAACTACTAAGATTGAGAACTAAATATATTCCATCATTTTCTGATTGCCACGATAAAATGGGAAAATAAATCCAGGTTATATAATTCCGATTATCTGGGTTTTTATCTGCAGCTAAATTCTCAATGGAATTTATTTTGAAGGGTACTTACATAAGGGACATTGGAAAGTATAAAGAAAAAAATCTTCAACATGGTTTTTATGAAAGATTAAGATATACTATTGATAAGCTATACCACTTACCCTAGATGGGCTTATTTCTTCATCAATAAGTAGGAACAGTAATAAAAACAAACTTACTGACAGGGTTGGGGTATCATAGTATTTTGTGAACATAGAGGAGTATCATGTTAAGATGGCAGAGTGCCATGTGGGCACCATAATCATCTCTATGTGGACTTGCTCAGAATCACACGTATAGCGAGCTCCAGCTGGGACGAAGCTCCTTCAGGTTGCTCCCCAAGGTCCTCATGTTCTTGTCCACCACCTTGTGCAGTCTACAGGGATCACTCCTGGCCTGCCTCCTGTTGGGGCTTGTCTGCCTTGTGGAGGTCTACCCGAATTTTTCAGGCACCTCCTACAGACTTCTCTTTTACTTTAACCATGGGGCACATGGGCTTCTGTTTGAAGAAAGATAATTATGGGCTCATCATTGGGGAGGACTTTTCCAAGACGAATCTCACAGTGATCATGAGAGAGAATTTTCAAGACCTGAAGAAAGGCATGAATACCCAGGATCAAAAGTCACACTGACTTAGATGCAGGATTAAAAAAAAAAAAATTCTGCCTGAATACGTTAGAGCGAAACTGCAGAATAAACAATAAAGCAAAAAGCTATCCAAGAGACAAGACAACTTTCCAAAACAACAAGAATTAGATCTACATCTAGTTTCATTTTTACAGTTGGATTTTCTACCATGAACAATCGGATTGCTAGAAGACACAGTCAACATACACATACAGTCAAGACTGAATATTAGGAAGGCTTCTTCTTACATCTGTTAAGAAATCCCCAGTGGAGTGCATAAAGGGGCAATTTCTTGCTTCTCTGTCATTGCCAAAGGTGTTGTCCTTTGCTGGTGGATATTTTAAGGCAGGCCTGTGAATGCTTCTTAAGTGATCCTCGGAGAGCTTTTCTCAATTGGTGAAAAAGTAAAATGTCCGCTGTTGGTGAAGATGTGGGAAAATGAGCTGTCTCACTGGTGGTGGGAATGTAATATGAACAGCCTTTTGGAGGCATTTTGGCTCCTAACCTCTGCACCCAAAGTTCTACTTCCTGGTACCCACCCTACACAGACACACATGAGCACAAAGCTGTCTGCACGGTACAAGGAAAGTCACTGCAACTTTCTTTGTAATTGCAATGGATTGTAATAGCAAAATATCTATTTTCTAGTAATGGCAAAAAATGACTATTAGCTAATAGGGAACTCAAACTCATCAGATAATGTTATAAAACCTCAATACAACAGGATGCTCTGCAGCTGCTAACATAAATGAAGTAGATCTATAGATGCTAACATGGAAAGACATCCATAATATACTGTTCTGTGAAAAAAAGGAAGTTGAAGATCAGGATATGCAGAGTGACCCTATTTCAAAAGTGTATATGCATATGCATATGCATATGCATATGTATATGTGGGGTGTGTGTGTGTGTCTACTTAGAAATTCAAGAAGCCAATAAAACACACCAAACTATGGTTACCTCAAGGTCATGAGTCTCGGATGTAGGACCTGCTTTCAATTTTTACTTTATATACTTCTGCACTACTTGCTTTATTTAGTAATTTTAAAAAGCCAATAAAGGGACAACTAGCAAACCTCAACCAGCAAACTTCTCCCTGTGTGTTTGTTCTACTTACTAACATCTTTGGTCTTCAGGTGTCTCATCTACATTTGGGCCAAACAAGAATGGTCATATTCAAATGTTTCTTAGTCTCTTTTTTCCAATAGAAATTTTTATTCCTGATTAAATGTTATGTGAAATCCCAACGTATAAGACAGATAAAAGTAGGACTGCTGTATCAGTCAATGGCTAGTCTAGAAAATAGGAACCACTCCAGGAATTTCAAACAAAGGGAGTTTAACACAAGCAACAAGGGAAAGTGTCAACCCAGAGATTAACCTAACAGGAAGCTGGTGCCATCAGTGGGTCACCCAGGGGAAGCCAGAACCACAGTGAGCTGGAGCCACAAAGTAGATGCAGCCTCCCCTGGAGATGCCACTGAGGCAGAGAGGAGGTGAAAATGAGAAGTGGTGATGCAAGACAGAGCAGGGCCAGGGTGGGGAAGGCTGTGAGAGCAAACAGGCATGTGGCCAATGCAGATGCTCTCCTGGCTGTGTCCTCTCATCCCATGCAGCATGTCTTGGAGCACAATTTCACAGCACTGGAAGATATGCATGATACCTATCGTTCCACGGCTTACTTGCCCCTTTTGAGAATGGAATAGCATCACAATGATGCTTAGTGGTGCTTGTCCTTGTTCCAAACCAAATCTAAAGGCCATTGGAAAGTAGAAAAACTGTTTCTAAAAAGTATATGCTTCTTTCAATTTTACTTATGTGCCCCTCTGTGTTTTCTCTTTCCATTCCAGTTAGTACATCCTTCTTACCTTGAGTGCTCAGAGCTCCTCCTTCCAGTGCCCTGCCAACACGAGAGCACCCAAGCAGCAGCCTTACATGCTGAAAGTATCTCTTTCTTCAACCTCCTCCACTCCACAATGCATTAAAATTCCATTTTCTAAGCAAGAGGTCTCCTCTGGCAATATGGAGCAGAGAGAGCCTGGCATGGGCATTGAGACCCCTGAGACCCCTAAACGAGCTGGTTCTGCCACTCTGCACCTGTGTGCTGCAGCTGACCTGGGACCTGTCCTTCAATGCTGGCATGACTCTGTCCCACCTGTATGTCTGTCCATACTCTTGCCAGTGCATTGTCTTCTCCACTCTTGGGCCTTGGCTCACAGAGTCCCTGGTAAGGGGATATTTGAGGAGATATGACCCAGTGGCTCTGAGGACCCATGATTAAGTCAGCTTCTCTGTGTGTCATGCTCTGACTTCATGCACCAACAAACTCACTCTTGTGAGTCAACCTCCACCTTGTGCTTCCAGGAACTGAGGAGGTAGAAACAATTACTGAGCCCTGGTGTTGTCCCCTTGGGGCCAGTTTTTACTTGTCACTCTGTCTTGTGCCTTGTGCTGCGACTTTTCTCTTCTTCCCTCCTCCAAGACTGCAGAATGTCCTCAAATGGCTCTTAAGTCCCGAAAATGGAAAGATGCATATCTGGAACACCAGGTTAGTGCTGCTTAATGACATTAATGCTACACAAGAGTTTCTGTGCATTTCCACTCTGAAAGTTGGCCACACTGAGCCACTCAAAGTCCCCTGAACACAGACAAAATCTCTTTGTCTATGACTTTGTGAGTTTGGTTCCTTCCACTCCCTATCCTTCCTTCCAGCCTCCACTTATATCTACCAGCCCATAAATCCACCACTGTATAGTCAGAATCATATTTGTTGAAGGGATAGATGAATAATACCACAACTACTGGCCCTGCCCCTCTCCTTCCCTTTTATACAAGCTGAAACATACTTTTTAACTTTTAAGTTCAGGGGTACAAGTGCAGGTTTGTTATATAGGTAAACTTGTGCCATGGGGATTTGTTGTACAGATGATTTCATCACCCAGGTATTAAGCCTAGTACTCATTAGTTATTTTTCCTTATCCTCTCCCTACTCCCACCCTGAATCCTCTGTTAGGTTAGACCCCAGTGTCTGTTGTTCTTCTCTATGTATTCATGTGTTCTCATCATTTAGCACCCACCTATAAGTGAGATACATGAGGTATTTGGTTTTCTGTCACTGCGTTAGTTTGCTAAGGACAATGGACTCCAGCTCCATCCATGTTTCTGCAAATGACATGATCTTGTTCTTTTTTTATGACTGTGTAGTACTCCACAGTGTATAGGTACCATATTTTCTTTATCCAATCTGCCATTGATGGGCATTTAGGTTGATTCTATGTTTTTGCTATTCTGAATAGTGCTGCAATGAACATAAGTGTGCATGTGTCTTTATGGTAGAATGATTTATATTCCTTTGGGTATATACCCAGTAATGGGTTACAGGGTTGAATGGTCACTCTATTTTTAGTTCTTTGAGGAATTGCCACACTGCTTTCCACAATGGTTGAACTAATTTACACTCCCACCAATGGTGAATAAGCATTCCCTTTTCTCTGCAACCTTGCCAAAATTTTTAATTTTTTTTGACTTTTTATAATAGCTATTCTGATTGGTGTGAGATGGTATCTCATTGTGGTTTTGGTTTGCATTTCTCTAATGATCCATGATGTTGAGCTTTTTTGCATATGCTTGTTGGCTGTATGTATGTCTTCTTTTGAAAACTGTCTGTTCATGTCATTTGGCCACTTTTTAAGGGGGTTGCTTTTTTCCTGTAAATTTAAGTTCCTTATAGATGCTGGATATTAAAACTTTGTCAGAGGCATAGTTTGGAAAAATTCTCTCCCATTCTGTAGGTTGTCTGTTTACTCTGCTGATAGTTTCTTTTGCTGTGAAGAAGCTCTTTAGTTTAATTAGATCCCATTTGTCATTTTTTGCTTTTGTTGCAATTGCTTTTGGCATCTTTGTCATGAAATCTTTGCCCATTCCTAGGTCCAGAATGGTATTGCCTAGGTTGTCTTCCAGGGTTTCTATAGTTTTGGGTTTTACATTTAAGTCTTTAATCCATGTTCAGTTGATTTTTGTATATGGTGTAAGGAATGGGTCTAGTTTTAATCTTCTGCATGTGGCTAGCCAGTTATCTTAGCACCATTTATTGAATAGGGAGTCCTTTCCTCATTGCTTGTTTTTGTCAGCTTTGCCAGAGATCAGATGGTTGTAGGTGTGAGGCCTTATTTGTGGGCTCTCTATTCTGTTCCATTAGTCTATGTGTCTGTTTTTGTACCAGTACTATGCAGTTTTGGTATAGCCCTTTAGCATAGTTTGAAGTTGGGTAGCATGATGTCTCCAGCTTTGTTACTTTTGCTTAGGGTTGCCTTGGCTATTTGGGCTCTTTTTTGGTTCTATATGAATTTTAAGATAGCTTATTCTAGTTCTGTGAAGAATGTCATTGGTAGTTTGATAGGAATAGCAATTGAATCTATAAATTGCTTTAGACAGTAAGGCCATTTTAATGATATTGCTTCTGCCTATCCATGAGCATGGAATGTTTTTTCCATTTGTTGGTGTCATCTCTGATTCCTGTGAGCAGTGTTTTGTAATTCTCATTGTAGATAGCGTTTGTCTCCCTGGTTAGCTATATTCTTAGGTATTTTATTCTTTTTGTGGCAATTGTGAATGGAATTGCCTTCCTCTAGGCTTGACTGTTGGAGTATGGGAATGCTAGCAATTTTTTTTATGTTGATTTTGTATCCTGAGACTTGCTGAGCTTGTTTATCAAAAGCTGAAACTTCCTTAAGGCAAGTGACAAGGGTAAAAGTTTAGGGAACATCAAAGCTTTGGATCCAACTTTCTGTGGCCTCTTTGTCATCTCTGCCTGGGTTGGAAAATGAGGTCTGAAGAAGAGTTGGAATTGAACACTTATCTTGTCCAGGCTCTAGGAAATCTCCAACATTTTTTAGTCTTGTCTTATTTCAGTTACTGCCATTTCATTTGCTGCCTGTCTAGACAATCAGTTCTTTCCACCAGGGGATCCTTTAGATTACAAGAACTGGAGCTCATACCTACAGGGATTTAAAGATACAGATATTGGACAGGCCACATAAAAAGAGAAAACGGAGTGTTCAGCCCTGTGGAAATTTGTAGGTGTCATTTACCCAGGATCTCTCTCATTTCTCCCCTTCTTGCCAAAGATAGTGCCCCCTATTCTGGTTTTCTACCCCACAGATTCCCCTGGCCTTGACCCACTCCCCATTGCTGATCCATGATGTGGCCCATGTAGGAAGCCCCAGGGATGCTTGGTGGCCTGTGTTTCTTTCCTTCCTTTGGTTTCCCAGGCCATCTGGGAATGTGCCGGCAGAGCAGCAACACAAAGGTCATGGAATTAGATATCTTCCAAGCACCCCCACCCCTGAGTGTAGCTGTAGGAAAGCCATGGGAAGCGGGCCTATCTTCTGGCTTGGGCTGTGCTTTTTGACACTAGTCGGTTAGAGAAATCTTAGGCCATTTGAAGACTAAAATAATAACTATTATTTCAAAGACTGACAGTTACTGTCTTATTCTTCCCCACTCCTGCTCTTGCAGACCCTTCATTCCCTGAGATGGATGGAGAGAGGAGGCAGTCATGCCAACCTCCAAGAATCTTTCAAGAGTTGTCCACTAGAGATCGAGACGCTGATGGGGAGGATTGTTTACTCCACCGGTGGCTTGTTCCTCAGGTCCCCCTGCAAGGATGGCTTGTCGCCTTGGCATGCCGGGCTGCTCCACATACACCCATGTTTGGGCATCCTCCTCACCTTCTAAGTCTGGCCATGTGCAGCCCAGGGGATTCGCAGGTGCGGTCAGGATGGAGACAAGGTGCTTTCCTTCTTGATGCTCATGACAGTATTGACAAATATTCCCTTCTAGTCCCTCCTGGTTCTTGGTTCTGAGGCCAGGGACAAGACAGTAAATTTCCCAGAGACTCATTTTTCCTATCCTTACAAGGGGTGTCCCAGGAGCACCCATCTGAAAGGGCATCTGTGAGCACCAAAAAAGACATTTATAGGAAAATATAAACCATAGATCAGTGAAGCTCAAAGTATGGTCTGTGGCCCCTAGGGGTTCCTGAAATCTTTTGAAGGGTCTGAGAGATTTTTGT
Organism: Homo sapiens; assembly: GCF_000001405.40. Classification (NCBI taxonomy): domain Eukaryota; kingdom Metazoa; phylum Chordata; class Mammalia; order Primates; family Hominidae; genus Homo; species Homo sapiens. The sequence continues at coordinate 43,821,767 of NC_000003.12, forward strand.
TTGTTTGTTTTGAGACAGGGTCTCTCTCTGTCGCCCAGGCTGGAGTGCAGTGGTGCAATTACAGCTCACTGCAGCCTTGATCTTCTGGGCTCAAGCGATCCTCCCACCTCACCCTCAAAAGAAACTGGGACTACAGGCACATGCCACCATACCGGGCTAGTTTTTGTTTGTTTGTTTGTTTTAAAGATGGGGTCTCCTTATATTGCCCAGGCTGGTCTCAAGCTTCTGGGTTCAAGCTCCCACCTCAGCTTCCCAAAGTGCCGATTACAGGTGTGAGCCACTGTGCCTGGCCAAAAGCAATTATTGTAATAACCATAAGACTTCATTTACCTTTTTTCACTGAGTTGATGTTTGCACTGATGGTACACAAGTAAGAGTAGGTGACGCTCCTGGTGCCTTAACATGAAGTGAGGCAGTGGTACCAAACTGTGCACGTGGTCGTTGTATTCTTCCCCTCCTTGAACTTGCAGGAAAAGGATGCCAGTGGAAATTTAGGATATCTTTGATGAACCAGTAAAAATTATTGATTTTATTGAAACACAATTCCTGAGTATGTGTCTTTTAAGTACTCTATGTGATGAAATGGGAAGTACACATAAAGCACTTACGCTGCATACTGAAATGCAATGCTCATCCTGAGGAAAAGCAATTGTGTGATTATTTTAGTTGTGAGATGAACCAGCCACTTTTTTCACAGAACACAATATTTAATTAAATTAACTAATTATAGAGTTAGGTATTTGGCAGACATTTTCTCTCTAATTCAGCAAGTATGTCATTTTAAGGAAAATAACTGATGGTATTTGTTACCACTGATAACATTTAAGCTTTCAAGCAAAAATTAGACTTTGGAAAATTTGTATTTGCCTTTCTGAGCTTGACAGTGTCCCGATGCTTAAATACTTTTCTCAAAAGACTGGCAATGATATTAACATATGTGGTTTTTTTGATACTGCATATCCATCAATGCATACCAATGAAATGTTTCAACATTTGGAAAATCTGCATAACCAATTTAACCAATATTTTCCAAATAACCAATGCATGATGCTACAAAATTAACCCTGGATAAAAGAGCCATTTAAGATGGAAGATTTTAATATAACAGTATATGATTTTAATGTTAGATTAATTCAATTTTTATGTAACAGAATGTTTAAAATTTATTGATATAATTTTAGATTCCACATCGATTTGTTATAAATGAACAAACTATAATGTGTTGAGTTTTAGTATAATACCGAAGAATAGCTACTGTTTTGTGAAAAGGCTATTTTAATACTTCTGTCTTTTCCAACTACATTTCTACTTCAAATCAGACATTAAAGAGCTTTGCAAAAATGTAAAATAATATCACTCTTCTCATTATATTCTTTTGTTTTAAAAAATATAGTCTTTTATTTATTTTTTTTAATAAGGCGGGGGTCTCATCATTTTGCCCAGGCTGGTCTTGAACTCCTGGGCTCAAGCAATCCTCCCACCTTGGCTTCCAAAAGTGCCGGGATTACAGGTATAAGCAACTGTGCCCAGCCCCCAAATATAATATTTTTATAAAAATACTATTTTACATTAACATGGAATGGTTTTATTATTGTTATTTTAAAATAAACCAGGAAAATAAATATATTTTAAAAATTTCTTAGCTTCAATTTCTAACATGGTAAATATCCATGGTTATAGCTGATATTAAAAATGCTCTTTGAAGACCTTAAGAAATGTTAAATGTAATGTTTCTGACACTGAAAGTTTGAGAACCACTGCCATGGGACACAGTATAAATTTCAGATTATTTAAAAAAAATCACTGTTTCTTCTCCAGTTCCCCAAATAGGTTTCTAATGGGAGACAGCCTAGAGCTCCTACTCTCATAGACACTGTCTCAGAGCCCCAGCTTTCCTTCACTAAAGCAAGGCTGAGAAGAACTTCTCTCAGATTTGAGGGTTCAAAAAATCCACCAAACCTTTCTTACAAAAGTATATGGTCTTAAAGACATATTTCTTATATGTGCCAAAAAATATAGTCATGAAGATGCATTCCTTAGATTTATTTAAAAATTTTTCTTAGCAGATCATGAGATCTGCTCTGGTCCACCCACAAGCATAGGAGTCATTCCATTTTGTAGCACGTGAGTTTCCAAGCCACCATCATGGGCTCAGGGCTTGTCTTCAAAAAGAATATGAATTGAGTGTGGCTGTTCCTCCCTATATCTTCATTATGACTATGCTGGATAAATTGCTTGGCCTGCCCTTCCTCCGCTCCACTTTTCTGGGAGCCTCTCCCCACCTCTTTTCCTATGTGCATGGTTACTTATGGGAGCAATTTTTAACACATGACCCTGCACTTTGCCACAGTTGATTGGCCAGAGCATGTCTGTGAATTTTGGCTATAGGATCCAGAGAGCTAAATTAGTTTCATTCCACTTTTAGCTAAAACTACAGCACATAAAGCTTTAGAGCCTTTATTCTCCATGTTTTTTGTCACATTGACTGAGAAGTAAGGGAAGCCAGTCTGCACCAAAAGATGGGAATGAAGAAGACATGCAGAAAAGCCAGCATGAGAGAAGAAAGAGTAGTGTTCTGCATCCCAGCCCTGGGTTGCAATTTTTCCTGAGGCCCACCCATATCTCTACCTTTCCCATGGTTTGGCTACTGTATGCTTCCAGGCTTCTGTGCATCTTCCAGTGCCCACTCCACCACTCTCCTAACTCACTTTCTGTTGGTTGTTTGTTTATTTGCTTAAGCAAGTCTGAGTTTCTCACCAGTATTAGAGACTTCTCTCTTAGTAGGCTCAGCATCACACATCATCAGAAAGTAAAGTAATTTCCCATCCCAAGTGGGTGACAGGTGACTTTGCATTTGACAGTGATAGTGAATCAATTATCCTGGGCTCAAGTAGAACATATTAGTGTATGAGTGTGTGTGAATGTGTGTATGTGTGTGTGCACAGGTGTGCTTAGGCTGATGCTACCTGACTCCACATGATAAAGCCCTTGGTGGCAGGAAAATGTAACCATCCTAGAACTTTCAAAGGAATCACATTGTTCCCTGTTGCTTATGAAATTCAGACTAATGAGTGGATAGATGAAGACTGGTTTTCCAGATAGCTTCTATCATCTTTTTATGCTTTCACACAAATACTATTTTCAGAGCCTTTACTGAGTAATGCAAGACTATTCAATGGCCATACAACTGGGTAGTTCAGAGTTCTTAACCTGAAGTATAATAATAGAATTCAGAGAGTCTGTGAACATGCATGGGGAAAAATGACCTCCTTATCTTCACTAATCTCTAACAGAAAATTAGCATTTTCCTCAATATTTCATGTAGGTAGAAAACCGCAGCTGTATTAGCAAGACCCACTTATAGAAATTACAGATACTTCCATATTAATTAAAGTGTTACTGATATCTTCAAAAGTTATTTGTTCATCATATTTTAAATTTTTGCTAGCTATTAAACCCACTACCAGATTCTATTATTTCACACACACATTCCTCTATCAAAAATGTCAATATTTTGGTAACTATTTCTACTTAATTGGTATATTTTGTTTTATGCAGTTAAAAACATTATTCTGATAATGTATGATATAATTCATCCAGGGGTTCTTTTTCAAAAAAACAATTTCAACTTTTATTTTAGATTCAGGGGGCACATGTACGGGTTCGTTACATTTGTATATTGCATGATGCTGAGGTTTGGGGTACCTGGTACCCAGGTAGTGAGCACAGTACTCAATAGGTGGTTTCTCAGCCCTTTCCCTTTTCCCCGCTTTTGAAGTACCCAGTGTCTATTGTTGCCATCTTTATGTCCATGGGTACCCAATGTTTAGCTCCCACTTATAAGTGAGAACATGCAGTCATGCAGTCTTTGGTTTTCTGTTCCTGCTTTAATTTGTTTAGGCTAATGATATCCAGCTACATCCATGTTGCAAAGGACGTGATTTCATTCTTTTTTATGGCTGCATAGTATTCTATGCTGTATATGTACTACATTTTGTTTATCCAGTCCACTGTTGATGGGCACCTATATTGATTCCATGTCTTTGCTATTGTGAATAGTGCTGCAGTGAACATACATGTGCATGTGTCTTTTTGGTAGAACAATTTAGCTTCCTCTTCCTATAGAGGTTCTGTGACACCAAAACAAACAAACAAAAAAACAAAAAAATACAGCTAAGAACTCCCGGTTTATTTACCTTCTTGGAAGAAGAATTAATACACAAGAAGCAGAAATCTGGTAAAAAAAAATACTACAAATATGACTTTACTGCTCCATAGGACAAGTTTTAATAATAATATTCTTCTAGTTATCTATTGCTGGATAATAAGACAGTCTGAGGTATAGTGCCTTAAAACAACAAAAATTATTTGCTTCAATTTAGGCATGCCTCGGGTGTCAATGTCTTCTCTCCGCTCCTTGTGGTAGCAACTCAGGGAGCTTGACTGTAGCTGAGGGACCCACTTCCAGATGACTCTCTCGCCTGGCTGGTGGGTTGGTGCTGGTGACTGACTGAGAGCTCAGGGAAACTGTCAGCTGGGAGCTTCCTGCCTCCCTAGCTGGCCCCCTCCACTGATCACTGGGCTCCTAACTGCATGCTGTCTGTATTCCAAAGAGTATTTGAGGTATTGGATGTCACCAGTCTCTTAAGACTTGAGCCTGGAAATTAGGGCAGTGTCCCTCCCACAATATTTTCTTGTTTAAGCAGTCAAGGGGCATAAGAGAGAGTTATTTTTACTATTCTCTTTACTTTTTAGTATAATTGAAATTTTCCATTAAAAAAATTATAACATCAATCTCATTTTGGTAACATCTCTAGGGTGACTGGTAGGGATGTAAATACATTCTAGAAGAGCATGTGAGTAAGCCAGTCGTCAAAAAGTTTTCCCAAATACCCACTAACAATGAGCTCAAAATTCAAAATTACAAAATTCATAAGGAATCAAGATATCAAGATTGAGTTAGTTGAAAAAACAAATAGCAGAACTGAATCTCCCAATTACTTTTAGATGATGGAATAATTAGATATAGAACATAAAGTATTTTTAAAATATTTTTAAAATTAAAGATGGAATAGAAAACATGAGAGAGGAATACTATGCTGTGAAAAATTCCTCTCATATTTGAGAAATGAAACAAAGAGAATTTCTAGAAATTCAAGATATGACCATTGAAATTAATTTCTCAGTAGATAAGGTAAATCAGAGATTAAACACAGCTAAAGAGAGAACTGATAAATTGAAAGACAGATGAGGCAAGAACACAGTACTGAGAGACAGATAGAAAATATGAAATAAGTTAAGAGACACAAAACAGTCTAATATACAGTTAAGAGACACAAAAAAGTCTAATATACACCTTATGAGAAAGTCTAATATATACCTACTTTTAATTCCAGAGAAAGGAAAGCTACCAGAGCAGAGAAAACACTCAAAGAGATAAAACAGGGAATTTTCCAAAGTTGATGAAAGAAATAGACCCTAAGATTTAGGAAGTGCAATTAAATTACATAGGAAACTCTGAAAAAGTAGTCAATTCCAAAGATAAAACAAAAAATTTAAAATCAAGCAAAGGGAAAGAATGGATTACCTACAAAGAATTACTATTAGATTGATCATAGATTCTGCACTAATAGCAATAAGAACAAAAGATAATGAAATACTATCTTCAAAGTATTGAGAAAAAAATTATTAACATGGTGTTTTAAACTACCTTAACCTATGACAAAACACAAGGGTGGAATAAAAACATTTATAAACTAACAAAAACAGAGGAATTTATTTTCTAGAGAACTGAACTTAAGAAACATCTAAAGGATGTCATTTTTGTAGGGAAATTGAATAGAATGGAGAACTAAGCTACAATGCAGAATGGTGCTTAATGAGCTGGAAAACCCAGGACTTCCAGGTGTGGTTGTACAGGGGTGCCACATCTGGGGGTGCCAGTTGCTCCGTACACAGTGTAGCTTCTATGTTTATTATGTATTCTGTTACTGTGTGGTATATGTATAGTACTGAATGAATGTTACTTTCCACAGATGGAAATAAAGTGTTTTGAAAGAGAAACACCTTTTCCCAATTTGCACAAAAATGCTATATGGGTTAGCAGCAGCTCAGCAGAAACATGTGGGTAAAGCTAAACAAATATTGACTTTATAGTACAACAGCAATAGAGGTAATAATTTTTAGTACAAAAGAGAGACAAGGAGGAAAATGCTGGATAAAAATAACTTTTAAGAAGGGACAGGTTGTTAGATTAAAAACATTCTAAGGTCCTTCTGTTGTTCTGGAGTAGAGAGATTTGTAAAGGTTGTCTGTTTAAAAAATAGGAAACATTTTTATATGAAGCATTTTAGAATAGGGCAGAAGCTCTAGTGTGCAGATTGCACATGCACTGTTAGGGCAGACACCTGCACCTGCTTACTTACCACTTAAAGGACACAGGATGAAGCATAGAGGTCTGCATCCAACTCCTGAGAAGGCAGGGAGACACAGATGAGCTCTCCACCTGGAGCTGCATCTGCCAGGGCTCCCCACCCTCCCCCAAAGCCTCCCTGTCGCTGCTTTGAATCAGGCCCACTGAGCTTCTTTAGCTCCTGGAACAGAGTCTCCTCCAGTGGCTCTGGGGGCAGCTGTCCAGGGGCTCTCGCAACCTCTGGACCCAACTGGCTGCCCAGAGGGCCAAGGGGTCAGTAACTGCAGCCCATCCCTAGTGAAACGCAGCATGCCATTTAGGAGGCTCTGCGTGAACCAGAGCTACTCACAAAAAATGAAATGTTCTAAAAAACCAGACTGTTTAGCACCAAAGTTACAGAAGTTTGCATACATATGTAATTTATTTGACATTTAAAAATATGGAAAACATTGCTATATATTGCTTATGGATATATCTACCTGTAGAAAAATATAAGGACATACATGGAATTGATTAACAAAATTTAGGATAGTGATTATTGCTAAAAATATGGGAGGAAAAGTGATTGAGAAGAGGTAAACACAGACCTTCAATTGTATTTGCAACATTTTACCACTTATATGTAGTGATGGGTGCATGTATAGTCATTAGATTATTCTCTATGCTTTTTTGTCTACTTGAAATATTTCGTAATAAATTAAGGTGGATATGAGTCTTCAGATTGGAAAAGCTCATCACATACCAAGCCATGTAGATAATAATATATTGACAACTGCACACACACATCATAATGGAATGGAGGATCATCAAAGATAGAAAAACCTAAGCACTATAAGAGGGTAATTGAGAAAGAGAGAAGCAAAACCAAATAATATTAGGCTTAAAAGGGATAAAACTTTAGATGTAGAATTTTAAAAATATTTTGAGAATGAATAAATGTATTTATTCTAATAATTTTGTAAATTATCAGCAATTAAAAAGTATTAATAGACTCAAACAGGAATTAAAATATTTAATCAACCAATGAAAAAATTGAAATGGATAGCCTAAGATTCCTTGAAGGTTTAGAAAATGCATATGATACCTTTGGAAGTGGGGAGGTTTCGAGATTATAAACAACATTGATTCAAAGATTATAACATATATTTTACTAGCAGTATAATCCTGGTATGAAAAATAGTCAAAGATAATACAAGGAAATAAAATTATATACCAAATTCACTTATAAACTCCAATGTAAAAATCCTAAGCAAAATATTAGTAAAGCCAATCCTCTAGATATTGCAGTATCATGAGGCTCACCCTTCATTTACTGCCTCCCCGGTCTTACTCATCTTGTTTGATAGCAGCTCCATCTTGCCACATTTTTTCAGGCCAAAGACCTTGGAACCATCCCTGACTCCTCTTTTTCTCTCATGCCCAAGATCCTCTTCTTTTATTTTCCAGAAGAGATTCTGTTGAGTTGGTGTTAATTCTTCTTTAAATGTTTGGTAAAATTCTCCACTGAAACCACTGGAGACAATGGGCATGATGATTATTTTGGGAGAGCATTTAAATTATGAATTCAAGGCCAGGTACAATGGCTTATGTCTGTTATCCCACCACTTTGGGATGCCAAGGCAGGAGGATCACTTCAGCCCAGGAGTTTGAGACCAGCCTGGGCAACCTGATGAAGCCCCGTCTCTACAAAAAAATACAAAAAAATTAGCCGAGCATGGTAGCACATACCTGTAGTCCCAGCCACTAGGGAGGCTGAGGTGGGAGACTTGTTTGAGCCTTGGAGGTCAAGGCTGCAGTGAGCTGTGAGAATGCCATTGCACTCCAATCTGGGTGACAGAGTGAGACCCTGTCTCAAAAAAAATTATGAATTCAAAATTCTAATGGTTTCATACAGGTTATTGTGGTTTTCAAGAAAGTCCATTTCTTCCAAGTTGTCAAATGTATTAGCATAAGTCTATTTATAATATTTGTATTACAAATACAAATATTACAATGTAATATTTGTAATATTCCCTTATTGCATTCGTCTGTTTTCACACTGCTATAAAAGACTGCTTGAGACTGGATAATTTATAAAGAAAAGCAGTTTAATTGACTCATAGTTTCAAATGGCTGGGGAGGCCTCAGGAAACTTACAATCGTGGTGGAAGGTGAAGGGGAAGCAAAACATGTCTTACATGGTGAAAGGAGGGAGTGAGGAAATGCCACACACTTTTAAACCATCAGATTTCATGAGAACTCACTCACTATCATGAGAACAGCATGGGGGGAAACCATCCCTATGATCCAATCACCTCCCACCAGGTTCCTCCCTCAAAGCATGTGAATTACAATTTGAGATGAGATTTGGGTGGGCACACAGAGCCAAACCATATCACTTATTTTTCATTTCTTTAGGATCTATAGTGATAGCTCTTGTTATTTTCCCCGGTGTTAGTAATCCGTGTCTTCTTTTTATTTTGCCAATCTTGCTAGATATTTTTTCAAAGAACCACCTATTAGTTTTATTGATTTTTCTCTATTGTTTTCTCTCTTATATACAGCACATATATAACTTGTTTTTTAAAAAAAACTCATTGGAGATCTTTTATCTTTTGATAAGTAAATATATCTTATTACATTTTCTTTATATGATAGAAGAGTTTGGACATATCACTGTGTGTCATGCTCTCTGTTTTTATCATTCACTAAATGGTCTATAGTCTCTTCATTTTGCTCATGTGCATGAGTGTTGTCCTTCTAATAATTTGGGAAGTTTGGATTTAATCTATTTTTAAAATTTTTTTTCTAATGACGCTATGAAAACTACCTTGTAGTTTTATATGATAAGTTTATTTTTAAGAGATCCCTTCTAGGTAGGGTTTACTTATTTCCCAATATGACATATGAGTAATTGTCACACTTATACTTTTCTGTACCTTCCTTATGGTGGAGTCCATCCACCACTAGGGTTGCATTAATTATGTTACTATTTTTGGTTGTCTTACTTGTTTATTTTGCATAATTTAAATATCACACAGACACCTTTATTAGTTAGCTTGTTACATATAATGTGTTGATGGACTGTGCTCTGTGAAATTTGAAGAAACTGAGGTGCTTACACTATTGTGCACCACTGAATCTTAATTAACCTCCACCACTCAATTTTCATCAGTAATATTATTTCATAGTATCATGGTTTCTAATATTTATATTCTGTTCTGTAATGATCATTTCCCTAGTTTAGCCTTAGTTCTATATGTAAATGGGTTCAATGCTTACAAGCCGTCCTTTTACCCTGGCTTTTTCATTTGTCTCTTAAAAGGCTGATTTATTAAACAAGGCATTATTCCCTAATTCTTGTATGTTTGATCATGATTTTGTGTGACATTTACTCTTGAGTGACATCTTTGCTGGAATAAATTCATGATTATATTTTCTTTCCTCGATGACTTCGTGAACATTTGTCCACTCTCTTCTAATATTGAATATTGTGTGGACAAGTGTAAGGCAAAGCTGATTCTCCTTCTACCTGCTGACTCCATGAATATATATGTGTACATACACACATAAATATCTCCTATAATATTTTATGCATGTGTATGGGTGTGTGTTCTATAAACTAATAAGACCTTTCTTTACCTTTTAAGTCTAGTAAATTTGTTAGAATATGTATTAGGGCTGATCACACTTTACCATTTTCCCTTCAGATACAATCAAAAAAGTGAAATTAAATCAGCAAAATGAAATAGAATACAGTTGTGAAAAGACTCAAAATAAATGAAAGATATAGAAGACAAAGAAGCACCAACACATGCATAATTAATATGCTTTTATTTTTTATTTTTATTTATTTATTTATTTATTTTGAGATGGAGTCTTGCTCTGTCACCTACGCTGGAGTGCAGTGGCACCATCTCGGCTTACTGCAAACTCCGCCTCCTGGGTTCAAGTGATTCTCCTGCCTCAGCCTCCCAAGTAGCTGGAATTACAGGCGCACTCCACCATGCCAGGCTAATTTTTGTGTTTTTAGAAGAGACAGGGTTTCACCATGTTGATCAGGCTGGTCTCGAACTCCCAACCTCGTGATCCGCCCACCTCAGCCTCCCAAAGTGTTGGGATTAGAGGCGTGAGCCACTGCCCCCAGCCAGTAATGTGCTTTTAAAAAGAGACTAGAAAAATATAACAAAATATTCAAAGTTATAATAGGAGAAAACTTTACTGCATTGGAGGAACATTTGAATGTGGAGATTAAAAACCTTTGCTACACTCACTTATCCCTGTGTTTCACAATAGTCCATCTTTTTTGTTTCTAATTTTATTTTGTAACACTTTTGTTTTTTCTGAGATATGCTAGATGACTTTTCATCTTTTAATGTTGCCAAATCACTCCTTCTTTGTATGCTTATTTTTCTTCTTTGAGCTTTTTAAAAATTATAGCTTTATATATGTTTATTTTGCTTTACATAGAGAAGTATTGATTAATCATTTTCTAATGCTTTATTGCATGTTTTCAGGCATGAATTATTTATCTGCTTTTTTGTTTGTCATTTTTGTTTCATTATTTTATTCTTGTGGCACCTTTAAATGGGTCCTGTGCTATTTCTTTTTATATTATTACTCTTTTTTTAATGAAGGCTAGCTACTTAATAAAGTCTCAACAAGCCCCCATTGCCCACAGCAATGACCAGTTCAGGAATACATCTTTGTACTAGTTTCCCTTCCTACCTATTACCTCCTTCCGTGTTCCTTATGCCTGTCTCCTGGACTGACTTCCCAAATGAAGCCACCTGAATGCAAAATTTTGTCTTAGGCTTTCATTTACCCATCGGCCCATTGTTGTAGGCGTTGCGCAGTGTGTGGAGAAGGGATCAGAGAAATAAGCTGGGTCAGAAGCCATCTTGAATTTGGATGGATGGTCTCTAAATACTTCCTCACCAACACTGCCCAGAGGGAATGGATTTGCTTCAAGTTAGCCAGAAGTCCTCCTGTCTCAGGTTGAAGGTCCATACATTTCTTGCAATGATCAACAGTTCTTATCTTTGCTTGATTGGTATCATCAAATTCAGGGCTGCTTTTTACTTTTCATCCCCTACCCTATCCCACTAACAGCCTGCTTTTTGCAGAAGTAGTGTGTGTGAGTTAACACCTCATGGAGCAATATCAGACTAACGGAAATAGAAGCTGATGGATAAATGCTATCCTCTTCCATTCCTCAGGCACACCAATTCCAAAGCACATTCTATATGGCTCCTGAGAAAGTCTGAGCAGGCCCCAGTTACCCACAACAATGACCAATTCAGGAATATGTCTTTGTACAAGTTCCCCTTCCTATCCATTTCTTCCTCCCCTGTTTCCTATGCCTGTCCCTTGGGTAACTTCCCAAATTAAGCCACCTGAATACAAACTTTTCTCTTAGGTTTCTTTTTTTCTTTTTTTTTTTTTCCAGATAGCAGCTCTTCTTTAAGAGTGTGGTTTGAGGTTTTGGCTGGTTTTTGTTTTCTTTCATCAAAAATGTCGTTTTCTTTTCTGTCTTCATTTTCCCTGTTGTTTGTATTTGGTTTAAGAGGAGAAGCAGACATGCTGATGCCTCCATGTTTTAATTATTATTGTTTTAAAAATCTTGGCCAGCTTGTATATCTCTGAATTCTCTATCTGTAAGGAAGTAAATCAAGTCCTGTGCTTTCTAGATTGCCATGCCTTAAACCAGCCTGCAATGTTTTCTTCCTCTTCTGTGGTGTCTTTATGAAGTCCCTGAGCATACAAAGGCAACATTCCTAAGCAATTCAAGTCATTGCTAAATCACTACATTTAGGAGTCATGTATTCCTTTCTCTGTATCTGTCTTTCTCATACACAAATGAAAATAGAATGCACATTAGCACACTAACGGCACATGGAAACGCAGTAACCCATTTTCGTTTGCAGCCTCCCCTTGAGTATCATCCAAGATCAAAGACATAGCTTTCTTGAAGGTGTTTTGTTTTTTGTTTTTTGTTTTGTTTTGTTTCTTAATTAAATCAGGCTTTGACCTTTCAAAACATTTGAATTATTTTCACCTAGGTATTTGCATTGGGAGGCATAAATGGCTTTTCTATAGTCCAGAGCAGACTTGGCCCTAGTCATGCTCTGACCTGTCTCTGGGAAGCATATTTTCTGGCCAGCTGCACCTTACTCTGGTACCTACTCTCAACATAGCATTTGTGAACCAACTCCCGGCCTAGGTTTCAGCCCCTCTAAGGGTAGAAAGCAAAGACTGGGACTCTTGTGAACATCCACTACCATGGGATGAAGGGAAAAGTCTTTGCCTCAGTGAGTAGGAAATGGCTTAGTTTGGGAATTCTTAGGCGAGAAGTGATCACGAGCTCTTCAGCTACCCAGTTTGGAAACCAGTGAATCCATATGTCTGGGGTATACTGAGATCCCATGATACAGAGATGACTGTCTGAGTCTTTTGTTTTATGCTTTAATAAGTGGGGAAGACTAAGGAGGCCTGTTGTCATGGGCAGTGGTTGCTCTTGTCACACAGTGCACAGAAAACTATTAGAAGAGATGATTCTCCACCTACATCTCATCGGCTTTGTGCCTATCCTTGCCTCTTCTGCACCTCATGGAAAGCAGGGTGGATAAGAAGCTACAGCTGGGACCTTTTCTGCAGCCCTGTCAGCCCCTTCCTGCATGTAGATTGAGGCCTGTGTCAATACTTAGTTTTTGCCCTGTGTGGGAATATATTCCTTAGGTCTCCAGCACACCTGAGATTCTCTACAAGGATCAGGGATATGTATTTGGTTGTCACTGCCTCTATGGAGGTGAAATCCACACTCAACATCCTTGGGGCTGGTGGGCATGGTGATTAGGGGTGGGAGTCTGGGTTGGACTACCTGGGTTAGAATCTTGGCTCCACCACTTGCTTCCTGTGCAATGTGTAAATTACTTCCTCTTATGTCTGTTTCCTTTTCAGTAAGGTGAAAATAACATTAATAATGCCACCTCATAGGATTGTTGTAAATTAAATGAGATAATCTGTGCATAAAGCACAAAGACTGGCATGTAGTAAGTGTTCCATAAATTTTAGTTGTTTTTATTATTGCTATCAATCATCATGATTATCTGAGTGCAGAGTAATTGTGTGTGTGTGTGAGAGAGAGAGAGAGACAGAGAGAATGAGAGAAACTGATTATTTGCAACTCAACACGGGGGCTAAGGCAGCATTTCAAGGCACCTTGTTGAGGCAGGATAGAGGCCAACGGAGGCTTTTGTAGAGAAATGAGGCTTGAGATGTTAGGAAATGTTGGAGAAGCAGAGAGCTGCACACTCAGACCCATATGTTGCCAAAAACTTCAACATTGCCCACCTGTTTGTATGATTTATAAGGAAAATGAAGTCTTTGTTTTCACTGCTATCTCCCCTACCTGCTCTACACACCTTCCTTTGCAGTCTGAGGGCTGTGTGTGTGCATGCATGTGTGTGCACACCCTTGAGGAGTGGGACTGGAAGCAGTGAATGGATGGTTGTGAACAACCCTAGCAAATCTCCAACAGAGACTCTCCCCACAGCTGGTGGACAGAGAACAAAAGGACAACAATAATGGGGGGTGGGGTGGAGCCAAGTTGTACTTGGACTTTGGTTTTGTGACCAATTATAAACTGGAAACATCATAGACTTCATTCATTCCATCTCCCCAGCAGGAGCAGATTGAGGTTATTGGTCTCAGCGTGTTGCAGATGTCTCCTCAGCATCTCAAATGGCAATAGGCTCAAATTACCTGTGTAATTTTCTTTTCTTTTCTTTTCTTTCTTTCTTTTTCTTTCTTTCTTTCCTTTCTTTTTCTTTCTCTTTCTTTCTTTCTTTCTTTCTTCCTTCCTTCCTTCTTTTTTCTTTCTTTCTTTCTTTCTTTTTCTTTCTCTTTTCTCTTCTTTTTTTTCTTTCTTTTTGACAGGGTATTGCTCTGTTGTGATCATGACTTACTGAAGCCTTGACCTCCCAGGCCCAAGCAATCCTCCCACCTCAGCCTCCCGAGTAGCTGAGATTACAGGTGTGTACCCCTACACCTGGCTAATTTGGTTAATTTTTTTGTAGAAATAAGGGTCTCACTATGTTGCCCAGGCTGGTCTTGAACTCCTGGGCTCAAGCAATCCTCTGGTCTCAGCTTCCCAAAGTGCTGGGATTACAGGCATGAGTCACCATGTTTGGCCTCACTTTCAAGTAGGAACCTTTTCCTGAGGAAAGCAGTGAAAAGGTGGAGAAAGTGATTGTGCCATTGTGGAGGAAGTTGGGCTGGTATTGAGTCTGAAGTATCTAATATTGGTCTCCACCTTGATCATCTTCACTTCTCTTGTCCAGGGCACTTGTCCCTGCCACTGTCCTCTGTGTAAGATGCTGCCTTGCTGGGTTTTGGGGGACAAACTTCTACCCTCACTGTGACTGCTGGGTGTTAGGTGTCCTCAGTAGATTGCCACAGAGGTGTCGCTGCCCCCCCGTGACTAACATCCAACACTGAGGCCCATGGACTTCTCCTTGGATTATTGTCCACCTCCCACATTTTTTCTTAATCAATTCCCACTCACTTATTGGGTCCCAGCCAAATAACCTTTCTAGTTAAAGCCTCCCTGCCCCCCAGACTAGTGAAGGCCTCTTTGGTATACACTCTCCTATCACTCTGCATTCTCTTTCATGGCATTTATCACAATAGTAATTACTCAATTATTTGTGTCATGCATAGTCTGATTACTCCATAAGGCCATAAAGTGTCATGAAGGTAGGGAGTCTGTTGACCCCTGAGGTGTCCTGAAGACTTAAACACAGTGCCTGGTTCATAACACCTGCTCAATGAATACATGTTCACTAAATAGCTGAAAGAACCCTTTTGGGATTATCCTCCAAAGCAGGGTTTTGATATCAGATATGAGGGTCTCACTATGTTGCCCAGGTTGGTCTTGAACTCCTGGGCTCAAGCAATCCTCCTGTCTCGTCCAGGAGTTGCGGTTTTAGGAACACATGTGCACTGCTTTCATATGCCTGTAAGACAAGCCTGGAGGGTTGGTTTTAACTACTTAAATCACCAATTGGTATTAATTCAATCTAATTAAATATCAGACTGATAGACCATATCAGCAATATACCCATCAACCAGCTCACCCATTATGCTTTAAAATTCTGCCAAAAACTTCCTAGGAATGATGGTTAAATGAAGTCACAATGATGCAAAATGGAACCATGAAAACACACGTTTTTTTATTAGCCACAACAGGGAGCATACAGATGAAAAATACTCCTGAGGCTGGAATTCAGTGTCTTCCAGACTTTGTCAGCCATCCTGCAAATGCCAGAAACACAGAAAAAGATGTATGTACTGTAGCCTCCCAGTTGGTGTTTCTGTCTTCATTCTCTTCCTCAATCGTACTCATAGTCTTTCATCATTAATTCCCTGGTTGTATTAATTTCCTACTGCTGCTGTAACAACTTACCACAAAACTGATGGCTCAAAACAACAGAAATTTATTCTCTCATAGCTCTAAAACCCAAAAAGTTCAAAATCAGTTTCACTGGGCCAAAATCAAGATATCAGAAAGGCCATGCTCCTTCCAGAGGCTCTAGGAGAGAATCTGTTTTCTTGCCTTTTCCAGTTTCTAGATGCTGCTCACATTGTTTGACTCATGGTGACTCTCTATTTTCAAAGCCAGCAATGGTCAGTCAAATCTTTCTCATGCCACATCACTATGACATTGGCTCTTCTGCCTCCCTCTTCCACATTTAAAGGAAACTTGTGATTACATTGGGACTAGCCAGATAACCAAAGATAATTTCCTTATTTTAAGGTAAATTAATTGGCAATCTTAATTCCATTTGCAACTCCAATTCCTCTTTGCCATATAACATAACATATCCATAGGTTTCAGGGATCAGCACGTGGACATCTTTGGGTGACTATTATTTTGCCTACCACACCAACTTAAGTCTCACTTATTCCGAAAATAAAAAATAAAATTACTAAACTTAAAATTTTAAAAAAATCCATGGATGTGTTAAATGAAATATTAAACACAGTTGAAGCTAGAGTAAGTTAATTTGAAAACATATTTGAAGAAATCATATCTGTAAATTCTGGATAAAGAAGTAAAAAATTATATACATCACATGAGGGCCAAGAAAAAGTTGTAATGAATATCTAATAGGGGTTCCAGAAGGAGATAATAGAGTGAACTGGAGAGAGGTAAAGTTCCTTGAGAGAATAGTTGAGACTAACCCTCAAATTCAGGAAATCCAATGAATCCCAAGCATAAATCAGAAGAATTCATCATCTAGACACATCAAAGTGTAGATAATCTGCTTTCTCTCTTTTAAGATATTTTTCTTTCTTTTTCTTTTTTTGATGTTCTACAAAATTAAGGAACAACAATTAGACTGACAACTAACTTCTCAGCAGCAACAATGGAAGCTAGAAGAAAGTGGAAAGCTCTGTGTATTCAGAAGGAAAATAACTGTCAACCTAGAACTTTATGCTCAGAAAAAAACTGCCTTTCAATAATGAGAGATAAGTAGCCATTTATATATAAGAGAATATATTCTATCTCTCATTGAAAGAAGTTTGGAGAGATATTCTTAAGGAAGATGAGAATTGATTCCAGAAGGTAGGTCTGAGGTACAAGACAGAATGATGATTAAATAAATTGATAAATGTGTAGGTAAATATAAGTAATCATTGGTGTATGCAATAATAATAATATCTAATTTATTGAGTTAAAAAACAAAAAAGGATAGAATTAAAATATTGGACAGTAGCAGAATTGATGTGGTAAGAAGAGGTCATCTATGGATGATAGTTAAATCATTTTTAAATTGCTTGAAAGATGAGGCAGCTCAAACCTGAAATTTCAGGTTCTCAGCTGCACCTGCTACTGCCTCTAGGTGGCATGGAAACCCAACTCCTCCATTTCCCAGGTTGCCCTCACTCCTCACCTGGTCTCCTCAGCAACAGATGCTACTGACTTAGTTTCATGACCGCATGCCTTGATAGTTTCTCCTCTGAGTCTGCTCAAAATACCATTCCCAAGGACAGAAAGCTGTTGGTTCTCTTTGCTTGGTAACTGTGAGGATAGAATTCTTATACCCTAGGGGAAACTGTGGATGTCAAACTTCAAGGCAGGTCAGGAATGAACTTTGCATGGCCAGAAAGAGTATACCAAGGAGGTTCCAGAGAATAGGCCGCTTCCTTTCCTATGTTTGTATAACCAATAGCACCTGGTTTGTGAAGTAGCCAGTGAGCTCATACACACTTCCAAACACTCACTGGCTTGATTACTGGGCCCTATCCCTGCTCCTCTTCCCACAAAAGAGGCCTCTCCTGGACTCAAAAGACCATTTTCCTGGCCATGGTGCTGCTGTCACCACATTCTCCTTCTCATGATCTGCTCCCTCTGTGCACATCCACTGTCCTGACTGCTGCTGGAAGGAGTCTCTTGGCTGCTACCCAATGTGAGACTCCTTGAGGGATAGATGGTCATTCTTCAAGCCACAGTTGCCTTTGCCCAACATTCCCATTGTCACACTCCCCGGGGGACACATTTTACTTCCAGGTGGGCTCTCTGTTCTTGGGGGGAGTAAAGGGGCTTGGCCCCTCCAAGCAGGCCAGACATCTGTCTCTGTGGTAAGCTAGCATGGCCATCATTTTCTTTCTATTTTTCCTTTTCTCTGTGGGCATCAATGTCAGTAGGTGGGGTTGGATCTGCTCCTTGGAGCCAGCCGTTACAGATTTGATGAGGAGGAGGCAGGAGGTTTCTTTAAGCCCTGTGGCTGAACTCAATTTTACCAGGGAGCCCTGTGCTGATGAAGCCAGTAGCAGATTCTGGCCCTTATTAAAGTGATGTTCCTTCCCATTTGTGTGTTGGATCCAGCATCCTAGAGGGAGAGGAGCAGAAGATGGCAGCATGGGGAGTAAATGCTACCAAACCTGTTCAGAATTCAGGCTTTGAAGTCAGAAATCCTGGCCCCTTCCCTGTGAGGTGTACAGCTATGAGCAAGATACTTAACTTCTCTACGTGTCAGTTTCTCCTGATTTTGAAAGCAAACATTAGTGTTGTTGTAAGGGTTAAATGAGTTAGAGTATGTAAAATGCTCAGTACTTTGTATGATTCATTATTAGGATTCCCAAAATCAGATTTTGTAACATTTTAGCCAGTATTTACAGCAATCAGTCTTCTATGAATCAATCCACATGGGTTTACTTTTTCCTCCAACTATGACTGAGAAAATTTAAGTTCTGAATCCAGAGACACTGATGACAAGTAAAATAAGAGTTCAGAAAGTAATGGGGTGAGAGTTTTACTAGACCCAGATACACTAGCAGAATTTCAAGGAGTAGGAAGAAGAAGAGGGGGCATTCCAGGCAGCAGAAACATTGTGTGCAAAGGTGTGGAGGCAGGAAGGGCTGCTCGGAGCCATGAACAGACCTCTCTGGCTCAGGAGAAGGGCTAAGGGAGAGACAGGATTGAATGGCAAGCATGGGGCTGGCTTATGCAGAGGTCTGAAAACCAGGGAGCAGAGTGCAAGCCCTCTGCAAGGGCTACACAACAAGCAATAGCAGGTTCCTTAGTGAGGAAAAGATGAAGAGTAGATGCTGCTGGTGCCTTGTCCATATCTCCTTGTCCTACTGGACTTCAAAGTTCTCTGGTTGCAGGAGTGTGCTGGCCCACAGATGTTCCAGAGAGCTAATACCCACACGTGATTCTCAACTAGCGAGGGATGGGGTTTGGTGATAAATACCCCAGCTTCCTCACCCCATTGGAGGGACCATTTTGAGGTACGTCTCAGAGTCTCTCTGGAGTCCCCAACAGAATGGGGCCCTCATTGCCTACAGTTATTACCTACTCTTTACCACTCCTTTGATTGGCTTCTCTTCCTTCCCCATCTCATTTCCCCACTTCTTTACTCACTTCCTGGAATCATCTCTCAAATGAACAGCTTGCGCCCAAATGCTTATCTTGAGTCTGCTTTGGGGGAACCCAAATTAAGACAATGAATGTGCATTTGGAAACAATTTGCCTGATGGTGTTTATAGGAGGGGCTGGAAGACCTGCTTGTATAGAATGGTTTGGATTTGTCCCAACAGATGGTCTCCTGTTGACTGTCCTCTGTATCAAGAAAACCATGAAAAGTAAACTCCAAGTATTTATTTTATGAGGAAGTACAATAAGACAACAACAGAGTGGGTTCCAGTTCCAAACCAAGAAATATGTGTGAGGTGTTGCTGGGAAGGCCCCAGAATCTCTCTCTCTCTCTCTGCCTCCCTTTCCTGTTCAGAGAAAATTAGTCCATCTGTCATTTATGCCATGCCATGAGCCCTGCACTGGGGCTCAGGGTATAAATCCTTGTCTCTAAGGGTTCATGATCCCACAGTCTAGACTGATGACAGCAACTTACTCATGACAAAAGCTCTGCCAGGCCAGAAGTCATTGTAGACTCTGGAGGCCTTTGGCATTCTGAGGTGAAAAGTCAGTGGCACAGGCTTCTCAGGGCATCCCACTGTGGAGGGAGAAAAATGCAAGTACAACAGAATTTACTTCATTTCTCTTTGGTGGGATAGGCCTCCTGCCCCACTGCATCAGAGGCTCTTTCTGGTACCCAGAGAGCCCCTTGCCAAAGTGTTGGGGATGAGAGATGGCCCACAACATGCTGGCTAGATGGGTTCCTGAGTAGCCCAGCCAGAAGGTAGCAAGAAGGAGGGAGCCAGTGGAAATTTTCAGGAGGAGCAGAGGGAGTGGGGAAAGGGAAAGACAAGGCTTCCAAAAAAATTTGTACTTTGTATATCAAACTCCTCTTCTTGTATCCAGGAGGTGTGAATCTCTCCTTGGCAGTCTCAGATGAGCGCCTGGTTTCACCTGTGAGAATGAGAGTCTGTGGTGCACACACGACACCTGCACTTATCACATGGGTTCCAGTTAGGAGGAAAGGTGTGCACTTCTTATGTCACTGCAAATGGGGGCTGCTTCTTCTTAAGTCTTCTAGCCCCCTCTTCTCATTTCTCAGTCTGTCCCAGGCCAGGGCAAGTGCTCTCCTTGTGTGGCCAGAGCACATTGCATGCCCTTCCATTCCAGCTTTTTGTCACTCTATAACTGCCTGTCCATGCTCCCCACTCATCCAAGTCCCTTTGAAAGCAGAAACTGCACCAGTCAGCTATTGCTGCAATAATGCTACATAACAAATCACCCCCCTGAAGTTCAGTGCTTAAAACAATCTTTTTTTTTTTTTTTGGTCTCAGTTTTGCGGGACAGCTAGGCTTGGCTTCAAACTGTAGGTCGAATCCAGGTCTGCTCCACATGTCTCCCATCCTCCTCAGACCAGTGGCTACCTGGAGCATGGTTTTCTCATAGTGAATGGCAGGAGCTAAAGAGGAGCCCACCCATGCAGGCACTTCTGAAGCCTCTGGTCACATCACATCCACTCACATCCTGTTGACCAAGCAGGTCTCATGGCCATGCCCCAAGTCAGGGAGTCAATGAAGTACCTTATACCCAAGATAGAGGGGAGGGGAGTGAGGATGAGCTGAACAAAATCCAACCCCTCACAGGGGCCATGGAGTGTGTATTTTGGAAGCCCCAGTATTTCACATGAGACCTGCCACATGATAGGTATTTAGTAAATAATGAATGAATGAGTGAATGAATGAAGACAAGCAAGAGTTGTGTTCTTTTTGCTACAGGTAATAAGGATATGGTACCTCACAGAATCCTGTCACAGAGAGATGGTATTAAATGAAAATAAGAGCTTAGTCTAAAGAGTGGATTCCCACTCTTCCCATAGTGACTATGGCTTTGCCAAGCTATTTGAGCTTCAATGGGAATAATACTCGCTTTATCCGGTTATTGTGAAAATTAAATGAGAACTCTATGTAAAACACTTAGCTCCATGTCTGGAATTTCATAAGCACTTGTAAATATTAGCTATTATTATTATTACTGCTACTATCTTGTGTTCTGCCAGTCAAGGGAAAAAATAAACTAAGATATTGTCAATTAAATGGAGTTGCTCCTGGTCTGGGCATTAACAGTTCCAACCTAACTCAGGTTTGACAAGAGTCTTAACTGGCTCTTTAACAATCTAGACCTAGGAATTGTGGGAGGGGAAGAAGAATATGCATAATAATGGATGATGTGCAAGGGCCTAGATTCTCTCTCTCCCATTTGTGGGTATGGAGGGGTGGGCAGCCAGGGAACAGTTTGCCTAAGGACATCATAGGCACACCCTCTGCCCCAACGCCTGTTGCTAACCTGCAAGGGGCAACAGCATGAGTCTCTTGGGGCAGCTTGGTTAGAGACTATCCATGTCTGGAGTAGATGTGAAGATAGGGTGATGGTCCTCGTCGTGCGCCAGGTGCAAGTGGGCAGGATGACATTTCTGAGCCCCTGGCTGGGCTCCACCCATGTTTTCAAGTGGTGGGGACACCCTGTGCCTGTGGCAAATCCTGCTGGAGAGGTGTCATCCAGAAGAAGGTAAGGAACAAAGACCAGGGATGAGCTCCCTTCCTAGTATGGTAGAGTTAGGTGGATCCTGGCCAGCAGCTAGGCAGGGCAGACTGGGCTGCTGCTGTATCCACAGAAGACCATGCTCCTCAAGCAGGTTGGTGTGGCATGTGTGGATAGAGGGTAAAGCCAGCTGAACTGGGGTGGAGGTGATGAGCAGGTGGCTTCCTTCTGCCACACCCCCAGGGATGCGGGGTAATGCAGGCAATGAACATGATTCTGCCTCTGCCCCTTATGAGCTATATGGCAAGGGGCAATTTTTTTTTCCTTTCCCTGGGTCCAGTGCCCTCATCAGTTAGCAGGGGAGCTTGGGCCCCATACTTTTACTCAGCAACTATTACCTGAATACCCGTGATGAGCCAGTTGCTGTTGTAAGACCCTGGAGATACACCTGTGAAGAGAACAAAGGTTATCAATAAATATTAGATTTGACTCAATATAACAGAAACCCCAAGGAACAGTGCCTTAAACAAGGTAGCGATTTATTTATTTTTGTCACATACAGCAAGTCCGGAGACCTGCAGATAAGAGCTGGTATGGTGACTCCACAGCTACCAGGGACCCAGGCATATTTTATTTCTCTAGTATGATATTCTTTTTTAAAAAATATAATTTCAACTTTTATTTTAGATTCTGGGGGTATATGTGCAGGTTTGTTATATGGGTATATGGTATGATACTAAAGTTTGGGGTACAATTGAACCTGTCACCAAGGAGGTGAGCATAGTACCCAATAGTTAGTTTTTGAATCCTTGGCCCCATTTTCCCTCCCCCGTCTAGTATTCCCCAGTGTCTATTGTTGCCCTCTTTATGTCCATGAGTACCCAATGTTTAGCTCCCTTATAAATGAAAACATGTGGTATTTGGTTTTTCATTCCTGCATTAATTCACTTAGGATAATGGCCTCCAGCCGCATCCATGCTGCTGCAAAGGACATGATTTCATTATTTTTTGTGGCTACATAGCGTTCTATGTTGTATATGCACCATATTTTCTTTATCTAATCCACCCTTGATGGGCACTTAGTTGATTCCATGTCTTTGCCATTGTGAATAGTGCTGTGATGAATGTATAAGTGCATGTGCCTTTTTGGTAGAACGATTTATTTTCTTTTGGAGATATACTCTGTAATGGGATTGCTGATTCAAATGGTAGTTCTGAGTTCTTTGAAACATCTCCAAACTGCTTTCTACCGTGGCTGAACTGATTTACATTTCTACCAACAGTATATAAGCATTCTCATTTCTCCACAGCCTCACCAACATCTGCTGTTTTTTGACTTTCAAATAATAGCCATTCTGACTGGTGTGGGGTAATGTCTCATCATGGTTTTGATTTGCATTTCTCTGATGATCAGTGATGTTGGCATTTTTTCATATGTTTGTTGGCCACTTCTGTCTTCTTTCGATAAGTTCATGTCCTTTGCCCACTTTTTAATGGAGTTATTTGTTATTTGCTTGTTGAATTGTTTAAGTTCCTTATAGATTCTGAATATTAGACCTTTGTCAGATGCATAGCTTGTGAATGTTTTCTCCCTTTCTGTAGGTTGTCTGTTTACTCTGTTGATAGTTTATTCTGCTATGCAGAAGCTATTTAGTTTAATTAGGTCCCATCTGTCAATTATTGTTTTTGTTGCAATTGCATTTGAGGACTTAGTCATAAATTCTTTCCCAAGGCCAATGTTCAGAATGGTGCTTTTTAGGTTTTCTTCTAGGATTTTTATAGTTTGAGGTTTTACACTTAAATCTTTAATCCATTTTGAGTTAAATTTTGTTATTTTCGATTCTTTTATTTTTTATAGTTCAGCTGGTTTCACATCAATTGAGTTAAATTTTATATATGGTGAATGGTAGGGCTCCAGTTTCATTCTTCTGCATATGGCCAGTGAGTTATCCCAGCACCATTAATTGAATAGAGAGTCTTTTCTCCATTGCTTATTTTTGTCAGCTTTGTCAAAGATCAGATAGCTGTAGGTGTGTGGCTTTATTTCTGGGTTCTCTATTCTGTCCATTGGTATATGTGTCTGTTTTTGTACCAGTACCATCAGCATGATGACAGGATCAAGTTCACACATAACAATACTAACCTTAAATGTAAATGGGCTAAATTCCTAAATTAAAAGACACAGACTGGCAAATTGGATAAGCAGACAAGACCCATCTGTGTGCTGTATTCAGGAGACCCATCTTATCTGGAAAGCGAAAAAAAAAAGCAGAGGCTGCAATCCTAGTCTCTGACAAAACAGACTTTAAACCAACAAAGACCAAAAAAGGGAAAGAAGGGTATTACATAATGGTAAAGGGAAGAATTCAAAAGAAGAGCTAACTATTCTAAACATATATGCACCCAATACAGGAGCACCCAAATTCATAAAACAAGTTCTTAGAGACCTACAAAGAGACTTAGACTCCCACACAATAATAGAGGGAGACTTTAACACCCCACTATCAGTATTAGACAGATCGACAAGACAGAAAATTAACAAGGATATTCAGGACTTGAACTCAGCTCTGGATCAAGCATACTTAGTAGACATATACAGAACTGTCTACCCCAAATCAACAGAATATACATTCTTCTCAGTGCCACATAGCACTTATTCTAAAGTCAACCACATAATTGGAAGTAAAACACTCCTCAGCAAATGCAAAAGAACTGAAACCATAACAAACAGTCTCTCAGACAACAGTGCAATCAAATAAAAACTCAGGATTAAGAAACTCACTCAAAACCACACAATTTCATGGAAATTGAACAACCTGCTCCTGAATGACTACTGGGTAAATAATAAAATTAAGATGGAAATCAAGAAGTTCTTTGAAACCAATAAGAACAAAGAGAATGTCCCAGAATCTCCAGGACACAGCTAAGGCAGTGTTAAGAGGGAAATTTATAGCACTAATTTCTCACATCAGAAAGCTAGAAAGATCTCATATTGACACCCTAACATCACAATTAAAAGAGCTAGAGAGGCAAGAGCAAACTAGTCCAAAAGCTAGCAGAAGACAATAACTAAGATCAAAGAAGAATTGAAGGAGATAGAGACATGAAAAACCTTCCAAAAAATCAATGAATCTAGGAGCTGCTTTTTTGAAAAAATTAACAAAATAGATACACTGCTAGCTAGACTAATGAAGAAAAGAGAGAAGAATCAAATCAACCAGACACAATAAAAAAGGGATATCAGCATGGACCTCACAGAAATACAAACTACCATCAGAGAATACTATAAGCATTTCTATGCAAATACACTAGAAAATTTAGAAGAAATGGATAAATTCCTGGACGCATACACCCTACCAAGACTAAACCAGGAAGAAGTTGAATCCCTGAATAGATCAATAACAAGCTGTAAAATTGAGACAGTAATTAGTAGCCTACCAAACAAAAAAAGCCCAGGACCAGAGAGATTCACAGCTGAATTCTACCAGAAATACAAAGAGGAGCTGGTACCATTCCTTCTGAAACTATTCCAAACAATTGAAAAGGAGGGACTCCTCCTGAACTCATTTTATGAAGCCAGCATCATCCTGATACTAAAACCAGGAAGAAATACAAGAAGAAAAGAAAACTTCAGGCCAATATCCCTGATGAACATTGATGTGAAAATCCTTAATAAAACACTGGCAAACTGAATCCAGCAGCACATCAAAAAACTTGTCCATCACAATTAAGCTGGCTTCATCCCTGAGATGCAAGGCTGGTTCAACATATGCAAATCAATAAATATGACCCATCACATAAACAGAATCAAAGACAAAAACCACACGATTATCTCAATAGATGCAGAGAGGGCCTTTGATAAAATTCAACATCCGCTCGTGTTAAAAACTCTCAATAAACTAGGTATTGATGGAACATATCTCAAAATAATAAGAGCTATTTATGACAAACCCACAGCCAATATCATATTGAATGGGCAAAAGCTAGAAGAATTCCCTTTGAAAACCAGTATAAGACAAGGATGCCCTCTCTCACCACCCCTATTCAATGCAGTATTGGAAGTTCTGGCCAGGGCAATCAGGTAAGAGAAAGAAATAAAGAGTATTCAAATAGGAAGCGAGGAAGTCAAGTTGTCTCTGTTTGCAGATGACATGATTTTATATTTAGAAAACCCCATCATGTCAGCCCCAAAACTTCTTGAACTGATAAGTAACTTCAGCAAAGTCTCAGGATACAAAATCAACAGGCAAAAATCACAAGCATTCCTTTACACCAACAATAGGCAAGCAGAGAGCCAAATCATGAATGAATTCCCATTCACAATCGCTTTAAAGAGAATAAAATACCTAGGAATCCTGCTAACAAGGGATGTGAAGGACCTCTTCAAGGAGAACTACAAACCACTGCTCAAGGAAATAAGAGAGGACACAACCAAATGGAAAAACATTCCATCCTCATGGATAGGAAGGATTAATATCATGAAAATGGCCATACTGCCCAAAGTAATTTATAGATTCAATGTTATTCCCATCAAACTCCAATTAACATTCTTCACAGAATTAGAAAATACTGTTTTAAATTTCATATGGAATCAAAGAAGACCTTGTATAGCTAGCACAATCCTAAGCAAAAAGAACAAAGCTGGTGGCATCACACTACCTGACTTGAAACTATACTACAAGGCTACAGTAATCAAAACAGCATGGTACTGGTACCAAAACAGTCATATAGACCAATGGAGCAGAACAGAGGCCTCAGAAATAACACCACACATCTACAGCCATCTGATCTTTGACAAACCCAACAAAAACAAGCAATGGGGAAAGGCTCTCCTATTCAGTAAATTGTGTTGAGAAAACTGGCTAGCCATATGCAAAAAAACTGAAACTAGACCTCTTCTTTACATCTTATACAAAAATTAACTCAAGATAGATTAAAGACTTACATGTAAAACCCAAAACCATAAACCTCTAGAAGAAAATCTAGGCAATACCATTCAGGACATAGACATGGGCAAAGACTTCATGACAAAAATGCCAAAAGCAACTGCAACAAAAGCCAAAATTGACAAATGGGATCTAATTAAACTAAAACGCTTCTGCACAGCAAAAGAAACTCATCAGAGTGAAGAGGCAACTTACAGAATGGGAGAAAAATTTTGCAATCTGCCCATCTGACAAAGGTCTAATACCCAGAATTTATAAGGAACTTAAACATATTTACAAGAAAAAACCTAACAACTCCATCAAAAAGTGGGCAAAGAATATGAACAGACACTTCTCAAAAGAAGACATTTACATGGCCAACAAACATGAAAAGAAGCTCAACATCATCGATCATCAGAGAAATGCAAATCAAAACCACAATGCGATACCATCTCACACCAGTCAGAATGGTGATTATTAAAAAGTCAGGAAACAATAGATACTGATGAGGTTGTGAAGAAATAGAAACGCTTTTACACTGTTGGTGGAAATGTAAATTAGTTTTGTGGAAGACAGTATGGCGATTCCTCAAGGATCCAGAACGAGAAATACCATTTGACCCAGCAATCCCGTTACTGAGTATATACCCAAAAGGATATAAATCATTCTGCTATAAAGACACATGCACATTTATTGCAGCACTATTTACAATAGTAAAGACATGGAACCAACCCAATGCCCATCAATGATAGACTGGATAAAGAAAATGTGGTACATATACACCATGGAATACTATGTAGCCATAAAAAGGAATGAGATCATGTCCTTTGCAGGGACATGGATGAAGCTGGAAGCCATCATCCTCAGCAAACTAACACAGAAACAAAAAACCAAACACCATATGTTCTCACTCATAAGTGGGAGTTGAACATTGTGAACACATGGACACAGTGAAGGGAACAACATACACAAGGGCCTTTTGTGGGGTTGGGTGTAAGGAGAGGGACTTAGAGGTTGGGTTTATAGGCGCAGGAAACCACCATGGCACATGTATACTTATGTAAGAAACCTGCACGTTCTACACCTGTATCCGTATTTTTTTTAGAAGAAATAAAGGAAAAAAAAAGAAAGATGGCTGCAGTCATCCTAGCCATCATTCCGTTATGACATTTAGATGGAGAAGAAAGACAATCTCTTCCTGTGTGACTGCTGATCTTGCTTCAAGTTCACTGGTCCTTTCTTCTGCTATCTCAAATCTGTTATTGAGCCTTTCTAGTGAAATTTTCATTTCTAATTTATCTTGTCATTTTTTTTTCTTTGACCAGTGGGCAATTTAGAATTGTGTTGTTTAATTTCCACATACTTGGGGATTTCCCAGATATCTTTCTGTTGTTAATTTTCAGTTTAATTCAAACTGGTCAGAAAAAATTATCTGTATTAAGTAAATCCTTTCATATTCATTGAGAATTTTAATAGTCCAAAACATGGCTTATCTTGGAGAATGTTCTATGTGCAGTTGAAAGGCATATTCTACTGTTGTAGGATGGCAGGATCTACCAATGTAAATTAAGTCATGTTGTTTGGTAATATGTTTCAAGTCTTCCCTGGCCTCATGGATTCTGAGAAAAGAGTGTTTCCCAACATAATTGTGGGACTCTGAAGCAAAGTCTCCCAACATAATTGTGAATTTGTCTATTTCTCTTCTCATTTCTGTCTTTTCTTGATTTACATATTTTGAAACTCTGTTATTAGATGGATATATATGTAGGATTTTCATGATTTCTTGATGATTCATCATGATTTCTTGATTTGAACCTTTTATAATTTCAAATTTTCCCAGTTTATCTCTGGTATTACTTTAATTGCTAGTATTGAATCCTACTCTGTCTGATATTAACATGGTTATCTAGCTTTCTTATCATTATTAGGGTTTGTATGATATCACATTTCCATCCTTTAACTTTTAACCCATTGGTGTATGTGTTTTTAAATTCTTATAGATAGCACATAGATAAGCTTTGCTTTTTAAATTCTGGTCTAACAATTTCTACCTTTTAACTGGAGCGCTTAGCCAATTTACATTCAATGTAATTATCCATATAGTTAGATTTAAGCTACCATCCTGCTGTTGGTTTTCTATTTGTCCCATCTGTTCTTCCTTCTATTTTTTTCTCTTTTTCTGACTTCTTATGGACTGAGTATTTTTTTAATGTTCTATTATACTGTCACTATTGGCTTATTAGTTATACCTATTGGTTTTTGTGTTTTTAAAAACTTTGAGTTCACAAAATATACTTTTAACTTATTCCAGTGTATATTGAAATCCTATTAAATCACTCTGTGCATAGTATGGAAGAACCTTACCACAGCATACCTCCATTTTCCCCATATATCTTTTGTGATATTATTGTCACACATCTTGTTTACACCTTTGCTATAAACCACACAATATATTATTAGTGTTTTACTCTATACAGTCAACAAAAATGAGAAAAAAAACTACTCATATTTATCCATGTATTTACTATTTCTAACATTCTTTATTCCTTTGGGTAGAGGGATGATATGAGTTTCCTTCTCATATCATTTATTTCTGCCTTAAGAGCTACCCCAACATACTTTTGTAATGCAAGTTTGCTGGTGACAAATTAACTTCTTTGTTCTCTAAGGAAAAATGCTTAATTTTGCTTTCATTTTTGAAAGATTGGGGCATGGGGTATAGAAGTCAAGGTTGATGGAGTTTTTTTCCTTTTCAGTATTTTAACCATATTACTCTGTTTTCTTTTGGTTTGCATAGCTTCGAAATAGAAGTCTGTGAAGTTCATAGCTTTGTTCCTCTTGACATAATGTATTTTTCTACTCTGGTTGTTTTAAGATTTTCTTTCAATCATGGGTTTTTAAAAACTTGATTGTAATGTGTCTTGGTGTGGTTTTATTTGTGTTTATCCTGCTTGGCATTCATTCAATTTCTTGGACCTATGGGTTTACAATTTTCATTAAATATGGAAAATTTTGGCTGTATCTTCAATTTTCTTCTGTCTATGCAATCTCCTTCTGGGATTACTGTATACATATGTCAGATTGCTTGATATTGTCCCATAAGTTGCAATTTTATTCTTTATTTGTTTATTTTGGCTCTTTCTCCTCCTGTGCTTCATTTTGAATATTTTATATCACTGCGTCTTCAAGGTCAGTAAACATTTTTTCTTCAGTCTAATCTGCCACTAATCTCTTCCAGTGAATTTTTTATTTCAGATATTTTATTGTTTATCTCTAGAAGTTTTATTTGTTTTTTTGTATCTTTCATTTCAATCCTTATTGTGTTTCTGCCTTCTTTTGAATCCTTGAAAATCCTATTAAAGATCTTGTCTGCTAATCCCGCAATCTCTATCTCCTCATGCCTGTTTCCACTGTCTGAATTTTCTCCTGGTTTTGGGCTACATTGCTATGTTTCTTCATATATCTAATAAGTTTTGACTGGATGATGTATATTGTGAATTTTTCATTGAGCGCTGGATTTTCTTGTGTACCTTTAAGGGGTGTTGAACTTTTTATGGCATGCAGTTATTGGCAGATCAGCTTGATCCTTCTGAGGTTTGTTTTTAATCTTTTAAACTTTCTTAGGGTGGGTCATGAATAGCTTGAATTCTAAGTTTGTTTAGCCCATTGCTAAGATGTGATTCACCTGAGGTCTCCACTGAAGGCCTGAGAGTCTGAGAGCTCTTTTACTCTAGCTAGTCAGAATTTGGTCGTCTGTCAGCCACATGTGAGCTCTGCAAACTGTTCAGCTTACAGCTCCCTGGTTGCTCTTTTCTCAGCTCTGTGGATCTTCACTCTATGCTTATATGATTTAGTGTTCAGTAACAGATTCAGGGGATCTTGTGCAATTTTCTGGAGCTATTTCTTTAAGCAGCTTCTTCCTCTCCAGTACTCTGCCTTGCAAATTCTAGCCCCTTCAGCATTTCTGAACTGCAATTTCATTTCTTCAACTCCGAAAGAGCTATGCTCTACTTGAGATCACCTTTCCCGCAGAAAGTGCCTCCAGACAGAAAGTCAGGGTGGTAACAAGCTCATTTTGTTCTATCTTTTTCGGTGTTGCCCAGTGTCTGAAAACTCTTGCCTTATATATTTGGTTTGTTTTTTTAGTTAACAGTGAGAAGATAAGTCTAGTCCCAGTTACTCCATCATGGCTAGAAATAAAATCACCTAATAATCTTTTAATATCCATATCACTTAGCATAATTCTACTTATACAGTTCAAATATTTTTGAATAAAATATTAAACATTTCTTTGCTGAATTATTACTCATAAAATATTCATGCATTTGTGTTTTCACGACATTGTACTAAGCACCATGGAAGTTTGCATTTTATGGAACAATCTCTTCCTAAAAATTTCATCTGATTAAAATGTAAGAGAGATTAAAATGTATTCACAAGTAGCATAAAATAAGATTAACTGTGCATACAAGTGTGGTTTTAGATGCACTTAAAACAAGTCACACTTTCACAGCCATTTAAATCAGCCTGATGGGGTCTCATAGGAGGTGAGGGTAGGGAATAGAAGCCAGCCATGTCACTGGCAGACGCGAAATGGAGTCAAGAATTGTTACTCATTTCCATAGATGGTCACTTAGCGGATCTGGAAAACAAAAACAAAAACTGCTCCAGAAGAATCAATCTACTGTATTAAGTATTTCTTCACAGATTCTGTGAGGGAATATCTTTGTCTGTTCTGAGGGAACTACTGTAAATACAGCATCACACCATTCAAAAGGAAATTTGCTTACATATTCTTGGAACATTTGGAAGGTTTTTCCTTTTTGCTTTGTAAGAGTAAACAGACACTATGTGAATTTTTAAAAAAACTTTTCAAAACCTAGCTGGGTGTGGCGGTACATGCCTGCGGTCCCAGATACTCAGGAGGGTGAGGTGGAGAACTGCTTGAGTCCAGGAGTTTGAGGATGCAGTGAGCTATGATCGTGCCACTGCACCCCAGTCTGGGGGACAGAGTGAGACCCTGTCTCTAAAAGACAAAAGAAAACCTTTTCAAAAACTCTTTTCTATTGAAGGCAATCAGGTGTAAATTTTTCTTTCTCTGAAACTCTAAACAACTCCTTAATGTCACCTGGGCCTAACCATATCTCCACCCTCAATTCTCCTCACTCTCCCTTTCACCCCTCACTTGCCTCAGGGCTTTTGCACATGTTTGGGAAGCTCTTCCTCTCCCATCTTCCCCTCCCTTTCTTACTTGGATAGCTCTTTGTAATTTTTTATGTTTCAGCTTAACTGCCTCAAAGAGGCCTCCCAGGATCACCCAATTTAATAATACTGTTCCTTTCATTCTCCCCCCAAGGACTATTCTTTTCCTTCAGATAATGAATGCTGGTTCTTCCTGGCCTGTTTGCCCTCAGATCTATGGCCTCACCCTTTCCCTGGCCAGCTCTATATCTCTGGGGAGTGACCCCTGTGATCAGACTTGCTTTCCCAGACTACCTTGCTTTCTGACTTCTGCAGTGGCTAAACCTTTGGGAAGTACTGATGGACATAAAAAAGGCAGGAGGAAGAGAGAAGGTGAAGTTTTTCTTCCTTCTCTTGTAGTTTTGATTTTACCTGCCCAAAGGCTGAAGATCCCCTTGTGTCTTCCACTCACACCAGGCACCCCCTTTTCTATGGTCTCAGTCTCCCTTGGGCAGCTCCTGTCTTGGTTCCGGTTCTCCTCAGATGGTACCGGGACCTGCACTCTGATAACATCACCTCTTCTCTTTGTCCCTTTGTTGAAGGACTTCCTGCCGTGAACCTCTGGGTTCCTCCACTATCCCAGACTTTCTTGGCACTTTCATTACCCAGATAAGTAACACATTCCCTGCATTCAATTCCCTCTGCTCTACATATTCAGTTTCTCCCTTTCTGGTTGAATCCTGACTGATACAGTATCAAATTGTAGATCATTGGCTAGTGTTACTTTCAATCTAATGTCTGAATACCCGCCCCTGCCCACACACACATTCCATGAGAACAAGAACAATATCTATTTTCTTCACTACAGAATCTCTAACACCCAGCACAGTGCTTGGCTTTGGGTTGTTGCCCAATTAATATTTATAGAATAAATGCTTGAAAGGGAAGGTGGAAGGGATGAAATCAAATTTACCATCGGTTCCAGGTGACCTGAGTATGCTCCTCCCGCTGCTTCTGTCCTGTGGATGGGGTGAGTGGATCATAGAGAGCAGTCCTTCATGGTTATGCAAAGAAGTTTTCCTGTGAGGAGACCAGAATGCTCAGCTTTGCTGCTATTATTATTTTCTCTTTTCTTTTTCTTTTTTTCAAATTCAACTTTAGTGGAAAGAAAACTTTCTCATTTCCCATTTCAGCTCACTGAATTATTCATCAAAAATGTTCTGCTGGTATTTCCTCCTCTGTCAGAGTTCTGCCGTTCCAGAAACACTGCCCTGGAGTTGCAATCAGAGCAATTAGCAGCCCATTACGGGATGCGCCTGTCCATGCCCTCAGGTTCCCGACCTGGGGCTGTGCTGATGGAGAGCCAGCACTACCATGGAGTCTGATGCGTGTAGGCTGGCCTGAGCTCCTAGCCCCATTAATTGATGGGGAGCCCAGCAGGATCTTCATCTTCCTTTGCCAGGATCAGCTAATCAAGTAACCAACACGCTAACAGCTCAGGACTTTAGCTAACACCACCCTCTTATCTGACAAGCTGATTCCATTGGACCTCAGTTTCCTTAGCTCTAGAAATGGAAGGACAGCCCTTGACTGCCTGCCTCACAGCACCATTGTGGCTGTATGGGCCCACCTTGACTCTCAGCTCTGTCCACTGCTGGGGTTCCAAAAAGCTAGGCAAATTGGTCAAATGTGCCTCTAGAAGTCGATTTACCTCTAAGGATGATTTCTCTCTAGAGGGTGTTTCAGTTTTGTTACAAGCTTGTCCCTGTTACACAACTTCCATCCCTAGAAGGGAGGACAGATTTCTGCATTCCTCCTGGTGTCACTCATCTGCATCTGTCCTCAAACCCACCCTCAAGGACCCATTTCTGTGTCCTACTTGTAGCACTGAAAGATGAAAGAGCTCCACAGCAGCTCTTTGGGTAAAATAAGAGAGATCATCCTCCCTACTATCATAGGTCTCTCTGGCTTTGTCGCCCTGGGGCTCTGGGGTGCCACCTCAGCATCTGGAGTGCTGGTATTAAGCTATATCTCTGGGCTGTAACTCAGCCCTTCTTCTCTGGGTTCTGCCATGCTGGGCAGGACTCTGCAAACCAGGGCTCTCCTTTGCCAGTGGCTCCCTGACAGGCTCTGCCATTAGGGGGTGCTAGAGAAAATGGAAGCTGGAGGAGGAAGCAGGGACCGGCTCCACCCTGCCTGCTTTTTGCTTCTGTGAGCAGCACCCAGCAAGGCTTCTTCTCCCTGGCAGCAGCAGCTCCTTCCAAAAGCAGCTGGTGAATCCACATTGCAGTTTTTCCACTTTCCATTTTGCAGAATGAGATGTATCAACCACTCCCTGGCCAGAGACATCGTACAAGCTGCCCAGCATCCCCTCCTCAGAGCTCTGGGTCTCATGAGCTGGGAAATGTGAACACCAGCTGACTGCCTCTCCAGCCTCACCCCCAGTTATCTTCCAGGTCCCTCCTCAAAACTTCCAAATCTTTTAACAATCCTAACCTCTTCCTTTGTTGTCTCCAGCCCCAGAGATGGTGGCTGCTGCCTACAGCTGCTGCCTTTGTTCTAACTTCAAGTACTCTTTTAAATCTTTTCAATTCCACAGCTAACAATTCTTTGCATTAAATTGTCTCTCCTCAAATAACTAGAAGTTTCTGACTCCTGCCAGGTTCCTAACTGATTGAGAAATAAGAGCTTGGAGCAGAGGCAGGGATGGAAGACAGCAGGAAGTGATGGCGGCTGGCAGAACCTGGGGGCACAGAGGATGCAGGACTGAGTGCGAGAAGAGGACCGTACTGTAGACCTACGGGTTTCGATGGCCAGCTGGGCTGTGTGTGAGCCACAACTGAGACGCCTTCCAGGGACTGCCAGAAGCACCTGCAGGGATGGTGAATCAGGCTCTTGAAAGCACAGCACGAATTTGGGAGCTCTGAGCTCAGAGGGCAGGGGATACTTGGCTAAAGAGGCTTAGTAGCCAGGAAGCCCTTCACACTGCAGCCTGTGTCTGAGCAAGTGAGGGGGCAACTGAATGAGTGTGCCCATCACTCCAGATGGTAAATGGAGAGAGGAAGGGATGCTTTCTCTAAGGGCGTCCTGGCTGGACTCGTCTCCCCCACAACCCTCAACACAGACACTCTCCTGCCTGCCTCCTATCCTAGGGTTTGGCAGGACAGATAGTCCAGGCGATCCCCTGTGACCAACCCCAAGCCCATGCTTCCTTCAAGGTCAAGTTTAGATGCTGCTGCGTCCATGGGACTTCTAGGATAACCCTCTCCCCACAACCATCTCTCCTCGCACCACATTGATAGTAGTGACTGCCAGTACCACTCACTGGGCCAGAGGAACAGTTCCCAGAGGGATAGACACTTTTCCTACCCTCAGTGGGGTGTCAGTGGGAAAGAAAGATAAAAAACTCAGCAGTGACTATCTATCTATCTATCATTTATCTATCTAAACTAATGGCACCTAGTAGGTGTTTGATAGGTAATTATTAAGTAAATAATGGATGAATGAATAGATGGATAGTAATGAATGGATGGATGAATAGATGAATGGATGGATGAATGGATGGATGGATGGATGGATGGATAGACAGACACGCATCTCCCCTAAGATGGAGAGGCAGGTAGTCTGGGGCAGGGCCATCTGTCACTGAGTCTTCCTCGAGTTCTTGATACCAGCATACTGTCTGACATGTCTATCCTTGGATGAGTTCGTGACTGGAGTAGGATAATGAGCAAAGGTGTAGAGGAAGGAAAAGCTAGAACATATAAATGATCTGGGGCCAATGAACTCTCCCACCTCCTGCTGCCTGCTCCTGGTATCTGAAACTCACCCTGCAGATATTTCCTTTGGTTCAACACTGCACACTTGGCCAGTCCTCTTCTGGCCCAGCTTCACCAGGAGCTGTAACATCCAAGCGGGTCCTGGACCAAGCAGCTGGTCCAGAGCTTTCTTTCCTAATGGGAGGAAGCTTGAACCACAGAAGTCCTGGGGCTGTGAGGCAGGCCCAGAGGAAGAAATAAGGTGGAAGAGGAAGAGAGTCCACTGGGACAGATCTCCCTAATCTCACAATACCACTTTGTATAAAAACCACTCTGTAGCAACAAAAGTAAAAAAAGCTGTACAGTACTGGTGGCTTTGCTTTGAAGCTCCACTCAGACAGGGGCCATGAGTCAGGAGGAGCAGACAGAGGAGGAGCAGACAGAGCCTACAGAACTTTTACTAGGGCAGGCATGCTCTTGTGATCCATACCTGTGGAGAGGAGGAGAAGGAAGCAGGGCTAGGTAGAGGGAGGAGGTTTCCGGGGCTGGGGGGTTTCTGAAGCTGGGTGGGCTTGCATAATGTTCTAACTTGGGGGGTCTGCAGGACTTGTGTGTCCCGGTGTTGATTAGTCATTGGATGCCACTGTTCCTGAGGAGCGGTGTGGCCTTGGTGTCTCCAGGAGGGCTAGTGTCTCAGGGCAGCTCCAGGCAGCACTCCCAGCAGGACAGCTTGGGGACTAAGCCTTCATCTCTACAGGGATTCTGGGGGCACCTTGAAGAAATGTTCATTGTTGTATCCTGGAGGATGCAGACCATACTCCTTCCTCTTCTTATCCAGGCTCAGTCATCCTCCTCTGGCCTCTCTGCTCCTCTCCTCCCCCACTCGCCCCCCTGCTGCCTCCGCAGCCCCAAGCCCTATAGCCCCGCATTGCATTATCGGCTGGCTGCTGCTGTCAGAGTCTCCGGGAAGATAATCTATCCGGAAAAGTGCGTGCGAATTACTAAATCAATAAACACTGCTAACCTCTTGATTCACTGCTTCTCTGCAGAGAACCCCTCAGCCCTGCAGCATTTCGCTTTAATAGGAGGAAAGCGAATGTGCTTAGTGGGCACAACCCACAGGCTGAGAAGGGAGGGGCAGCCACACGCGCCTAGGCGCCCACGATTAGAAAGCACCCCTCCTCCACCTCTGTCTTTAAGTTTCAGTCTCACAGAGGTAAGCAGCAAGAAAGCACGGGTCTTGCTGTGTACTTGGACTCACCTTCTAACCCTCAGCCCTATGCAGACGTCACCTTAAAAGACCCACCCCAGATTCCATCCGTGTAACATCTTGCCCTCACCAAGTCGGGGCAAAGGGTATAAACTCTGATTTGCTTAAGGTAGGAAGTATTGTCTGCTCATCCAAAGCAATTTTAAAGAAGAAGAAAACTTTACAACATGCAAATTCAAATCGTAAAAGCTGTTTTAATGATTAATAATAGCCACAGCTAAAACCTGCACAGTGCTTATTGCTTATTCCATGCAGAACATCATTTTAAGCTCTCTGCATAGATTAACTCACTTAATACAACCACTCTGAAGTGGTTATTATTATTACTGTTATCCCCATTTTACAAATGACATTTTGTTCTCTGTTTTAGAGACCCCAGAGAGGTTAAACAACCAGCTCAAGATCACACAGCTAGAACATGGAAGAGTCAGAATTTGAACCCAGGGCCCATGCTCGAATAGGTCAGTTCCATTCAACACACATTTGTGGCAGAATAACTCAGAGGTATTAATTTTTTCCTCCCTCCTCCCTTAAAGAAGGTAACAGAGTACTTTATATTTCCTTTCCTGAGAGATTTCCAGGGCAGAAAGGAGTAACTGCTCCAAGATAACCATTTCTTCTGCTTTTTGTGCAAGGCTGCACTATTCTGGAGATATGAAACCCATGCTTCCTTACTGCCTACCTTGGCGAATGCTAAAACTCAGAAACAAAAGCTGGAGGTGGGGGTGTCCTTAAGTGTGGAGATTGCAGTGAGTTCTGCCCTGCAGCCAGCACTTGGTCTCTTTACCAGGGGGCTGCCCTTGGAGCCCCGTGTTGCCAGTGCATACCAATAGCTAGAAGTGTCCCCTGAGCAACATTTGATTGAGGACTGATGAAAGAGTCCCTTGTCTCTGATGGGGACATGCTAATGTGTGGCCTCCACACCAGCCCTCC
This sequence comes from Homo sapiens, assembly GCF_000001405.40. Classification (NCBI taxonomy): domain Eukaryota; kingdom Metazoa; phylum Chordata; class Mammalia; order Primates; family Hominidae; genus Homo; species Homo sapiens. The sequence goes on from NC_000003.12 coordinate 43,859,685, forward strand.
ATGCCCTCACACCCTCACCTGACCTGCTTTTCCACGCGCCTCCTGGATTTTCCAGGGAACACTTGCTAATAAGGCATATTCACACAAATCCTCATCTCTCGGTCTCTCCTGGAGAACCCTGCATAAGACACCACACTCAGGGCTAATGGGCCAGAGAAGAAACAGCATCATCAGGGTCCAGTGGGAGCTGCAGCTTGGTGGAGAGGAAGTCACTGTCCAGGCGGCAGCCCAGGGCAGGGAGGGAGAAGGGAGGAAGTACTCCAACCACTCTTCTGTGCACTGGTTCGCTGGGCCCTCAGCTCAGAACTGGCATTAGTTCACTTCTGCCACATTCTACTGGCCCAAGAAAGTCACAGGCCTGTCCAGATTCAATGGGTAGGAACATAGACTCCAGGGAGTGGTGCCAACTTAGGGCCATTTTTATAGTCTGCCACACTATCCATGCCAGTGTACCCCTTGGAAGAGTTTTCTGCTCTCCAGTTTCAAAACTGCTGGGTTACCTAGCATGAGTGAACCAAGGGCACCCAGCTACTAAGTGGAATCTCGGGAAATGGAGCCCGGGCAGTCAGATTCCATAGCCAGGGTTCTGAACCCATCACTCGCTGCTGTCTTCCTGCATGAGCACAAGGCCTAGGGCATGTAGGGTACAGTCAGTGTACGGTGGTTTTAAATTAGCCACCACAGATATGGAAGAAACATATTATTTATTCTATAAGAAATAAATGAAACTGGACTCTGAGCTCTTACGGAGTTGAAGGAGAATTCTATTCCCTTCTCCCCGAAGGCATGCCATGGTCCTGGTGTCTGGTGAGAACACAGCATTCTTTGAGGAGCCTTCTATCATCAGCTCACTCTGTGATGCCTAGCAAACAAGCCTGCTGAGGCCACTGGAAACTGACCTGGTGGTGGGGCCTCAGGACCTTATAGACTGGACCTTGGGGGCTATAATGGCACCCCACAGTCCTTCCCCTCTGAGGCTGTGCAGTTTCCTTGCGGCAATGCTGGAGACCTGAGAAGTCCCCCATCCTTATGTGTCCACCATCCTCTGCTCCCTTTGCAGACTGTGGGCTTTCTCTCTTCCTTTGCAAAAGTTTTTCAAAATAGGAAATAAAAATCAATGGAATTTGCACATCTAGTTTTAGATACTCTCAACTGTCATGGTGTATTGGTTGTAATATTCTTCCTGATGTGGAGGCATTCATTAGGATATCATGGGGGAGGGCAGATATTAATATCGGGAGGGACAAAAGCATATGCCCCTCAATACCATGCTAGTGGCCTTTCATTTCCTTTCCCAATGACCTGGAGGAAGGGGAGGGGGGTAAGAAGAAACAAGTCACCCGACTTGTAGGTCCGTCTTGCTTCCTGCTGTTCACTGGAGAATTGTCTGGCAGATACATGCCCTTTGTTTCCAAGCTGACTCTCTTTTAGAAACTACCTCAAGCTTCCACCAATCACGAGGGTGTTAACCCTTCTAAAGTCTTCCATTCCTACCCAGAAATTAAGCCAAATACCACAAAGTCAGGGAGTGTCTCCATAAGTTCTTTCACTGTGCCATCATTAATGGGCTGGACCAAGTAGATGGAAGTGTTCGGGAAGAGCTGCAGTGGAATTGCTTCATGGTGTCCAGTGGACTGAGGAGAAGAAAAGGTCACCAGGCTATCTCAGTCTGACCTCAGCATCCCCCTTCCCTAGTGTTCTGAAAACAACGCAGCCTCTAGCAGAGGTCTGCACCTTGACCCAATGGCTGGCCAACCAGGCTCAGTCTCCATTGCTTCCTGGGCCCTGTGACAAAGAAGTGATGGCAGCCCCACTGGCTCACCCTTCAGTAACCTCTGGGAACACAGTAAGAGGAAGGGGAATAAACTGAGAAGCTCAGATGGCCATGAACATGCCTTGCATTTTTCCAGGGAACCCATATCTCCATGGTCCTCGATGCCACCAACTGCTGGCTCATTAAAGGGAGGCATCATCTCTTTCTGGAGTAGGTCATTCTCAACTTGCCCCCAGACCCATTCCTTGCTCTTCATGGCCCTGTTCTTTGTCCTAGAGGCTGACTCCAGGCTCTCTTGCTGGACTTCTAGCTGGGTTTGACCCATGGGAGATGCGGGCAGGAGACTGGGGTAGTGAAGAGCGGTGAGGATGGTCATTCCCCCTGCCTGCCTCCTGCCTGCTCTGCTCCACTGCAGCCCCTCCTCTCATCAGGCTCAGATCACCGTCTTTCCTCCCCTTTGTCCTTTCAGTCCTAGGGGTGGCAACAGTTTCCTGATGGTGCTGGTCTCTGGATGCTTCAACATCCCCATCTGTCCCCTTAACCCTGCCCACTCCTCTGGAAGTATCCTCTTCATTAAATCCTTTATTTGAACCATCCAGGGTGAATTCTGCTCCCTGTCCAGCCTGACTGGTACAATATGAGGTGCCTCCCTCCTCTGAAGAGGAAGCAGGCAACGTCTGTGAGGGCCTGGGCTGTTGGCAACAGGTGCACAAGGAGCGAGAGGGTCCACTTCTCTCCACAAGACCCACCATTACACTGGGCCTCTCCTGAGCTCTGGTAGAGCCAACCGCTTTTTCCTCAGCTGCAGTGACCCAGGGCTTAATCTGGGCTTAATACAAAGGGCTGCAGGCTGGGCATGGTAGCTCACACCTGTAATCCCAGCACTTTGGCAGGCCGAGGAGAAGGGAGGATCACTTGAGTCCAGGAGTTCAAGATCAGCCTAGGCAATCTTGGATAAAGGTGTCTTGGGGTCAAGAGTTCTGCTTCTCTGTCCTGCTGGTTGTGTGGCTTGGGGCCAGTTCCACCACCCCCATGAGGCTCTGTTTTCTTCCAAGGCTCTCCCAAGGATGCAGCAGGCAGGAGATATGACCTAGTGGGCTCGAAGGAGACAGGTCCAGGTGCCAAAGAGGAGGACTGCAGGCCTACAGAGGGGTGGGGACAAACTGATGGGCAGACCTGGAGGCCGGCAAATTATTCACAGCAGCCAGCCAGCACAATGCAGCACCTGGTGGGTGCTGGGCATGTTGGCAGCGGTGAAGGGTCCTGAGGGCTCATAGTTCAGTCACAGGGAGCAGTGCCCTACCCCACCTCCCAAACAAGTAAGAGTCATGGTGCCTGATCCATGTGCTCAGTGCCCAGTGCAGATGCAAAATGGTTGGGTGTCTCAGCGGAAGTGCCACAAAGGGGTTATATTCAAGATGGGTTTTTCACTGGGATGAGAAGTTGGTGAGGACATTTCAGGCAGAGGGAACTGCGTTTGCAAAGCCCGGCTGGGATGAAGCAACATAGTAGAGTAGACGAAGGCAGGCCATTCAGAGCGTCTGAAATGTTGGCGCCAGACAGTCTGGTGGGGGTTGGGGTAGAGAGGAGAAGCAATGTGGCCATTGCAGGGTCTCTCAGGTCAGGTTCCCCAGAAGTGAGCCTGAGACAGGGATTCTTGTGCAGGTGCCTGGTTGAGGGAGCGCTCACTGGAGAAGGCAGCGAGGGAGGAGGCTGGGGTGGGGGAAGGAACAGAACTAAGATGTTCTCTTGGGCAGGGTCTATCTGCAGTCCCATTCCCACTGCAGGAGCTCTGGAGCAGGCATTAATCTGGGCTTAAGACAAAGGGCTGCAGGCTGGGCATGGTAGCTCACACCTATAATCCCAGCACTTTGGGTGGCTGAGGAGGAGGGAGGATCACTTGTGTGTGGTGGGGGTCGGGGTTGGGGCCTGTGGCTGCAGGGACTGGGGTGAGCAAGACTCCTGGGTTAGATGGTTCCTGTATCCACACAGCTGTGGCAGCAGCCACACTCACTGCAGCTAGGGTGCAGGGGCCTGCAAACAAAGGGGATCTGGGCTAAACTTGGGAAGCCTTCACCATCTGCCTTCACATCCAGGCTCCTCCTGTGGACCTCTTGCTCTGGATCCCCCAGGAGACAACTAAGCTGGCCTGATCTGCCAGTCAGCAGGGGGCTCAGCTCCTGAGGCCCGTCAGCATTCCAGATGAACAGAGAGACTCTCTTCCCAGATTGGGGCAGTTGGAAGTGGTGAGCACGGCCACACAGCGAGAGAAGTCAGGGGAGGTGTCTGACCTCCTGAGAGCAGTGAGGTCTGATGGAGGCTGGAAGAATATGCCCATCAGAGGCATTTCTGGGTGACTTGGGGCCACTGCCCGCCCTGGTGGGATGGAGGACTGCCTGGCCTCATGCTGCTCCATTCCATAATGGCTGGAACGGCACATGGGGGCCTCAGAGGCCATTACCCTGCACCTCTGTCATGTGGCCTCTGGCTCAAGGTTACCTTGTAATTGCAGATGCTTGGGCCTGAAGTCAGCATACTCTACCTGCAAAAGAATCAGCAAGATCTTCCCATTCTTCTTCCTGCCATGTCCACTCCCTGAGTCCCCATATCAGCCTCTCTCACCAGATTCTGCCAGAGCATCAGGCTGATCAGGGAGATGATGCAGCCTAGAGGAAAGAGCTGGGATTTTGGAGTTGGAAGGGATGGGACTCCAATGCTGATTGTGCCCTTGGACACGGTGCTTTCCTCATTTACAGACTGAGTCTAAAGGACAGAGTGACCCTTTGTTGAGTGTTTGTCATGGCCCAAGCCCTTTACATGAATCCTCATGGAATCCACATGCACTACATTACAGGTGAGGAGACTTGGCCCAGAGAGGGCATGGCATGAAATAGGAGCCTGGTTTCATGTCTCTCCCTCGCAATGCCCCCTGGGCACCTTAGATCACTCTCTTTCTACAAAACCTGCAACTATGACTACATAAAATTAGCACCCACGGATGTCGGCTCCTACCTGTCTGTCTAGCATGATCTCTTGACATCCCTGCCCTCACTTTCTATTCTCTGGACCCAGAGGTGGTCTCTCCGACCTCCAGTCTTTTGCTTCCCCTTGGAATGCCCCAATCCCTGTTTAACTAACTCCCACTTGACATTTAACTTCAGTTCTACTGAACCTTCACCACCCAGCCCATCCCAGCCTGTGGCTCTGGGGAGGTCCCTCAGTGTCCTGGGCTCACCTCTGCCACCTCCACAGTACACTGGCCAGTCACAGTCCACTTGTCCAGCTTTCCTGAAGCTTCTTGAAGCCGTGGCTGCCCTTCATCCCTCTCTAAGTGCCATCCTTGGAACCCATACAGGGCCTGCCACCAGGGAGTGACCAACACACAGCAAGTCCCCACAAGCAACCCTGAAATGGAGAGAATGCTCCATTCTGGGATGGCCAGTTCTATGGGCCACACCACTGACCCAGACTCCACCTGACTCCAAGTCCCTCCTTGCTCTCTGAATATCTTAGGTTAAATTTTGAAAACACCAACTCCTTTAAGTATACCTTCCCAAAGTTTTCGTTGTTGACATCTGAGCTTTGCAAAAGTGCTTTTTAAATAGTTGTGGTGTTTTTCTTTCTTCCTCTTCTTTTTTTTTTTTGCTGCTGCTGTTATTATTTTAGACAATTTTTGCCCCAGTCAGTGCACCTAGAGAGCTTTTGACAAGACTCTGCAAGAATAAAATTGTTTTGCAAAGAAAAAGGCGGGAGAGGAGGAAGAGGAAGAAGAAAGAGAGGGAAGAGAGAAGGGAGAGAAGGAGGGAGAGAGGGAAGAGTCATGAGCTGCTGCATCTTTAAGGCTCTCAGAAATTGTCCAGTCCAGTTTCCTTATTTGGCGAATGAGGAAACTGAGGCCCCCAAACAGGAAAGAAAACAGCCAGTCTTTCTTGCCATCAGCTAATGACAGAGCCAGTGCCCAACCCAGCCATGACGCACAGGGCACTGCAGCAGCTGACAGATGCGCAGAGTGAGTTGATAGAGTGAGCTGGAGTCACTCGGCCCTTGAGTCCTCCTTTCCCTCTGAAGCTTGTTGCTGGGGAGGATGGGAGGTGAGGTCACCATGTTCCCCCATAACCAGGTCAGGGTCTGCAGTCCCCCCATCTGCATGCAGCAGGAAGCTGACTCCTCTCCCTCTGTCCAGCCTTCCAGCACATGTACCCCATCACCAGGAAGGTCCTGCCCTGTGGCACAAAGCCGGAGTATACCTGCTGTTGGAGGAAATAAATAAGTAAGGTTAAGAACAAAGACCTCTCAAGTTTCAGCCAAGGTGTGGGCTATAATGGGGGCTGTCTTGTGCCAGGAGGTAATGGCTGTAAATCAGACCGCACTGGATGGAAATTTTGCTGTGTTTTGAAGTCCATTTGGTCTTATTGCTTGTTCAGCTTCTTAATGCATTAATGATAAAACATCAGAGTGAATATGTATTCCAAAAAAATTGCAATTAATCAATACTGCACTTATTCCATTTGGCTGCGACTAAGTGGTAAACAGGACTTAGGCCGGCTCCGTGAGCACAGGCTCTTCTCTGTCTCAAGGCCTTTCCCGGCAGAGTGAGGATGTGAGGGGGTGTCAACTCCTAAGAAGGAAGCAGCTGGCCCAGAGGTCCTGTGGCCAGGTATCCAGGTACATGCTCACGCCTTCTAGGGAGAACCAGCACTGTGGGCCTGTGCTACGAAAGACCAGGCAGTACCTCGTCCACACACCTGCTTACTGTCTCTGGTCTTAGGTTAATGCTTGCAATTTTCCCTCTCATCTGTGAAAATATGACATTAGCCCCACACCTTAGTGGGGCTGAGGACAGGAAGCGATTGATCAAAATGGGTGCCACTGTAAGAATGCAGCAGGTTAACAAGTGTTCCATGCTCATGTAGATGCTGGTCATGCATTAGTTATTATCATTTCCATTCACTCTCACCTCTTAGCCTCTTGGGATCTCAAACGCATTGTCTTCAGCAAGTGCTGCCTGCCTGATTTCAAGAAAAGCCCAGAGCAATGCTTCAAGTCTGAGTCTTAGACCATGATTTTGCAGATAAGGAAATTGAAGCCCACAGAGGTCAAGACCCAAAGTCACACAGCTGGCTAGAGGCAGAGCTTAGTCTTCCCATCCTGGAACTCTGACTTCTGACCATGCCTGACCTAAGTGATCTGGAATGGCAAAGAGTGAGGTCCCCATGCATAGGATATTCTGCAAATATTTGTTCAAGGTGGATTTAAGGGTGAGGCTGAGCTCTGTGGTGGGAATGAAGAAGATTATTAACAGCACTGGCATTCACCTCTTACTCAGCTAAACCAAAGCCCTCACTTAGGGGGACCTACACCCTGGGAGGCTGTTTAGAGAACCTCTGGTGTTTCCCAAGCATTTCTTCAGCAAATTCTTACTGAGTGACCACCTGAGTCAGCCACTAGGCAGTAGAGCATGTCCCTGGGGAACACAGCTTTCCTCCCCACAGGCAATGTAGCAGAAGATTCATTTCAAACACATGCTGCTTGGCATCTTTGCTTCCTAAAAATTCTGGTAAATTTAATTTGCTCCATTTTATTCCATCTCAAGCACCTCTTATTGCCTGGCTCCCGTGATCTGCCACTTTTCTGGCCTTAACCCCTGGATGACAACTCCCCATCACATAAACAAGGGCATATTATACAACAGCACATTCACTGGTCCAACTTTTCTCAGCTCAGGGGTGTTCTGGAAAATACAGTGAGGTCAGCAGCCCAGGGGCATGCCGGTGAAAGGGGAAGACACTGGATAGGTGCTCAATAAAGCCTTCTTGCTTAATGTCCTTCGAATGGCTAAAGACTGGACTCATGTCCCCTTTGAGCCAGGCCCTCCCCATTCCTTCTTCTTTATGTGACGTGCTGTATTAGCTTAGTTCTGTCTTCAGCACTATTCCCAATGGGTCTCTCTCCAACCAAGAGGCTTTCATCTCCATTCCCACTGCTGTCCACAATGGGCGGGCGGGCGGGCAGGGGCAGTGGGGGTGTCACAGAATCAAATTCCCTAGTGCCACCAGCTGCGGAGAAGCAAGGGTGGGGGGGTGACTGGTCAGACTGGTGGGTGTTTCATACCAAGCCCTGCTGTGCCCACTGAGTTGGCCACAGCCCCATGTGTTTGCCATGGCCCAGCTCCTCATCTGGCTGACGAGATGAACTCTTCCCATCGGCCTGATGAGAAGACTCAGGGCTCAGTGTCTGGGTGCTGGCCTCAGGCCTCAGCAGCATTTTCTTTTCCCAGGTGTGGCCATTTTCCTACCAGGATGAGCCACACAGCTCAGTAGCAGGGCTAAGTCTCACCGTGCTGTGGAGCCCAGCTCACAGAGCCAAATCCATTTGCAAAGGAGGGGCTGTCAGAGCTGCTGTTTGTCTTCTCAAGGCTGTGCAGCATCCTGCCTTAGAGTCTCGGCAGCCTTCCAGGGGAGTTTTGCTTTTAACTGTATTATAGTGGTTGGGCAACTTGGGAAATCTGAATTCCATTGACACATTTACAATCCTCTTGCCTCTCAGATCATGAAGAAACTCCATCTCATAGACACAAAGTCTTTCAGAGCTCTGGGCCTCTTAAAGGATAAAAACACTGTCTTATTGGATGGGAAAGTAGAGAATTTCTGGGCAAAATGGCACCCAACAGTGAAGATTTGGGTTCCTTTTCCTCTTGGCTTTTCACTGAGAGAGCAACTCTCTGGAGTAGACAGTCTCTTGCAACTGATCTTTGTTTACTTCAGTCACCACCATCAGAGTGATTTTGTCCACAGAGCCCATGAGCTTTTTAAGGGCTACAAAAGTGTCCCAAGGGCTAGGGAAAAACATGTTGGCAAAACAGTGCTAAAATAAAACTTTATTCGAAATTAATATATTGATAATTAAACAGCTACAAAATTTAACATTTTGTTAGCTAGTCAACTGCAATTCAACTCATGTCCTATTTTCACATGTAAATTCTGTTTGCATAAAGGGTGGGCATGTTGTATATCATGTGAGATGAATCCCTGAAAAGTCAGGAGGCTGTATTAGTCAATGTCCATTGAGGAAAACAGAATGGTCCAGGCCAAGTAGTTGAGATGAGGGGGATTTAATATGGGAAGGGCAAAGGGTCAGAAGAGTTAGCTGCAAAAGAAACAGGAGAAGGAGAGGCAACCGAGAGTTTAGCTACAACTAGAAGCCACCATCACCCCTTGGGCTGGAAGGGTCAAAGGAGGAGGGGATACTCCCAAACTTGGGTTCTAGGGGCCACTAGATAGGACTTGGAAGGAGAGGATACAGTGGGAGGCCTGTTGACAGAAGGAGCTGGACCCATGGAGAACATTCAGCCATTGCCAGAAACACTACCTGGAGCAGGGATAGTGGGGAGAAGTACCCTGGCTCCTCCCTGTCTCTCCTCTCCCAATCTCTCCCCAGAGCCTTTTGATAGCCACACCTATCTGCAAGCCAGTGAGCAAGAACTCCAGGACACTCATTCGCAGGGCTCACCCCTCTACGATGCAGAGAAGAATGGGAAACAGGACACGGCAGGGATATGAGAGCAAACCAGCAAGTGGCCCTACCCGTAGCTTAGGAGGGACATTGACAAGCAGAAGTGTGCTTGTAAGAGAGTGACAAAGGTTGTGAGGGACTCAGGTGCCAATCTTATGAAGAAGAGGCAGGAATCATGAATTGTTGGCTGAACACAGACTTTCAAAGTTCAACCTAGGGAAGACTTCCTTTCAGAGTGTCCAGAGAAGAAGAGGTCTGCCTTAGGAGGCAGGGAGGGATGAAGGCTAGGAAGGGGAGCCGGGTCAGATGATTTCACAGACCCATTCATTCCCTGAGAGTGTGATCCTGCACTCCACCACCATGATGCTGAGAGCCGGTCCATGTGGCACTGGCTAGACTAGAATGATAATACATATATTGATGAGAGGTTTGCTGCAAAAATGACCCATAACAAACAGCCCTGATAGCTCAGTAGCTTACAGCAACCACTGATTTTGTACCCACCATGTGCTGGTTGGCTGTGCTTTGGCTGGTCTTGGCTGGACTCAGCCAAGTTTAGATGAGAGGGGCTCACTCAGGGCATCAGGTTGGGACCAAGACTGTCCCACAGGTAGAGTGAGCTGTCCCAGCTTTCTGCTGGGGCTCAAGCTGGCTTCAGGAATGTGCTTTTCTTGTGGCAGAGAGTGGAAATGCCAAGAGGACTGGCAGGAACGTGCTATCTGCCTAGGGCCTCAGCTCAGAATGACACACTCTAACTTCCATCCTCTTTCCATTGGCCAAAGCAAGCCATATGGCCAAAGCCAAAGTTAAGGGTAGAGGATCTGCCCACGGGAAAGTCATATCAAGGGATAGGAGGGTAGCAACGATTTCAGACAAGTAATACAATCTACCATGGATAAAAAGAATATTTTAATAGTAATGGGGCAGTATAGCAGAGTGGTTAAAGGGTTTGAGCAAACTGGCAAGGGTTTGAGCTCCACCTCTGCTACTTCTGGACAAAATGGCCTTGGGCAAACTCTCTGGGCCTCCTTTTCCTCATCCAGAAAATGGGAAGCCTAGTATGCAGACCTTCCAGTGTGGCTGTGAGGGAGCGCTGGGCTGACAGATATGAAATGCTGAGCTGGGTGTCTGGCATCTAAGAAGAGCCTAATAGATGCTGGCTGGTACGTTGTTAGGAAGAATCTATTGAAAATTGTGCCTTCTGGAGACAAGGCATGCAGCAAAGGTGAGGGGAGAAACATTTCAGGGAAATAATTTGAAAATCTCTGCATGGTAGGCTTATGAAAAAAGGAAATACCTCAGTAACTGAGTCATCCCCTGAGCTCTGGGAACAGAAAGCCTGCAGGCTGGCACTGTTCTCCACTGCAGAGTTGACAGCTTGTTGGAGGAGGAGTGGCACAAGGTGGGGAGGGGGGCAGATTTCCTCTCCTGACGACTTGCTCTGGTTCACCCACAGCCCCATGCACATAAAGGTCCAGTTTCTGGAAGCAGCCTTAGAAATTCTGTGGAATTTCTGGGTCCCAGGAACTGCCACTTTGCAATTTGAGAATTTAAATATATGTAGATGCTTAGTCTTTTCTTTTACAGAAAGATACAAATTCCTCCAAAAATACATCGTCCTCAATCATTTTTTATTCTTGTGCCTACCCAAATCAAGCCCTAAGCTGTTGAAAGAAAGAAAGTAAATAATAGGGAAAGAGACAAGCAAAAACCAAATCGAAGTTTCAAAAACCAGGTGAAAATCCCACCAGTTATGAGATGGCCTTGATTGGGGGCCAGGAGGGCAGGCGTGGGTTTCCCGGGTCTCTATGTGACACAGTGGTTAGAACATGTCTTTTGGAGTCAAATTGCCTCAGTTCAAACCCCATCTCTGCTGGCCCCCAGATATGAAACTGGGTAAACAAGCCCTTATGAATCAGAATCCTCATCAGTTAAAATCAGACGATGTTAGCTTCTTTCTCACAGGTAATTGCAAAGTTTGCAGGAGATACTAGTGGCTCTTGAAGCACTTGCTATGTGGTGGCCACATGCATTGCTTTTCTTTGTGAAGGATCAACACAGTTGATAAGCACTCTATTAGCCAAGGTCAAGAATTTTATTTCCACATGGCAAACAGAGTGTTTGCTTTGAGAAGAGATCAGGAGGGATGAGGAGGCATGCTGAACAAAATACAACTGCTGGCCAAATTCAGCCCATGGAACCAGTCTGCTGGTTCTCAGCTTTGGAGGCTCAGCAATTAGATTTGTTAATATAACTGTCTTAGTTTGAGTTCCCCAAAGCCAACCCTGAGATGAGGATTCATCTGGAAGCAATTCATTTGAAAAAGATTTATTAGCAATTGTTCCCTGGAAAAACGGGTAGGCAAGTGGGAAAGTAGGACCAAGAAGCAGGAGTGTGACATCCTGCCTGGAGGGTAACTTTGGCTGTTTCCCCCAGGTGAGCTCTGGAGATAGGGCAGGTGACACCTCAGAGTGTCTGGGGGTGGGGGAAGCTGGGGATTGATCAGTCATTAGTCACAGGTAGCCCCAGGAAGAGGCACATCCCAGGCATTTCCAGCTCTCCATGCACACAGGCAAAGTGGGTTTCAGCAGCCTGAGAGCTGTCCTCAGATGCTGGCTGTTAAGGAGAAAGCACAAGAGGTGTCTATGGGCACAAAAATGGTGAAGGGGATCCAAGGAGCTTGGGCAGAGCAAAGCAGCAACTGGTACAACACCCAAAGGTGATAGGTGCCGGGACTGACTTGCAGGAAGCAAACTCCCAAGAGATGGCCACGTTTCCAGGGAGAGACAGAACTAGCCAGCACTTCTGGTTCTCATGTCCAAGGATCCTCAGCCCATGTTCTCCAGGGAAGAAAACCTCTGTTATAAACGGGGATTACAGGGTAATGAGGCACTCACCACCAGAAGCTTGGTTGGATTTCATAATGGCTGAGTCCTGGAGCTTCAGCAGTGATAAGAGAAGGACAGGACTGTTTGTGGGTCAGGACTCCATGTTGCCCTGCCAGAGCTGGAGGCAACAGCATCACGGGCAGCCTTGTGGTGCAATAAGAGACATGCTGCCCTTGGAAGTCAGGTGGAGCCACGTTCCAACCCCGTCTCTTTCATGTTTGAGCTGCGTAACCTTGGGCCTCTCTAAGCCTCATCATCTAAGATCTGCCTGGAATGCCTGCCACCCCAGCCCTTGTAGGGTCGATTCAGAATCAGTGTCTTATACCTCCTCCTTAAAGAGCCACGGGATTCCTGCTCTATGTGAGGGAGCTGTTGCTCAGAAAAGAGTACATGACAATTATCATTGCCTGTGTCTTCCCCTTGGCTAGCCTCCCTGTATTTCGTTGCTCCTCTTTCCCTTTCTTTTTGAGAAAAGGGAGTTTGTCTCAAACTCCCTGAAGCCTGCCCCCTGTTTCTCCCCACCTGGGCTGCTGCCCCCTCTTTTTGTCCTTCCCTCTCATGTAGTCACCACCCTCTGTCTTCATTCCCCCAAGCACTGCTAACAGGATGCTGTTGTGTGTCATGGAATCTGATTGAGGCTGGGGAGTAATGAAGGGGGGTATGACAGAGCCCAGAACAGGAAGCAGCTTTCTCTGCAGTCCTGGAGATGACTGTACTGGAAGGCTGCCGGGCTCTCCCCACCCCTGGGGAGCATCTACTCATCCTTCTTATCCCCAGGCCTCCCCTCCCTCAATGCTGATGGACCCCTCTTGCATGACGGCCCTCTCTCAAGCACACGCTCCCCAAACCTCTCCCAATGCTGGCTGACCAAGGACAGGTCTCAGTGCCTGTGGCCCCATCAGGTGGCCAGCATGGCTCTTCATGGTCTTTACCCCCTTTCCCTCTGGTCTAGACACAGGAACCTCATTTTTCTCTACCATAAACAAACAAGAGGAAAGAAAAACAGAAGGCTTCCCCATTTTTTTTTTTTTTTTTTTTTTTTTTTACAAAAATGCAGCCAAGCCTAAGAGGCTAACAGGGACTTTGTATTTTTCCAAGACGTCTGGATCAAACGGCAGCTTGGTTTTCACAAGACCATCCCTTCCAGACGCTTATTGTTGCTCCCAACCCCACAAGCCTCTCGTTCCCTCTTCTCTTGTTCCCCCTGTGTTCCCCGCCCCCAACACACACTGCCTCTAGCTCTTGAATTCCTCCAATCACAGCAAGTCTGGGCTGCAGCCCTCCTGCCTCTTTAAGGTGACTTGGCATTTCTCTGTGTGGATCCATTTTTGCATGCTTTATGGTTTAACTGGCAGAGGGATGTCTTATTTCCTGATCTCCGAGCTGTCTCAGGCAGTCTCTGCCAACACCCCATGGCACACCATGGGTGCCCTCAGACCTTGTCCACAGCAATCAGCACCTACGCCCTCTCCCACTGCCTGGCTGCTTTCAGATGTCACCCTTAGGTTTTACCCCATCCCATCACCTGCAAGGCTCTGGAATTCTTTGAAATATTTTAAAACATTTTTATTACAATGAGAATGCATGTTTATTACAGAAGAAAAATTGAAAATGTGGGTAAGCAAATACAAATGTCAGTCTTAATCTACCGTGTAGAAATAGTATCTTTTAAGATTTTGATAAACATTCTCCCAGATTTTATTTTCTATGAGTATGCATGCATATCAGTCAAGACTCTCTTGGTTACAGGTGACAGAAAAAACTCAGATGCCTCAGTACAGGCTGAATTGCACCTTCCCACCTCCCCTCTAATTCATATGTTGAAGTCCTAACTCCCAGTGCCTCAGAATGTGACTATATCTGGAGATGGGGGTCAGTAAAGAGGTAACTAAACTCAAATGAGGTCATCAGGGCGGGCCCTAATCCAGTGTGACTGGTGTCCTTATAAGAAGAGACTAGGACATAGATTTAGACAGAGCGAAGATTATGCGAAGAAAGAAGGAAAAGGCGGCTGTCTCCAAGACAAAGAGAGAGGCCTCACGGGACGCCAACCCTGCTGACACCTTGAGCTTGGACTTCCAGCCTCCAGAACTGTGAGACAGTAAATTTCTGTTGTTTAAGCCCCCTAGTCTGTGGTACTTTGTCATGGCAGACCTAGCATGCTAATATACCCCTCAAACTAGCCACAGCCCAAAGGGGAATTTGTTTGATGGATCATACACTGCAGGAACAACTGAGGTGCAGCTGGGCCACGTGAAACAACTGGAATCAGGGATTTGAAAGCCACTAGGAGCTCACCTCTATCTTCCATCTCTGCTTCTCTGACTTTGTCCTCCCAGAACCAGCTTCCTGTACATGGCAGGGAATGGCTCCCCCATTTGCAACTTAAAGCTTCATCACCTAGGAGGGACTGGCCTTTTGTCCCACTGCTAGTTTACAAAATCCTAAAGAAGGATTTTGATTGGCTGGCCTACGTCATTGCCCAGCCCAAGACCAATAATAGACACAGCAGCTAATTTGTTCAGCAACTACTCTGTGCAAAGCACTCCATTCATTCTACTAAATAATTTGCTAAACATGTGGGGTTATTATCATTATGATTACACCTTTACAGATGAGGAAGCTGAGTCATGAAGTAGTCAGGGAACTTGTCCCAGGGCACACAGGGTGTGAGCAATGTCCCTGAGTCCAATGTGGGGTGGCCAATGAGTGCAGCTAGCAGGTCCTGTTTTTTGTTTTTTGTTTTGTTTGTTTGTTGTTGTTTTTTGTTTATTTATTTATTTATTTATTTTGAGACAGGGTCTCCTTCTGTCTCATCCAGGCTGGAGAGCAGTGGTGCAATCATGGTTCAACCTCCCAGGCTCAAGTGATCCTCCCACCTCAGTGTCCTGAGTAGCTGGGACTATAGGCGCATGCCACCACACCTGCTAATTTTTTGTATTTTTAGTAGAGATGGAGTTCACCACATTGCCCAGACTGGTCTTGAACTTCTGGGCTCAAGGGATCCTCCCACCTTGGCCTGCCCAGCCTAGCAAGTCCTTTCTAAACCAATGAGTCAGTGCCAGTCTCCCATAGTCCCTGTAAATCTTGCCACACCCTTCAAGTATCATCCACTATGCAGCCACCTTGCTGGACAAAGGGTGCCCTCTGAGATCCTGAGAAAAGGCCACAATGACTTCTGGCTGGCAACTCCATCATGCCTTTTATTCAAAGGCTGCAGTGGCTAATACAAAGAGAGGCCAGCAGGGTAGTAAACAATCCCTAAATTGAGAGCCTGGGAACTCAGAGAGCCTGACCAGCATCTTGCCCTAAGCAGTCCTGCCCTGTGCTCCAACCTAATGGGATCTCTGAATTCTCCTTGGGCTTTCCAGGCAGCAGAGGAACTTGGCAGGCAGTCTGTAGGGTGAGTGATTCTTTTGTTTTCTACCTCTGCTTTCTCCTCTCCTTCTTTCTCCTATAACTTGTGGACTGAGACACATGCTTGAAGGCAGGTGTCCACTTTCATCCAGCCCAAGAGGCAGGCACTCCCAGGGCCCCTCAGCCCACCCTACCAGGGATGGCACTTCCTCTTAGGCCACCCAGGCTTTCTCCTTGGGCTGGCTGGAGCAGGGATCATGGCCAGAACCTTGGGAAACTGCGCAGCGACCCAGCATCTCAGGGATTCACTGGGCCTTTTCATGGAGATCACTCCACCCAGGATGCTACCTGTGTGAAGACTTGCTATATTCATATTTTTTTTTTACAACACTTAGTTTTAGAAGAAGAAACAAGGCCCAATGAAGTTTAAGAGCTATTCAAGGTTGTACAGAATGGTAGGGCCATCTTTCCAGCATGTCCATGCTGCTTTCTGGTCCTGCTAGTTGAACTCTATCCCCATGGACACCATTCAGATCACGTTGCTTGAGGAGCCAGGTGGGGACTGTGTTGGGGCAAGAGAGGCATCATCTGGAGTGAAAAATGGAAGGGGACACCAAGAAACTCAGTAGTCAAGATAAATAACATTTTTGTGCAATAGTTTTAAAAAAACATATTGGCCAACTGTGGCCCACGGGCGGGCTGTCTGTTTCTATAAATGCAGTTTTATCAGGGCACCGTGGGCTCATCCAACCTGTAGCACTTTGCTGCTATAACAATAGAGCCTGCCAAAGACAGAGTGAGCTTCCCTGAGGCATCTCTTACTTTGGTGCTGAATTAGTCAGGGTTCTCCAGAGAAACAGAACCAACAGGATGTGTGTATATATATATATAGAGAGAGATTTATTTTAAGGAATTGGCTCGTGTGATAGTGGAGGATTGGCAAGTCCAAAATCTGCAGGGTAGGCCAGCAGGCTGGAGACCCAGGGAAGAGTTGCAGTTCAAGTCCAAAGGTGGTCTGCTGGCAGAATTCCCCTTCTGATGGGAGGCTAGTCTTTTTCTATTAAGGTCTTCAACTGATTGGATGAGGCCCACTCACATTATGGAGGGTAACCTGCTTCATTCAAAGTCTACTGATTTAAATGTTAATCTCTTCTAAAAAAAATACCTTCACAGAACATATCGAATAACAAATACAGTTTAACAAAATATCTGGGTACTGTGGTCTTACCAAATAGGCACCTTCTATTATTATTGAATTTCGGATTGCCATCTTATTTTCTATATGCATACATTATTTTTCTTTACAGCAAGAGAAGAAAGCCTTGCATTTGGAAAGAAGAGACTGTATTTTACATGTCTTCCCATGCGCTTGCATTTTCTAGCGTATTACTTAGCACAAAACAGACACTAAATGTTTGTTGTTTGATGGGAAACTATTAATTTGGCTACTTTTTTTGGCTTCTGATTAATTTATTTATTCGATCAGAAACTTGTGAGGAAACTTTGGTTACTTTTCAAAATCCAAGCACAAAATAGTTGAGGTATGAATATCAGAAAAACAGTCCTTTCAAGAATATCTTCTCTTGTTCTTCCAATTGTGCCTTAAAAATCAGCCTCCAGCACTTGACCTTTGAGAGAGCTCTGTGTGAGAGGAATCAAAGCCCTGTCAGTCTTTCTCTGTGGAATGCGGGAACTATTCCTTTTGCAATTTCTTCCCTCTAAAACTTAATCCTAATAATAATGAAAGTGATTTATCAGATTAAGACACAAATTAATCCTGTCAGAACAACTTGATGTTATCATGTTTAATTTCAAATTTAATTATTTTGGTATTTAATTACAAAACAGTTACTTTATTGTAATTATGTATCATTTTAAAGTAGAAAGAGGCCAAAAAATCCCTGATAATGGGCTACCCTGAGGTATAGCCATTTTTCGTTTATCTCCGACATGTATCAGCCCTGTTTCTTGATTTTCCTGTAGCTTAAGCTTCTCTTCGATGTATTCTTTAATTTCTCACTTCCTATTTGTTTTTGGTCTCTTCTTTACTCTCCTAGAACCAATATCCAAAGCACATTTTCACCGCTTACACTGATTTCTACTACTAGGCTTGAAAGGTTTGAAAATATCACCTTAAACAGCATCACTCTACCTGCTTCCACCTTCTGAGAGCAAGGAGCTTGTGTGTGGTACTTTAAGTCGGGAGTTGCAAACTTCAGTGTTTTGAGTGTCATCCTGTCAGTAGGCATCCTATGCTAGCATGGGCCAGGACAGCAGTCAGCACAGGTGCCGGCCACAGCTTTGCACCACAGCCACTGGGTTTGCTAACTTTACCCCTTTGGGAATGAAGGTCCTAGGGAAGGTGCCAGTCTAGCTGATGGATGGGTTCTCCCAGGGCTCAGGGAGCTGGCTGTTTACTCACAGGCATGGGACTATTTTGACATCTCCACCACTGGTAGAACTTTACCAGAGCACACTGGTTCAGCCCCATCCCTGCCCACAGGGACCAGGCAGGTTAGGAAAATGGGTGAAGCAGGTGAGTGTTCCGTGGGGGGGTGGGGATGACAGGGAAAGGAGAATGTGCCCCACACCAAAAAAGTATCCTGGTGATGATCACAGCAGGAAGTTTTTCCAAGAGAAAGCAAAAATCCAGATTTTTTAAATGAGAAAATTTCAGATTTTAAAATGTTTGAAGCCAACTCAAGTTTTTGTTCAAACACCTGTGGCTCAACTGGAATATAGCCAGGGCTGGAGCTGGCCCTTGGGAGTCCCCTCCCCCAGCTTTAAGCCAATGACTCTCCCTTCACCACTGGGGCTCTGTCCTCCCACCTTCTGTTTAAAAGTGAGGATGGGCTCTGGTTTCTGCTTAAGATGTAGAAAGCTGGGGAAACATCATTTCCACCCTTACGATGAGAAAAAACTGACCATTGTGCAAATTCACAACTTTTCTTGAACCTATAGGAGAGCTGAAGCCACAGGGTAAACAACTCAAAATCTAAAGAAAGACAAGTACCTGTAAGGAAAGAGGGGACATCAGCACTTGCTTACCTAGAACAGATGTCACCAGATGCCATACTAGTCAGTGAGAAGAGTTCACCTAAAATTTTTAATGACTTGCTAAAGCCTAAGTGAGGTTAGTGTGAAAATATGGAGCCCCTGGGTGCCACAGACGCAGGTGCTGTGTTGAAACTCTAACCCCAGCCGGGCACGGTGGCTCACGCCTGTAATCCCAGCACTTTGGGAGTGTGAGGCGGGTGGATCACGAGGTCATGAGATCGAGACCATCCTGGCTAACACGGTGAAACCCCATCTCTACTAAAAACACACACACACAAAAATTAGCCGGGCATGGTGTGGGCACCTGTAGTCCCAGCTACTGAGGAGGCTGAGGCAGGAGAATGGCGTGACCTGGGAGGCGGAGCTTGCAGAGAGCAGAGATTGTGCCACTGCACTCCAGCCTGGGTGACAGAGCGAGACTCCATCTCAAAAAAAAAAAAAAAAAAAAAAAGAAACTCTAACCCCTAAGGTGATGGTATTTGGAGGTGGGGCTTTGGGGAGGTGCTTAGGTCATGATGAGGGCAGAGCCTCCATAAATGTGACTAGTGCCCTTATTAAAGGAACCCCAGAGAGAGCTGGCTTCCCCTTCTGCCACATAAGAACCCAGTGAGAAGGCAGCCATCTCTGAGGAAAGCCAGCCTTCACCAGACAATGAATCTGCCAGCACCTTGATCTTGGACTTACCAGCCTTCAGAACTGTGAGAAATAAATTTCTGTTGTTTATAAGTCACGCAGTTTATGGTATTTTGTTATAGCAACCCAAAGAGACTGAGACACGAGGGAATTTGTACATACTAGCAGGCTTTTCTTCCCTGATCTCACCAAGCACTCATAAGAAAGATTTGGAGCAGAGCAAGAGTCCTGAGAAAGCGTCTTTCGTGGTGCAGCCCTTGGGCAAGGGAACAGCAGCAGCTGCTGCAGGAACAGTAAGAGGTCCTTCCTCCCTGTGGAATGATGATAAGTTGCTAAGAGAAGGGCAGCGGACTCCGCTGCCTTTAGAGCACCCACTGCAGCTGGAGGAAAAGAACAGAAAAAAATCTCCACCCCTGAGAAAGAGGCTCAAACTAGTAAAAGTCTCCTACAGCTGGGGGCAGTGCAGAGTCATTTAGAAGGCCTCATTCTTGAGACACCGGCATGGTGCCTGCCTGACAGGTTGAATCAGAACAAAGAACGCTCCTTCTCCCACCCACACACTGTGACTGGGTCAACAAGTGTCAGGTAACAAGGGACACCATCTATTGCTAGGACAGGGGCAGGAGCATTGCTAGGAGAGACAGCCTCTCAGAGGTGCAGGTGCAATAATACCTGAAGCTAAGATTGAAGCAGACACTGAGAAAAACCCTCTGGAAACAATTCGCATGTCCTACAACTGGGGAATAGATTAAGAAACTGTGGTGCATTGTACAACGGAATACAAAACCGCAAGATAACGGACTGAACTACTGATACACTCAATGACACAGATGAATCGTACATGTGTTGTGTTAATTCCTACATACTGTAGGATTCCACATACATGACATTTGTGCAAAGGCAGAACTATAAGGACAGAAAACAGATCACTGGTTGCCAGAAGCTGGGATTGGGGCAAAGATTAAACACCAAAGGAGAACAGAGAAATTCTGGGGTGAAAGAATTGTTCTTTATCTTGACTGTGATAATGGTTCCAAGACTATGCTTTTCTCAAGACTTGCAGAACCATACACTAAAAAGGGAGAATTTTACTCTGGGTAAATTATACCCTAACAAAATAATCAGAAAAAAATAAGGGTCATTAAATTATCAGGTCAACCATCAGTCCATATCTCTTGACCATTTTTTATTTTAAGTTGGTTTAGTTGTCCTAAGAGAAGTAAAAATCAATAGCAAAGGATGAGCACATGAATAGGTCAGGCTCCTTTTAACTGTAAACGACAGTAACTCAGCTCTATCTACCTTAGGACCAAGAGTAATTTGATGAGAGGACTGTCTGTATCTCTCACAGACTGGCAGCCTAGGCACCTGGAACAGCGGGAAGCAGGAATCCACTTCTGGTCCTGTGTACATCACTCTCATTGCACACTGGCTTCTTCTAAATGGAGGTGAACATGGCTCTCAGCAGCCCCCCTGCCTCACATTTCACAGCTTCACCAACAAGGAGGAACTATGTCTTGTACTCTAATTCCAGTTCAAAAGATCCCAGGGAACACTCTGATTGGCCCAACTGAAGCCAATCAACAGTGGCCAAGAGGAAGTGATCCTGTGATTAACTTCCATAACACATAGTTGGAGATCTAAATAGACAAAATATTAATTGTCTATTGCAGCTTAGCATAATTTTAATGCAAGAAATTTTTTTTTCTTCTCCAAAAGATGCTGAAGTTCTCCTTCTGGCTTTAGGTCATTTTAGTTTTGTTTAACAAGCAACTATTGTGAATCTGCTCTGGGGTGAGAGGTGGAGGAACCAAGAAGAGTAGGACAAAGTCCTTCCTTTCAAAAACCCACATCACAGTCAAATAGGGGAGACAGCTACATAAGTAGCTCATTGCAAAGTCCTGTGATAAGTGCTATGAAAGCATAGCTGGAGAGGAACCACCTAACCAAGTCTGGGTCACAGACAAGATTTCCTGTAAGAACTGATTTTGGACAGTCTTGAAAGTTGAGTTAGAAGGGGAAGGGCCTTCCAAACAGAAGTGTAAAATCCAAATGATTACAGGGGCATGGTTCTCACAATTAATCAATTGACTGTAAACCCCTCCATGGGAGAGGTCAGGTCTTTATGATAAAGATACAAATACTTTACTTTTTTTTTTTTTAGCATTTTATCATTTTCAGAACACTTATCTAACAGAAACAGTACCACAAATAGGGAAATAAGAACAAAACAAACTTCTGAGAAAAAGATGAGTAGATTTTCTTCAACAGTGCTCAGCCCACACACGCCCCACTGCAGTCCCAGGAATAGGACTGGCCTGCAGGTAGGTTAATTGCTCCAAGATTGGGGCTTTGCAGGTGGGTGTGGTGGAATCTGAAAATGGCCAGGAACTTCCAAGTTGCTAAGCAATGCCTCATGGGGCCTAGACTGGGCAGTGAAGGTCGATGCAGACCTGTGAGAAAAGCGAGCATCAAGGAATTTGAGTTCTAATGAGTTTAAAGAACCAAACATGGGAATAAGGCCACAAGGAGTTGGAGGGAAAGAGGGTGAAGTCTGAGATGGAAAGATTTCTGAGATTGTGTAGTTCTAGCAGGTGGCATGCTCCATAGGATGTGGCTGTGCCAGGTTTGCTGAAGAGGTCGTGGGGAAGATAGTTATTGGAGGTGAAGAGGTCAAGGACCTTTGAGACAAGATGTTGGATGTCATTGAAGTCATCAAGGTTTATGGATAAGCCTAGAGTGGAGAGCAAAGCCAAGAGGCAGGTGCGAAAGCTTTCAGGGAAGAAAGGAAATGACCAGGAGGCTATGAAAGATGGCCACTGGGAGGGGAGAAGGAAGTAGAGATGGATGACAAGAGCTTCAAGAAGAAGGCCTTTGCATGGGCATGGAAGAGCCAGGTCCATGAGCAACTGCAGAGTCGGTGGGAGACGGCCATCGCTCCACTGGCAAGATGCTCCTAAGCAAGACAGAAGAGCTGGAGATAAACGAGCAGCCCACACTCAGGAAGTAAGTGACAAAGCATCGGCCAGCATCGAAGGTGCCAGCATAGCAAATATTTGCCGAACACCAGATTCTGCCTGAATGTAAAGATCAGCTCAGTGTTCACCAAAGTGTAGCACTGCATTACTTTTCATGAGTGAGATGGTCATTTTCTCAGTTTAAGACTAACAATCTAAGACTAACATCTTATTCTACTGTGTATTAGAAAAAATATATGCCACTTTGGGAGGCTGAGGCGGGTGGATCACCTGAGGTCAGGCGTTCGAGACCAGCCTGGCTGGCTAACATGGTGAAACCCCGTCTCTACTAAAAATACAAAAATTAGCCAGGCATGGTGGCAGGTGCCTGTAATCCCAGCTACTTGGGAGGCTGAGGCAGGAGAATCACTTGAACCTAGGAGGTGGAGGTTGCAGTGAGCCAAGATCACACCATTGCACTCCAGCTTGGGCAACAGAGCGAGACTCCATCTCAAAAAAAAATATATATATATATATATATATATTTTTATATCTATATTGAAGATATATATATATATTTATATATCTATATTGAAGATATATATATATATCTTCATGTTTACCTGGAGAATTCATAGATATTATCGCTTAGAATGAGGCTAAGGTTTAAAATAGGGCCAATTTAAAAAAAATATCAACTAAATAATAAGAGATGGTACACAGGTAAGGAGGAAAGTGTGAAGGTGGTATGCAAATACCCAAAATGTGAGAAACACTGGCTTATCCCATTTACTTTTCACAACAACTTGGTGAGTTAGATATAGCTGTAATTCCCATCTGTGTATCAGGGCTTCAAGGCTTGGGGCGTGGAGTAACCTTCTTAACTACCAGGAAGCAGTGCAGCTAAGGAAGCTGCAGCTCTGCCTTACAACCCCGAGTCTAATCACCACGATACGCTGCAGCTCCAATTCACATGAAGGAAGGAAGTCCCAGGTCTCTGTGCTACTCAGGCCTCCACCAGTCTTGGTCCTGGGTATTCTGAAGACACACAGTCACCCACGGTATTTTTTACTGAAGTATTTTAGATGCTGGTTCAGCCCAATTTCTTCTAGAATATTTAAAACAAGAACAAAACATCCCCACAGCATCTGACCCTTCATGTGCAACCTCAGGCTCTTTCCACAGTCTCCCCCATGCCCAGCCTCTGCCATGATGGGCTCTGGGAAGCACAGCCCCTGTGGAAAGCTCTGGCTGCTTTCCCAGCTCCCAGACTCACATGATGAGCCATGCCGCCAGACACGGGGTCTGGCTTCCCAGAAGATAGGATAGGCGATGTGGCCCAGAAACACAGGAGAGTTGACTCCCTCACCCCTGACCAGTGGGGGACAAGAGGTAGGAGAGAACCAGGGATAAATCCCCACTCCATTCCTCCATGATGGGCTGTTTCGAGGCATGGCATTTCTGTAAATCTGTTCAGAGACATCCCCCATGGCAGAATGACCAGCTGGGCCTCTTGCTGAAGCAGGGCCGGCTCAGCAAGACAGCGCCTTGCATTCCCCCCACCCTTTCCCTGTGTTCCTTCCTTCACTCTCACTCTTGCTGCCCTAGGATCGTACCTTCCCCTTACATGGCACCTCACGCTCTCTATTCAAGGGAGGCTGGGCTACGTGAAACCAAGCAGGGATTTCCATCCTACCCCCGCCAAGCCCCCAATCTCATCCATAGCGATTTTAAAAGCCAACTTCAAAAGTGCAGTGGGCTACTCTCTCACCTCACAGGACTTCCAGAGGAGTAAAGTGACCTGCAGGCAGGGGCTGGGAGGTGAAGCCTGCTTGAGTAGAGGGTGCCATAGCAGCCACTGTGCCTCTGTAGGCCCCTCAGCATTCGGGTGGGGCGTCCAGCGAGGCAGACCACATCATCAAATGTGCAGAGACGGCAGGTGGACACGAGTGAATAGGGTGAGAACAGCAGCCATGAGGCTGTGCAGTCTCACCCCCGCTGGGTGCTGGCTCTCCCTGCCCCTGCTTGATGGGCTGTGGGCTGGCAGCAAGTCCCTGGGATATTCCCCTTAGGTGGAGGAGGGGAAGCACCTTGTGGAGAGAGACCTTTGAACTGGACAGTGATCGAATTCCTGGATTAGACTAACATTTTTATTGGATTAGACTGGGCTTTGCTGGAGTGGACTGAATTTAGTGTTCCTGCTGCCAAGTGGGAATGAGAGCTCATTAAAGAAAGTACATGCAATTATTATTATTTTTTAAGTGCAGTTGAATTCTCCCAGGCCCCACTTTAATTTGGCCAGGAGCCCTGTCCTTGAGTGTGAACCCTGAAGAGAGCCAACCAGACTCTGGCACTTGGACAAATAGGGTTTGTTTTCTGTGGCTGGAATCACAAGGCCTCGGGTGAACCAGGATGTAGTCCAGCGGTCTAGCACAGAACCTGTCTACACAGGAGGCCTACCTGTGCACCCCCAACCACAGAGATAATGGAAATAAAACATCAGCACTTCAAGTACACTTTTAAGATTCGATTTACTGTTTGTATTCATTGTGAACATAGCTCCAGTATCATTTTGCTGGGTTTTGTATGAGCTGGGTGTATGTGTGTGTGTAATGGTTAAGAGCTCAGGCTCTCTGATCAGATAGACCTGATTTGAGAACCAGCTCTGTCACCAGTAATGTAAGCTTGAGCACGTTCTCAACCTTTCTGAGGCTCAGCTTGTCATCTGAAAAGTGAGCTAATCCATACCAACCTCATTGGACCATCGTGAGAAGCCAGACCCAGCTTCACTCACCATCTCCACCATTCCCGCCATGCCCACAGCCCACTTCCTGCTGGCTACTCTCTGCTTCCACCCTGCCCCAACCTGGATCCAGTCTCTGCCCAGATCTGTACTCTTGGGGAGGTGGACACTGTGGACTTCACTGGGCTCGTAGCCCACTGGTCTCCGGTTGGATTTGGCCCATGGCAGGTGCTGGCAGGGCTGAGGCAGCGGGAGGAGGGAGATGGGAGAATCTCTCCCTGCCCCCCCCTCGCTCTGGTGCCGACTGTGCCCCTGGCTGTGCCCCTTTTGTGGCTCTGGCTGTCAGTGGACTCTGATTCCCTCCTTTGACTCTTCAGGCCTAAGGTGGCCCAGCATCACTCTGAGGTTACTCTCTGGGGACCTCAGCATTCTTTAGGGCCCCCATTTGCCCTGTCCCAGAGATCTGCAAATGATCCCTTCATACGTATCGCCATGGGGACCGTCAGGGAGAATTATTTCTCCTACCTAACCTGGGGTGATGCGCTCCTGGATTAGTATTTAACTGGTAATTTTCTTAAACAAACTCTCATTTTAAGAATCTAAACTATTTGTTTGACAGGAATTTCATCTCTCCATGTAATTATGGACTTATCCTGGTTTTGATCTTTCCTAATACACATTAAAATAAACAAACACCTTTTAAAGTAAAAGTGTTCACCACATTCCACCTAAAATCATCACTGGTACCCCCATGGCCAGTGACACCCCAGGAAAGGACTGAGTCACTGTATGTGAAGCTCTCAGCTCAGGGACACACGCTTTTTTGTCTGAGTACTGTCCTTAAAATAAGGACCCAAGTTGTCACATGGCGGCAATCCAGACATATGGCAAACCCACACCACGGAGAAACGCGTTTCTTCTTAAACTACCTATACTTTTCACAGAAAACACAACATATTCTCCTGTTGATAATAAAAGATGAGTGCCTCCTACTTCACCAGCACCCTCTTCTCCCCACTGCAGAAAGGTCAAGAAATGATCTACAATGGCCCAAAGCCCCGCCCCGTGCAAACATCAAGTCTTTCTGAAGTCCATCTTCAAATTACAAGCATTTTAAAAATAAACTTGGTGGATTCTTGCTGAGATTTTCAGACCAAGAGGCTGAATAGCTAAGACAGAACATACCACTCTTTGTTAAAAAAGAATATACCCAGAAAGCTGGGTTCAACTTCTTAACTAGGTTGAGCTGTGTTCTCCTTCCTCCTGCCCCAGCCCCACCCACCCCACACGCACGCACACTCCCACTCACACCCACATCCTCACACCCCACACACACTCATACCCACACACAGCCCCTGCCTGCCCCCCAGTCACAGGGGCAGGGTGGCAGGTCCTTTTCTGTGCCCTCTAGCACCAGGGAACTTGCTGCTTTCTGCACAAATTGCCTCTGGAACAAAGCAAGCTGGCCTGTGAGAGGATTTTGCCACATCTGCTGGAGCAGTGTTGCTTAGGATCAAGCAAGACTGATGACAAAACTTATTTTTAAAAATTCTTCTTGCTATTTAAGTCACAGCAGACGATGAGCTGCACTGAGCTGTGCAGAGGGGTGCCCCATCGGGTGGGGAGCAACTTTGGCTTGATTCTAGGAAAGGGGGAGGGAAAATGACTTTAAGAAAAGAAACACACTTTGGTCATCCAGAATCTTTCTTTTTTTTTTTTTTTTTTTTTTTTTCAGTTTGAGGCAAGCCTGTCTTCTGTACAAATACCAAATACCAGAACCTGCTAATCCCTAATGGAGTGAAGACAGCTACGTGGGTGTGATAATGCCAGGAAAACCTGGGCAACTCCTGCAACTCTGAGGTCAGCTAGGCCTCTCTGGCCCTACCAGATCCAGCTAAGAGGACTGCAGACCCATAAGGCCACAGTGAAGTTCAAGTTCCATACCCTCCAAAGATTTCTGCAAATTCCCAGCCCTTAGCCTCCTCCTAGTCCCCTCTGCCCTGGGAATCCAGAGTGGTGTCCCCTTTACCCACTCAGCTGCCCAGATGTAAACTATCAACCCTTTCACTGATTTGCACAGAAAAATCCACTCTACCCAGGCACAGCTCTTCCCTGACATAGCATTCTCAATTTACCTCCCACAGAAAGGGCAGAAGGCAAAGGGGTGTTTTGCAAAAAAGGCCTCTGCCATTTATTTCAGTTGGGAACATTTAATCCATTCCAGTACTCCAAAAGACAGTCCAATTTTTCACATAAATAAAATCCTTATAAGAAAAATCTCTAGTTATATATGAGGTGAAAAGTACAGATTTCTTATTTTAAACACCAGTCAGTTATTTCAGTAACCGAAGCAGCACCAAAAACATTCTGAATCAAAGTTTCTCATGCACTGTGAGTTTCTCCAGCAAAGTCCAGCATTCAGGCACCTTCTCTTTAAAGGCAAAACACAGCAAAGGAACAAAAACAAAAAAACAACCACCACCAAAGATGCTATTATGGGGCCTCTCCTGAGTGTAGAAGTGAAAGACGAAGTTCCGTGAATCACAATGGCCAACTTTTGTAACTTGCCTGTCAGGGTTTGCTGAGAAAAACCAAGAGGGCAAGATATAGGAATGGGAAGAACAGCTTCCCCACAATGGCTGGCACTTACCTGGGCCAGGCATGGTGCTCAGCCTTGTTTTAAAATTTAATTCTATTTCTATCAAACTTAATACATACACGTTTTAAAAAGTCAAATACTACTATAAGGCTAGTAAAAAAATGTAGTGTTCCCCTCCCCATACCTTCCCCACCCCAAGTCCCAATTCAGCAAATACTTTTCATATTTACCTCCACTTTTCTGAGTAAAAGACATACTATTGAATCCTGACTTTTCCATTTTAGACATAATCTCCTGCCTTCCTGCTATGGTTGCTGAGGGTTTTAGAAAGGATACCTTTACCTCATCTACTTTCCCTTCTACATCCTCCCCATGTAATCATGTCACAGGTTTTGTTAAATCATTATTCAATGAACATGTTATTCTCATTAAGTAAACATTGTTCAAGCTGCTCCAGAAAAGTGTTGCATTTTCTTTTGCATATGACTTTTTGTTTTCCCTGGAATTAATTATTGACTTTGCTTCCACTTGCATAATTTATGTAGCCATCACTAATTCTCCCTACAAACTCTGCAGAAGAGATGTAAAATTCCCCTGGGTATATTGAAACATATCCATCCCATCTGTACCTTGGAGATGTCCTTCCAGAAGCTGTCCTTCCTCCTGTTCCAATCTGAGCTGGTGACCTGTCATCCTTGTCACCCAGTGGTCATCCAGGGGCTTCACTTACCAAACCCTGAATTCCCTTTGCCTCTCTTCTGTGTTGAATCACTTTTCTGGATCCTATAGCATCCTCTTTCTTTGTTAATTCCTTTATTTTGGGATATCTGTACTAGCTTCCAGAGATCACCCTTGGTTGCTTAGCTGGATATAGAGTTCGAGGCTGAAAATGTTTTCCTCAGCATTTTGAAAGTCTTGTTCCTTTATTTTCTATATTCTGATGTGCTAAGATGATTAATGCCACTCTGAAATTTCTCAAAAGAAGACATGCAAATGGCAAACAGGTATACGAAAAGGTGTTCAATATCATTGATCATTGGAGAAATGCAAATCAAAACTACAATGAGATATTATCTCATACCAGCTAAAATAGCTTTTATCCAAAAGTTAGGCAATAACAAATGCTAGCGAGGATGTGGAGAAAAGGAAGCCCTCATACATTGTTGGCAAGAATGTAAATTAGTACAACCACTACGGAGAAGAGCTTGGAGGTTCCTCAAAAAACTAAAAATAGAGTTACCATATGATCCAGCAATCTCACTCTTAGGTATATACCCAAAAGAAAGGAGATCAGTATATCAAAGAGCTATCTGTCTCATGTTTATTGCAGTACTATTCACAATAGTCAATATCTGGAAGCAAACCAAGTGTCTATCAACAGATGAATGGATAAAGAAAATGTGGTACATATACACAGTGGAGTGCCATTCAGCCATAAAAAAAAAAAAAAGAACGAGATCCTGTCATTTACAACAACATGGATGAAACTGGAGGTCATTATGTTAAGTGAAATAAACCAGGCACAGAAAGACAAACGTCTCATGTTCTTACTTATTTGTGGGAGCTAAAAATTAAAATAATTGAACTCGTGGAGATAGAGAGTAGAAGGATGGTTACCAGAGACTGGGAAAGGTATGGGAGGGAGAGTGGGGATGGTTAAGGGGTATAAAAAATAGTTGGAAAGAATGAATAAGACCTAGTATTTGACAGCACAACAGGGTGACTATAGTCAAACATAATTTAATTGTACATTTTAAAATAACTAAGAGTATGAGTGGATTATTTGTAACACAAAGGAAAAATGCTTGAGGTGATGGATCCCCCATTCTCCATGATGTGATTATTATGCATTGCATGCCTGTATCAAAATATCTCATGTGACCCATAAATATATACACCTACCATGTACCCACAAAAATAAAAATAAAATAAAAAATAAAGATACAGGAAAAGAAGAAAACATTCATTATGCTGAGCACTTTTTGGGCCTGTTCAGTCTAGTAAATCATATACTTTTGTTCTGAAATATTTCAGAATATTGTTCTCTTCGATAATTTTCTCTCTTCCATTTTCTTTATTTTCTCTGGAGTATTGGGCCTCTAATATGAATCTAATGTTTTTTACCACACTTTTTGAGACTTTACCCACTTTAGCCCCATCCTTTTTATTGCATTTTATTTCTGTTTTTGTGTTCTTTTCATTTTCAACACCTCTACCGTCCCCTAAATAGTCTTGTCTTATGGATGCAGGGCCTTCGCTCCCTTCAAGGGTGGAGCAACATGATCTCTGTTTACTCTAATTTCCTTTTCTCCTCTTGTTTTGATATTTGCTTTCCATGGTGAAGATTTTCCTTGTAATCATTGCCTTTTCATTTATATTAGGAAGGTGGCATCCAAGGTTGGCTGGAAGCTCATTAAGTAGAATGAGCTTGCCAATAGGGTCTTTGCTGAGGATGATCAGGCAGGGGACCTGCTGCTGTTCCTTTGGAAGATTCCGCCAAAATTCAGTATTTCTGCTCTTTCCTCTGGTTTCTGGCCTGGGGAATCTAATGCATTCTGGGAGCCTACTGGGGAAATAGGACTGAAGTGGGGGTAAAGCTGCAAAATTTCGTTTAACCTTGTTTCTGTCCAGGGCCTCACCTCTACCCCAGCTGTGCCTGGCAACTCTGGGTTGGAAGCCAGCCTGGATCAGTTTCTTCGGAGGGTAAAACTTCAGGCTTCTGCTGGGGCAAGGAAGGCCTTGAGCTCAGGTTGTGTTGGGCAGGGATTTAACGACTCTTCACACAGACGTATCAAACCTTCTTCCTTCAGCTCCTCCAATTACCCCAACTTTCAGAGGTTCCTGGTCCTTCAATTCTTGAGTGTTTATAAGTGTCTGCAGCATGAATGGACTTGTTTCTTGTTGCCATTCCCATCTGCAGGCTTCCGACAGCGGAGAAAGTTGAGTGTTAATTAGGTT
The DNA here is from genome assembly GCF_000001405.40 of Homo sapiens. NCBI lineage: Eukaryota > Metazoa > Chordata > Mammalia > Primates > Hominidae > Homo > Homo sapiens. Next base: position 43,890,163 of record NC_000003.12, read on the forward strand.
TTATTCCTTCTGTTAGTCCTCATGGTGCATATATTCTTATTACTTGAATACAAGTCCTGGTAAGTAGGTTCCCTGCATTCTGTTGGACCTGTTCTCACAACCCTAGGATGTAGGTACTATTATTAACCCCAAGTAGAGAGGAGGAAATGGAGTTTGAAAGTGGTAGGTAATCTATGTTAGGGCACACTGCCGTGGTTTGAACCCAGGGAGCTTGACCACCCTTTCCCTGACCACCATGTTAGGCAGTCTCATGGGGTTGCAAAACCAGAAGATGGGGGTCAAGGTGCTAGAGAAGAGTGATCCTGGAAGCTCCTCTGATTGTCTGCTATTGGCTTAAATCCTCTATTGAGTCTCATGGTGAAAATTTGTTACACAGAAGTTTTTGAGAACGCAGAGCACTACTATTGTAGGCGAGCTTTGATTCCCAAGCAGCACAGACTTTGTGGCCAGGCCAGGCACCTCACAAGGTGTCTGAGCTTAGACATGACCTGAAGAAGAAAGCGTTCTGAAATCAGGGGTTTTCAAATATACCACATATTAGAATCACCTGGGGAGCCTTTCACAATCCAGATGTTTGGGAGCCCTGCCTCCCCAAATCAATTAAATTAGAATCCTTAGGAATGGGACTTTGGAATCTATATTTTGTAAAGCTTCCCAAGTGATTCCAATGTGCAGCCAAGTTTAGAACCGGGACTGCAGACCAGCAGTTTGCAAACTGTAATACGCACCTGAATTATCTGAGAATCTTGTTGCAATGCAGATTCTGATTCACTAGGTACTATGGTCTGAATGTTGATGTCCTCCCAAAAGTCACATATTGGAACTTAGTCTCCAATGTTATGGTATTGAGAGGTGGGGCCTTCAGGAGGTGATTTGGTCAAGAGGATAGGGCCCTCATGAATGGGATTAGTGCCCTTATAAAAGAGGCTTGAGGGAGCCCTTTGCCTCTTCCACCACGTGAGGACACAGCAAGAAGGTACCGTCCATGAGGAATGGGCCCTCACTGAACGAGACACTGAATTTGCCAGCACCTTGATCTTGGACTTTCCGGCCTCCAGGACCGTCAGCAATAAGTTTCTGTTGTTTATAAATTACCTAGTGTAAGGTATTTTGTTATAACAGCCTGAACAGACTAAGTCACTAGGTCTATCCAGCTCCCAGGTGATGCTGCAGGTCCACGACCGCACTGCAGATAAAACGGGCAGGAAGTTATTTCCTCGGAGGCAGCATCTAAGGTTGGCATTGAGGTGTGAATTTCAAGTTAACGGTTAAATTTTTTTTTTCATAATTACTATAAAAATTCATGTATTGCAAAAAGGGATATAAATTCTATAACAGAGTTCATCTAAAAAATGTAAGGAGAATATTCATTAGCAAAGGCTTTATGCTTTTAAAAAGTAGATGTTACTGAAGATTTCATAAGAGAGGTGATGCTGGTTTCCACCTCACGTTAAGTTTATAACCCAAACAACCAGCTGAGAGCCCCAGGCATCCCCAGCCTCAGGACATCCAGGGGCCACTGCACCTCTCTGTGGCTTTATGTCCACTCAGCTCTTCCAGCCACTTTTTCCTGCTGAGTCCCCTTCAAGAGCAACACAAAATACCTCCCCTTGAATAAAAAAAGAATAACCTACTCTCTCCCTTAGAAGCACCACCTTGATGTTCCAAACACAGATCAATGCCTGTTCTCAAACAAAAGCAGTACTGTTTCTTAAAGGAACTGTGATAAGTTAAATATTCCTACTTCATTAGACCATGAGAAGAAATCTAGGTTTACAAAAATAATTACGTTTTTGTGTGTTTCTATATGATGGCTAAAGAATTCTAGATGGACCCCAAGGGGTCCAAACATTCAGGGAATTTCTAGGGCTATAAAATAACCTGTATTTATTTATCTCACTTTTCTCCCATCCCCGCCTGGCTTCTCAAATTCTCTTTGCTTTTCTCCACCAGCAGACACGGGTATCACATATCAGAGAGAAAGAATAGTTCCAGAGGAAATCTGTATTGTCCTTATTTCATAAATTGGGTTTAATAATTCATCTAAAAGAGAATTTTTAGCAACACGGTTTGCATAGAAAAAGAGAACATGCCTTCCCTAAATAGACATCTGTTACTCTTGCTGCAACGCTGAGTGGGGAGAAAAAAGGCCAGTCGGGTCCAAGTGCATCTTTCAGATTCACTAAGGACATCATGGTCTCCAGTCCCTTAGGCAAAAGTGATTTTAGAGCACGCTGTGCAAGGAAAGGAATTTAAACCACACCTGAAAAGTCTCCTCTTTGTCACTGCAGAAATTTACCTAGAGGTCATTGTGACAAACATGCCTATTCCTAAAACATCTGCAGATTATATGTCCGTTCATTTCCTGGTCATAAAATGCCACCTGCCTAGACCCCCCACTGTTGCCTCAAATATCAAACCAATGTTGTCTTGTGGGGCAGACGGTGGCAGGTTTGGGGTCTGCAGGTCTCCACATGCACACACAAAGCTGTTTAGAACGTCAAGAAAATCAGTCATTCACACAGCTGCGCTGCTCATGCGTGACAGGCTGACTTTAAATATTTGTCACTCCAACTAGCTGACATAGGGGGAGGGGAAGCTGGTAGAATGAAAGGGGAAGAAAATTAACAGAAACCCTAATTGCCCAGGTTTGCTGCCTTGAATATTTCTGCAGTAGCTCTGCGGCAAGCAGCACCATCAACGTTTTCAGACCTGACAATGGGAAAGTTGCCACGGAGTCAAAGACCCAGCCAAAGAGGCAATTAATACCTCCTTTTTTATTTTAGAGACATCATCTATCTCTCTGCCCTGAAAAAAAAAAATGGCTTGAGAATTCTTTCCTAGTTCCTTTTTCCAAAGTGCCCTTATTTTACCACGTCCTTTGCTGAGTCTTGTGCAGTCCTGGGAGCATCTGAATAAACTGAATTTCCCAAATGTTTCAAGTATCTGCAATCATATAAAGTCTTTCTCTTGAAACTTGGCACAGTCTAATGAAATAACTGAGGTATTTTTTTTGAAGGCTGTATTTTGTTTATTAAGAAAGATTGCCTGGAGCAATAACACCCAGAATTGAGAAAGAAAACGGGCACACTTATTCTACTTGGAGGTGAGTGTACTGAGCCCACCCTTCTAGATAATAGTTTGACCCCTTTAAAAGTGTGATGATCTTTGACCTGGCAATCCCATTTGTCCCAAGGAAATAGTGTGTATAAAAAATTGCTGCATTCTGGTGTCCATCATTTATAATAGCAAAAGTTGGGGAGCAACTGAAAAGTCAAAAAATAAGGCTAGTGACAAGTTAAGTCATGGCAAATTTGTATAATGAAATACGGTGTAGTCATTAAAAACATTTGTAGTAGAATATTTGATATGGGGAAATGTTCGTGATGCATTATTAAATATAAAAATTATAAAACACCATGTACATTATGATACTGTTTTAAATTTCTTTTAATCAATTTTGTGATAGTATATGCTTAGAAAAAAATCACTAGATTTTCAACAACGTATAGTATTATGGGGTGGAGAGCTGAGATTATGGGGAACTTTTAGTTTCTTCTTTGTCCTTTCCTGTATTTTCCTACTATAATGCATCACTTAAAGTCAGGGAAAAAAAATCAGAAGTGTGATCAAAGCTTATGTTTTGTCACATTTAAAAGATGCTACGAATCAGTTTAACATGCCAGTGCCCTTTATTTGATAAAGTACCATGTGTGAGATCCCACTTTGCCACGCCAAAGTCAATGACTCTGATGTTTTCCGTGCCGCTGAGTCACACGGTAGGCTACCTCTGGGTTTTCGATGAACTGAACTGTTATTTCAGAGGGAGGGAGGCGAAAAGGATTCATTATTCAATGCGTTTCAAACCGGAGTCCAGGGGGGCGGGGGGGGGCGGGCCTGCGTTTAAAAAATAACGCGTAATGGAGTTAAGATGCAGATTCTGGAGCCAGACTGTCTGAGTTCAAAGGCTCCTAATAGCTGGGCTCCTTAACCTCTCTGTGCCTCACTTCCTCGTCCGGAAATTGAAGCTAATAAGAGCACTGACTTCCCTGGGCGGCGGTTGAAGGCTACCTGTGTGGATCTGGGCACAGCGAAGAGCGGAGCCTTAACAGGGTGAGCACGCCGGTTGCGCGCTCTCCAGAGCAGCCCAGCATCTCCCGCCAGCCTCGCTGCCCGCTCCGCCCCGGCGCAGGGGCCCCAAGCCCACAGGCAACGCCAGCGCGCTCCCAACCGCTGGAGACAGAAACAATGTGCGCGCGCACACGGCCCACGTGCACGCGCGCACGCCCACGCGGCATACAGGCGCGCACGTGCACACGCGCGCCTGCACAGCTCTGCGGCTCTGCTCCGGCCCCACAGGCCCATCTTAAAGTGTTTCGTGCTCTAACTTACCAAACACGTGGCAGCCGGCAGAACGAAAAGGAAAATAAATGAACTGCGACGAAATAAAGCAGGCCTTTCCGCAGTCGGCCACGTCCAACAGCCACTTGGTTCCTAGCGCTTTCTCGTTACCCGGCTTGGGCAAAGCCAGGGAAGAAGGGGATAGGACATAGGGATGGGTTAACAAAGCGGGAGCAACAGACCAAAGTAACCTCCTTGTATTGCCCCCCACCCCTCATCCCCTGGGGACACCGGCCTGGCTCCCGTGGGACCAGCATCGCCATCCCTGTCCCCTGTACGAGACTCTCCGCTGGGCCGAGGGCCGGGCTTGTGTTTGGGAAGGTGGGTGCCAGGGCCCGTGCTCAGCGACCTTCCAGAGCAACTGCATCAAATGATGCTGGCTTTCTTCCCAGCCAGTCCCCAGCCACACCCATAGGGGACAGCAGTGGCAGCCCGGGACTCTATTTCCTGCCTACCCCTGGACAGGAAAGCCACCCGCAGGCGCCTTCACCTTGGTCCACGTCTCACTCGGATGATTCAACAAGGCTCTTTGGGAAAAAAAATTGAATTCGCCATTGAGAACACACATAAGAAACCAATAATCATTTTTGGTTTTTATGATGGAAACAGGCACAAAAATCACAATTTTATATAGGTTCAAGACTGCTTCCTCTCAGCAGCCCAGAGCTCTTTAAAGTAAAAATAAAAATAATCTTTCAGGTTTTTTTCTTGTGTATCTTATGGAATGTATATTAAAGTCCTGAATGCTAAAACTCCATTGAAATTTTATTTGGTTGGTGCAAAAGTAATTGCAGTTTTTGCCTTTTTTTAAAAAATTAAATTACTTCTGCACCAACCTAAGTAGTCTTCATTATCAAGTGAATTTCACCAACTGAACAGACTTTGAAAGAAATAGACACAAAAGGAAAAATCAGCAAACACGAATATTAAAAGTCTACTATTTAGTAGCTACTGATCCTGTTTGAAATCAATTCCTCTCTTTTTCTTCATACTGTCTCCTGGCCTCCCATATACTAGAGTTTTATAGACAACGTGGTCGCCCTCTGGAGCTGATTTGACCCCACTCCTCTTTTGGCAAAATTTTTATTTGCATTTCCCTTGTGCTCCCAACAGGTCTGTATATTAACAACATGCCTCGTTTTTGGCACAACAGCCTCATTAATTATGTCAGCAAAGAGCTGGCACTAGGGCTCCTCAGTGCCTGGTAATTCCCATTTCCTCACTGCTGGCTTTGCTGCCTCTGAACCACCAACCATCAGCAGCCCTCATTTTCCCTCTGCCTTCCCAGCCCCCTTCCTCACCTCCATTCTCCACGCCCCTCTTCCTTGCCCACTTCCCAATACTGCAAAGAACAGAACATGAGGTCCCAGAAGAATGACCCAGCAGAACTCTACTGGTTTTATTAATATGATTATTACTTGGCCTGAAAGTGGTAGATTTCCTGGATCCATATCCCAAGTCCTTCTGGCCCTCTTTGATAAGCTTTTAATGTTGATGATGATAACAATGGTTATCATTTATTGAGTCTTTACTATGCACCAGCCCCTGTGCTTAAAAAAAAAGATTACCTCCTGTAATCCCTAAAACAGCTCTAGAGACAGCTAGCATCATTAATACCATTTGACAGATTAGAAAACTGAGGCTCAGAGACTTAAGGTCACAGGACCAGAACTGGAAGGGCTAAGGTTGGACTTAAATGTGTCTACTGTCACCACTGCACGTCAGGACATTAGGTGGTCTCTTCTCTCACAACATGAAGCAATGCTAGCAAAAAGTGGCTAGGCGCTCAAGAGGTGTGAAACTTGGAAGTTACTCTAAAATGTTAAATGGCAGATAGTGCAGTGGCCTTACAAAATATCAGAAAAGCCATCTTTAAGAGTGTCAGTTTGTCAAAACAAATTATTGTCAAAACAAGCACAACAAGGAAAAACTGATTATGTTTTGTTTTGCTTTGTTTTCAGTTTCTCAAGCTTGCAGTAAAATGCTGAGATTCTGGCCAGTAATTTCCCCTTCAGACCTAACCTGCCTTGCCCAATGACTAGGTAAGTAGGACACAAGCAGTTGTATTCTCATATATTACACCTAATTTTACACCATTGGCCAGACTACCACTTTCCCTTCCCAACTGCATTTGGTATCTGGGTCGACATCCCAGGGAAAGACTTTTAAAGAACTCAAGGCTCACCTCCCACCCCCGAAGACCTGCAGTGGCTGCCATATGGAAACAACTCCGTGGTCATTAGGAGTCCCTTGACTAATATGAGTTCTCAGCCATTTTTCAAAACATTTTAAAGTGTTGATTTTATACCAGGCACTAGACCCAGGCACTGTGGATAAATAAGTGTGGTCTGTATTCTAATTTCACTTAAAAATTAATGTTTTAAAATACATTTGAACAGCTGACTCATGGGACAGAGAGAAACCAGGGATGCAGGACAATTCATATCACGTTTAAGAAAGCTAATAGCAGAAAGGATCCAAATGCATTCTGAAAAAAGAAGAGACATTAAGGACCGGATTTTTTCATTGTTTACCAAAAATGAAGAGATCTTCTCAGGAATGCATAGGACAGGTTTCTTGTCCATGCCACAGGGCAAGGCAAATGGTTTATCATAGCAGCTAAATTACATTATTTTCAAAAGTTACCAAAAGAGTACATGCTTGATATGAAAAATTCAAGCCCTATAGAAACATTAAAAGGTAGTAGCCCTTTTACAGTATTAAAAGCAATAGCCCTTTCACAGTCTCCCCGGCTACAATTTCATTCTAGGGATAACTACTGTGAACAGTTTAGTGTTGAATCAAAGGAGTCTAGGCTTCTTTCCTGAATACGACAGAAAAAAAATATCCTAAGGAACATGACCCAGAGGAAAACTGAGTTCACAGAACTTATGGAGTCTCAGCTACTGGGTTTCAAGATCCTTACTAGTGGGGTAGCTTATTCATGCCTGATCCTTGACTTCTGTTATCTGCATCGTAAAAAAAAAAAAAAAAAAAAAAAAAAAAAAGCCTAAGATGGATAACATTTGCATGTGATTATCCAGGACTCAATGACAGTCAACAGGCAAACTACCATTCCATCCTCTGGGTAAGGCATTCCAGGTTCTGGTTAGAGGCCAAATGTGCTCATCTGGCTGCTGCCACAGTCAAGCCTTAGCCAACGTTATTGTCTTTATGTTAAATTAACTCATCACATTAGTGATGTACAGAATCTTGGGTAATGGAACAGGTACAATTTAAGGCAAGAGGAAGAAAGTCAGGCTGATGAATCAATATCTTGGGTGAGGCACTGGAATAGGGGCTTTGGGAAGCTGGGGCTCTGGGCAGCTGACGTTCTGGAGAGGGTCTAAAAAGGAAAAAATGGGAACATGGCTCAAGAGATGGGCTAGGTTTAGACCATAACTTCACTCACTTTTCACTTTTCCTTGGAGCACATCAGTATAATATGAAGTTAGATTTGGGTTAGTTTCCATCAGTTTACATCAGCACAGATTTAACAAAGGACTCCACACATTCTGCTCCAGAAAGTTGACCTTGAAGGCTAGAGGGAGGAGGAATAGCCACAGCTGCCACCAGGCTTCCTGATAGCCATTCTGCCGTGCATGGTCCATCATAGAAGGAGACTACATGCCCCAGCCTCCCTTGTTCAGTGTGGCCACCTAACCCTATTCTGCTGCAAGGTAATTCGTGCAAGGGGTGTGTGCAGTGTCCCTGGAGTGTCCTTTATTTTAGGCTGGCTTCCCCAGAAAGAGATACTAACACAAAAACTTGAGTACAAGTTGTTTGTCTGGGAGGTGATTCCAGGAAGTATTAGTAGGAGAGTGGGGGAAATGTGTTAGTGTGAGTCTTCTGAGAAGTAGTTGCCAAGGTGGGATTACACATGAAAGGATTTTATTAGGGTAACTATCAACGTGAGGGAGAATGGGGAGGGAGCCACATGAGGCTCAGAGATCTCTCATACCTCCAGCCAAGTCTGACCCTGAGTGAAAGAGGTGGGGAAAGAATGTCTTAGACTGCCAGGCTGTCTATGGAAGGGTCAGCGAAGCCATCATGGAACCCTGGAGCCAAAGCCAGTGTTAGAGGAGCCCCACATCTCCTAGAACAACCTGCATTCGAGTGTCCCTGCTGTGCTCAGTCACTGACAGGGAGCAGCCCTTGGGAAGCATGTCCTTCGGCTTCCTAGTGCAGCAATTGCCAGGCCCTTGGTTACCAATACTCCCTCTAATTGGAGGCAGGACTGCTAGGCACATTCTCATGGGCACTATAGGAAATGAGGTAGGAGAGGGAAGCAGGCATCAGAGTGCACTGGTGAGCAGGTGACCACTGCGGGCAGCCGAGGTGCAGTCCTGGTTACCTCTAGGAGACTAGCATCTTCCCCACTTGAAGGGCACAGAAGGTGAGAAATAAACTCCCAATCTCTGGAAACCACTGATTTGTTGGCCTTCCCTATTGCCGCTACAGTCTTAATTAGCACAGGGGTTCAATACCAAGCGTGAATGTGTTAGAGATACCTTTATTTATTTATTTATTTATTTATTTAAGACAGAGTTTCGCTCCTTGTTGCCCAGGCTAGAGTGCAGTGGCACAATCTTGGCTTACTGCAACCTCTGTCTCCCGGGTTCAAATGATTCTCCTGCCTCAGCCTCCTGAGTAGCTGGGATTGCAGGCGAGCGCCACCACGCCCTGCTAATTTTTGTGTTTTTAGTAGAAACGGGGTTTCACCATGTTGGCCAGGCTGGTCTTGAACTCCTGACCTCAGGTGATCCACCTGCCTCGGCCTCCCAAAGTGCTGGGATTACAGGGTTGAGCCACCATGCCCGGCCTAGAGATACCTTTTAAACTTCATTTTGGTAAGGCATTTCCACTTGCTCTTCCCAGGAACCTTTTTGCCAAAGCTGCTAACAAACTGAATGTATAACTGATCTAAATTATGTTTCTCCACACTCCTCTCCCACCTCCTGCTTCCCTACCTGCTACAGAATCAGAAATGTGTGTTAGCCCCCAAAGTGAGGAACACAGAGCAAGGGATTCTGTGTAAAACCATGCAGAAGAATCCATCCCCTCTCCTCTCCCCCTTCCCATAAGGACATACCACCAAGTCTCTGATTATAACCATTTCTCTTCTTTACAACTCTATATAAAAACTTATGCCCCTCCCCTCAAAAAAAAAAAAAAAAGGACTAGATGGAAATACACCAAAGCAATACCTGGCTTTAATAAGGTGGTTGAATTACAAATATTTTCCTTTTATTTCTTTTAATGATTTTCCATAATGAAATGTGATTTTTACCTTTTAAAATTAAATGTTTACATTAAACTATTTTTTTCTACTTTATGCTTAAAATTTTTCATAATAAAAATTATGTTTTAAAATTTCAGAGCAATTTTACCTCTTATCCTTCTGTATTATTTCAGCTCAGACTGCTTTAACGAAGTGCCGTAGATCAGACAGCTTTTAAACCACAGAAATTCCTTTCTTTTTTTTTTTTTTTTTTTTTTGAGGTCATTTCTCTGCCAAGTAAAGTCCAGACTAGGTATTCCTACTGGGTGGGCAGCTTCCCTCCACATGGTGACTGGGGATCCATGCTCCTGCTCCTTCCATCTTGAACTCTGAAAGTGGCACAAACACTTCCACTCATATTCTGTTGGCTGTAGTTGTCACATGGACATGGAGAACTGCAAGGGAACCTGGGGGAATGTGGTCCTGTGGTATTCCCAGGGAAAAGAGGATAGTTTTGATGACCAGCTAGTTAGTTTCTGCTACAGAAAGTGACATAATTAGAAGAATGTAAACTCAGACCAGATTTCATTTGCCAGCATACCCTTAGGAGAGACCCTTCCATCATCACCCCTTAGATTCAATGAACTGCTCAGCCAGGGAAAAACAAGGTTTGCCATCTGCCCCAAGATCACAAGTGAACTAACAATCACCAAGGATTTAGAGAAGATGATATGTTTGTGTTCTGGCATCAGGAAGAATGAGGGGGTGAAGGGAAGGCCAGAGAGCAGAGGATATTAAGGTAGCAAAGGTGGGAAGGTGTTATAGACTGAATGTTTGTGCCTTCCTTAAATTCATGTGTTGAAATCCTAACACCCAACATGATGGTATTAGGAGGTAGGGCCTTTGTTATGTGATTAGGTCTTGAGGATGAGGCCTTCATAAATGAGATTAGTGCCCTTATAAAAGAAACTTCAGAGAACTCCCTCACCCCTGTTGCCATATGAGGCTACAGCTAGAAGATGGCCACCTGGGGACCAGGAAGCAGGCCCTCACCGGACACCAAGTCTGCTGGCACCTTGATCTTGGACTTCCCAGCTTCCAGAGCTGTGAGAAATACATTTCTGGGCTGGGCGCAGTGGCTCACGCCTGTAATCCCAGCACTTTGGGAGGCCAAGGCGGGTGGATCACCAGGTCAGGAGATTGAGACCATCCTGGCTATATAGTGAAACCCTGTCTCTACTAAAAACACAAAAAATTAGCCAAGCGTCATGGTGGGTGCCTGTAATCCCAGCTACTCAGGAGGCTGACGCAGGAGAATGGCATGAACCTGGGAGGCAGAGCTTGCAGCGAGCCAAGATTGTGCCACTGCACTCCAGCCTGGGCAACAGAGTTCACTTGTGATCTTGGGGCAGATGGCAAACCTTGTTTTTTCCTGGCTGAGCAGTTCATTGAATCTAAGGGGTGATGATGGAAGGGTCTCTCCTAAGGGTATGCTGGCAAATGAAATCTGGTCTGAGTTTACATTCTTCTAATTATGTCACTTTCTGTAGCAGAAACTAACTAGCTGGTCATCAAAACTATCCTCTTTTCCCTGGGAATACCACAGGACCACATTCCCCCAGGTTCCCTTGCAGTTCACCATGTCCATGTGACAACTACAGCCAACAGAATATGAGTGGAAGTGTTTGTGCCACTTTCAGAGTTCAAGATGGAAGGAGCAGGAGCATGGATCCCCAGTCACCATGTGGAGGGAAGCTGCCCACCCAGTAGGAATACCTAGTCTGGACTTTACTTGGCAGAGAAATGACCTTCAATTGTATTGAGCCACAAAAATGCTGGGGCTTGTTTGTTACAGCAGTGAGCCTACACTAACCAATAATACACTGTTAATCTTTCATGTCTGCTAGACGTGCTTAGTAATGGTGCTCTGAATTCATGTAATTAGAAGTAAATTTGACTGCAGAGATCAAGGAAGCTCCCCTTTTTGGAGGACTTGCAACCTGAGCAATTTTGTAATCATACTACAATAGGGAGGTATTGCCCTTGATGTTTCCCATGAAATCTCATAGGATTTTCCAGATAACTGTATCTTTCCTCAATGGAAGCAGTTTTAGACAGGGAGCCTAGATTCTCTGCCCCTAATTATCAGCAGAATGATGCATGAATCACCCAACCCCTATAAGCCTCAGAAATTATACAATCATTTTAGAGATGGACAATACCAACGGTTGTAACAACTAACTGTGGCTGAGTTACAGGTAGGGTTAATCCATTAATAGACTAACTCATTTAATCTGCACAGGCACCAGTGATGTGGGTGATATTATCATTATTTTGAAAATAAGAGAAACTGAGGCACAGAGAGATTAAAACACTGCCCAAGGCCACAGCTAGTAAATATCATAATGAAATGTAATGGGCAATGTAACTCTAGGGTCAGAAAGTAAATTCTCTGGATTCTAAAATGCTGAGATTTGCACCAGGATGATTTTTTTCTGTGATCGTGATGTGCTTGGTGCTGGTTTTGTGATATATCTGAACTTGGCCATTTTCTCATGCCATCACTGTGTTCCCATCCTGCTCTTGACATCCAGCCTTCTCCCATTGATGGCTCTTGCTCTGGAAATATACAGCCTTGCAAGGGAAAAGATGATCTCCCTCTTCCTTGATCTACTTAATCTGATTAGACACAAATTGTAATATGCCTTGATTCAGAGAACTTCCTTTTGCCAAATGAAGTCCCCTGAGATCTCTCACACACAAAACTTGATTTATGAACAGAAGACTCTTTCAGTCCTCTGTGATTTTCTTTATTGAAACCATGCAATGCCAACTCTCAAGCAAAAAACAGCCAGTGGTGAAATCTTGGTTTCCTATGAATTCAGGGAATTCAGAGAACATCAAAGGTCATATGTTTCAAATACAGAGTAAATCACTTTGACTTTACTCACCGGAATAACAATTAGAAAATGACAACCGGATGAGCCCTGGGCTTTAATAGGACACCTGGCTTAGAATTGAAATACTAATCAAATTATTTGTTATGACTATTTTCAGTAATTTAGCATTTCACTTATAAAATGTCTCATCCACTCTGAATTTCTCCAATTGTAGTACATGGTGCATCATCCTGGACCATGATGAGGATAAAAATATCTACCACTTATTAAGCACTCACTATGTTCCCAACACTGTGCCAAACAAAGAAACTCTAATTACCTTTTCATCCCCATTCTGTAGATAAGGAAACTGATGTTTAGAGAGGTTAAGTTACCTATCCAAGGTGTGGTAGGCAAAATAATGGCTCCCCAAAATTGTCCATGTCCTAATCCCCAGAACCTGTGAATGTTACCCTGCAAAGCAAAAGGGGCATGGCAAATGTGATTAAGTTAAGAATCTTGAGATGGGAAGATTATCTGGATTATCTAGTAGAACCAATGTCATCACAAGGGTCTTTTTAAGAGAAGGAAGAAGGCAGGAGAGGCCTAGAAGATGTGACAATGGTCAGAATGATACAGTGCCACAAGTCAGGGAATACGGGCAGCTTTTCTGAAACTGGAAAAGGAAAGGAAATGGATTCTACCCTAGAGCCTCCAGAAGGAACACAGCCCTGTCAAACTACTTTAGATTATGACTTCTGAAACTGTAAGATGTTAAATTTGTGTTTTTAAGGCTATGAAATTTGTCATAATTTGTTACAGAAGCCATAGGAAACTGCTCCAAAAGGTCCCATGGATGTTGAGTGGTAAAGGCAGGATGTCAACTCTGCTCCCTGTAATGCAAATACCATACTCTTTATTTCTAGATTAAATAGCCTTGGAGTTTAAATATTTGACTTAAAAACTATGATTTATATATCATAGCAAACATATTATGAAGCAAAATATAAAACCTGAAATATGTTAAAAAGATATGAGATGTCAAAAAAATGAGATGTCAAAAAAAAAAACAAAAAACAAAGGGATGGAATAGAGGGCAGAGAACCAGGCTCTTCTCTACATGGTAAATTGGTATAATGATGAGGTATAATGATGAAGGTGGTACCACCAAAGCCATGGGGAAAGGATGGATTGCTTAGTTGATGGTGGTGGGAAATTGGATCACTATGTGTAAGAAAGTAAAACTGGAGCCCTGCCTTACACCCTCTGCAGGGAAACTCAGGGTTGATTAAAGTCCTAATTGTGAAAGGGAATACAATAGAAGAAAATATATGAGAATATCTTTGCAACCAGGAGATGGGCAGAAAAAGATAAAATCAAAAAGTTTAGTGGATTCAACTACATTATAAGTGAAAGGTTTTCCGTTCAATAGGCAGACATGATAAACAGGTGTCAGCCTGGGGAAAAATAGTTGGAATTATTTAAAAAGATAAGCCATTTTTATACTTTACAAAGAACTCTTGCAAATTAACAAGAAAAAGACAGAAATCCCAAATAGAAACTAGGCAAAAGGTATGTATAGTCAATTCACAAATGAGATTCTCAAACTCACTAATAACCAGATAAATACAATAAAAACAATGGACATAACATAGCTCACCCATAAGAAGAGAGGAAAAATCAAAAGATAATGAGTAATAAGGGTTGATAAGGTTGTGGGGAGATAGGTTTGCACACTACTGGTGAGAGGGGAATCTGGGACAGTCATTCAGGAAACCTATCTGGTATGTGCCCTGGGACCAATGACCCCCACCTCCTGGATAAACATCCTAAAGACCTGCTCACTCAGGTCTGTAAGGGGCATGTATAAAGGTGTTCACCTGTGTGTCATTTGGGTGGTAGAGCATTAGAGGCTGTCCAGGGGCCCATCCCTGGGGCAGTGAATCAGTGTGGATGGACCCACAACATGCTCTGCAGCAGTCAGCGCTACACTGGGGGCACAGTGATGTGGATACATCTTAAACAGGATGTTGAGTGAAAAAAGAAAGAAACTGAGCAAGGTCCCTTACCCAATGCCATATGCACAAGTTAAAACACAAAATGGCACTACATAGTCCACAAGGAAACATACATTTAAGGATTTTTATTGGACCCATTGCAGTGGGTGTCTGTGGGAAAGGAATAAAAGGGATCAGGAATAAAAAGGAAAATAAATAAAGTGAACCAGAGTGATGACTCCTACAGAGCAATAATGCTAATATGATACATAACCTAAGCTCCTTCTGTGCCTGAAATAATCGTTTAAAAAAGGGAGGACCCGTTTTTGCAAGAAGCCACACCAAACTACAGGAGCAGGTTCCTAAGGGTAGCTACTTTTCATTGTCGTGTTGGGTAGAAAATATGAAATGTGAATGTCATTTGATTCTCTAAAACACTTTGAGAGTCAGGAAGAATAAAACAGGGTGACTTGTGCCTGGAAAAGACCTCTTAAAGTAAATCCGCTTAAAATGAGGACCAAAATGTCATTTCAAGTAGTAAAAAAAAAAAAAAAAAAAAAAAGAATGGAGTATTCTTAAACTTGAAAAGTGAAACTAAAAACAAGATAGGTTTTATCTCATATTTTACAAAATTTAATTTTCAGTGTAGCTCTGGTCTGCTGTATTTCTAGTGCTCAGAGCCAAAAATTGTGCAATAAATATTTGTTAAGTGAATGAATGAACAATGATGGCCAGTTCTTAGAATCAAGAATGAATCAAGGGTTACTTTTGTCCCCATAACTTCCTATCCCATTTTTTTCAACTTTTAACTGGTTTAACTCCAGTTAATGCCACCACCCTCAGGTTAGTGACAAAAGGAGAAGGTGAGGTTAGCAGAGCCTGGGGACTGGTGTCACCTGGGAATGCTGAAACCACAGCAAGCCTGACCAATAGGACCTGAAGCTACGGAGGAGATGCATGGGCTGCTGAAGGCTCAGCTGAAGAATTTTAGTTTTTGCTAACTTTGCATGTAACTTTTGCAATTCTCCAACTTCACAATTATTATCTTTATGAAATCCTGCCTCTTTGCAGATATTGTGATTTCTCTTTACAAGAGGCACAGACAAGGGCATTTCAATGGGACCCAATTTTGTACATGATCATTCAGAGGTGACTATTTCATTATGTTTACTTCTGCTCACCATGGTCACCCTAATTCTCTGAGGACTCTAAGAATACTCAGATTGCAAAAATGCTCTTGACTACCTCCGCTTTGCAGATAAGAAAACTGAGGCTCACAGAAGTTACATGGCTTGCCCAAAGTCCCATTGCTTGAAAGTGCCAAACTACAGAAAGCACAATGGAAGGAAGATCAGGAGAGACGTGCCATATCCAAAGCCCTGCAAAGGGTATGAAGGGATGGGTAAAGCTGGCAAGCAAGTGCTTTCTGTGTGCTCACTCTATTATTAATAAGTTTGTGATAATATAATAGTAGTTATGGCAAGTAAAATGTAGCTTCTTAGTCACATGCTGAGCCATCCTTTCTCTTGGGCCCTTTATCCTATAGGTAGCAAAGAAACCTAACCGTGTCAATAGGTGATATTTCAGTCCCTCTGAGTCTAAGCAGCCTCCTTTGAGTTTCCACTGCTCCTCCCTTCTCCGCTCCAAGACGGCTATTGGATGCATGAGGAGTTTACTGTGTGCAGGTGGCAGAGGGGGAGGGAGAGGGGGACCTGCCTCTGTAGACCTGGCATCCCCTGTCCACCTGGCCACTGCCTACCCTGCTGGCATCAGCCAAGGCTGTGGCTGCTGAGGCTTGGGATCTACACTCTCTTGGTTTATTCCAAGGGCCTGGTGATTCTCCTGCTGCTTTGCCAGGGCTGCAGCCCGGGGCTCAGTTCCCAGCCCCAGTGTCCAGACTTCTAGCCCCCATGGTGGTGATCCCTTCTAGCCAAACCTCAGCCCTCTAGGGCATGTAACACCACAAGGGCTCTGAGAATCTAGGAGTTCTCTGAAAAGACCACATGGCACTATTGCCTTCCTCAGTGGTATGTTCCACATGGGTGCCGGGTAAGAAACATTCTCCTAGATTCCTGCTGGAGCCAATATTCAACCAGAAAACAGAAACTCCTTGGCGATCTAAAACAGAGGGGTTCTAGTACTGGTCAGTGGTGACACAGATGATGGAAGAGCCAAGAGGCTGAGCAGGGTGGGGTAAGACGCCCAGGATTAACAGTGGCTGCCACGACCCTCAGGCTAGAGTGACAAAAGGAGAAAGGTTAGCAGAGCCTGGGGACTGGTGTCACCTGGGAATGCTGAAACCACAGCAGACCTGACCAATAGGACCTGAAACCACGGAGGAGATGCATTGGCTGCTGAAGGCCCAGCTGAAGCAGAGAGGCAAAGGGAAATACCCCGGCCTGTCCCTTCCTCTGGCAGCCAGCCTTCCCTCAGGGCCTCCCATGAGCAGAACCTAGCTGACACGGGAGACTGGGAAACGCTGCTGGCAGCAGATGCCCAGATCCAGAGCTGGGCAAGGCAGGGGAGGGATGAGTCTGAGGGCAATGGGCCCAGGGCAAGCACAGCCCCCAGAGGGAAACAAAAGCCCTCCTCTTGTTCTGCCTGCATAACGCACCATCTTCCCACCAAGGCTTTTGCCTAGAGAAAAGAGAACAGGACCTCTGTACTTCCCCATCTGCTCCCCGCTCTGCCTCCTGCTTCCTGTAATCCACAGGGAGCTTCCCACTCCTCTGTGTCATACTCTGTGCCTAATACAACCTTAGGGGACTTATCTCCCAAGTTGTACTCTTGAGTGGCCTAAAAGGAGTTAAAAGGTATTTTTTATCCCTAATGCCCAGGTTTTCAGACAATTGTCTTAATATGAACAAGCTGGCTTTAAGTCTCAAGTTGATCAATGACATCTTTTTCTCCTTCCTTGGGGTAATAAACCTCTTGGTTCACTTCAGCCTTAGCAGTGGAAGGCTCCAAAGGACATGATAAAGGAGGAAGTGAAAGTACATCAGCTAATAGCCCCAGAAATAGTAAACCCCTTACACTCCCACTTATGAAACGGTTCCTGTGTGACAGCAACTGTGCCAGGAGCCAGGATTGCTGTCACTCAACCAACTCTATCATGGGGTTTCTAGCTTTGGTTCCATTTTATAGATTTGGTGCTATTGAGGCTCAGAAGGATGAATTGCCCATCCAGAATCTTAAGAAATAGAATGAGATTTGAATCCAGATCAATTTTGAATCTTCATTTCCAGCTGCTGCTTCTTCTCCCTCCTCCCCTGGTTTCCCAGTTCTTAATTCTTGTTCACAATCTCATTCCTACCCTCTTCCCTCTACCATTCCCTCTTTAGGCTTTTGGAAACTTTGATTCAAGAAATAGAGCGGTTGGTAATAATCTCTGATGATCAGTCCGAGCTTGGCATTTTCATTTGTAAGTATAAACATTATTATTACAAAGTCTTTATTAAGCATCAGTCTGCACGTGTGTCTTCACCTGGGTCCTCCCCACCCCAAAAGCAGACCCTGAGAGGGGGACTTGGGTGCAGGTGGGTTTACCTGGGAGGTGATTCCAGGGAGCCATAGTGAGGAAGAGTGAGAAGGGAGGGAGGGAAAGCCACTGGAAAATTGCCATATTGAGGTCATCACTAACAGCAGCTTGGGATAGACCTCTTGGGAGCGTAGAGGATGCTCCCAAGGCCAGAAGCTTCTCCCATAGCCGGAAGCATTCATCCACCAGCTCCCACCCCCCATGGATTGAAACTCTCCTACACCTCCAGGCTGAGCATCTATGGTGGGTGCCGTAGATAACCCCAGACTCACCAGCAGAGATGAAGGCTTATTTCCACAGCTGCCCTTCCAGGGGTGCTGCCTGAGAATGCCCCGAGACGCCAGCCCTCCCGGAGATGCCTCTAGTGATGAACACTGCCTCATCCAAGGCCATGCTTCCTTCCAGGGGGAAGCCCACACGCTGCTCAACACTGGCAATATAGAAGCCTAGCCTGTCACTCTAAGTTGGGCAACTGCAGGGCCTTCCCAGCTCCAGAGCTCCTAAGGGGTCAGCACAGGCCTTTATGGGACTGCATCACAGCTCAATTTCTTCCTCTGCCCACACCTGCCTCCATAACCGCCTTCCTCAGGGTTGACACCCAGAGCACTTCCTAATAAGCACCCTGCATGCTACTCTGCTTCCCAGAGAACCACACCAGCCACAGGTGTGGGGGCCACATACCTACCCTTGAGCTAGGGGAAGCCCTGGAGAAGGAAGCAGAGAACATGTGGCTGGCAGAGAGAGGCCAGGAGCACCAAGTGGCGTGAGGACTCAAGGCTCACCCAGGACTGTCCACCATACCTGTGTCTGCACTCAGGGCTGGGAGGGTGTAGGGCAGTAGCCAAGAGGCAAATGATACAGCTTGAATCAGAGCTGATTCCAAAACCACTAAACAAATCTAGA
Organism: Homo sapiens; assembly: GCF_000001405.40. Taxonomy (NCBI): domain Eukaryota; kingdom Metazoa; phylum Chordata; class Mammalia; order Primates; family Hominidae; genus Homo; species Homo sapiens. The sequence goes on from NC_000003.12 coordinate 43,909,102, forward strand.
TCTAACCCTATTGAAGCTAAATAGTAATAATTATACACTGTCATTATTTTTTAGCACCTCAATGTGCCCAGGTGAAATGATGTTAATGGGAAGGAAAAGGGGAAAATTATGATTTCAAGAACAGTCATGATGAGAACAGACATATGCCAGCGAACAAAATCCTGTGCCTTTTGTGAGCCTGACAGCTGCCTTCAGTCCTGCTGGTCTGACCCCTGTAGTGACATCAGGAAGAGTCCAGAAAGCATCAGCATTCCACTCCCACTTTCCCAGTGCAGCCAGGAAAAGGCCTAGTCACCAAGGAGGGCCTGCTTCCAGTTCTGTTTTTCCCAAGTCACTCACTGACAGGAGCTGAGGCCCATAATCAGAGGAAGCAAAAACGCTTCTCCCCTTATTGCCAAGGGAATCGCCAGGGGATGCAGAGTGGCTCCAGGAGGAAAATTATGCTGAGCTGAGGCTTAGCCATGGAGGAAGGCCCAAGGGCATCATCTATGAACGTGTACGGGGTCACCTAGGCTTTTACATGTGTACGATGCTCGGTGTTTTGTTGTTGGGGGATTTTATAATTACCCAAATTACCTTGCTTCAACCTATTTAGCAATTCATTTAAAGGAACTCTCCTAATACGTGAAAGACCAGAAAAGACAGCTGATTAGAAATTCCAATGGCCGGGTATGGTGGCTCACACCTGTAATCCCAGCACATTGGGAGGCCAAGGAGGGAGAATCACTTGAGGTCTGGAGTTCAAGTCCAGCCTGGCCAACATGGTGAAACCCTGTCTCTACTAAAAATACAAAAACATTAACTGGGGGTGTTGGTGCATGCCTGTAGGCCCAGCTACTTGGGAGGCGGAGGTGGGAGAATTTCTTGAACCTGGAAAGCAGAGGCTGTAGTGAGCTGAGATGGCACCACTGCACTCCAGCCTTCCAGCCTGGGTGACAGAGCAAGACTCCATCTCAAAAAAAAAAAAAAAAAAAGAAAGAAAAGAAAAGAAAGAGAGAGAAAAGAAAAATCTAATAGGGGACACAGGAATTTTCTTTTATTTGCCTAAGAACAAAAGACAAGGAAACATTATAATAATCAAAATAATCCCAGAAAAGGTAGTGGAAAAATGGACTGGACCAAGATGATATTGAAGGACCTTCCCAATAACTGAACTGCATTCAAGGTACTTAGTCTCTTGAATGTGAGCCAGTGGCCCCTCCATGGTAAATATAAAGTTTGGGGGTCTGTGAATCCACAGATGCTCCAGATTACATATGGGGAAAGAGAGAGTCGCTTAGTAAGGCAACAAAGGTGAATAATTGTTCAAAATATCTAGTGGCATCTTCAGTCATGGTCGTTTGGCATGGAGGCAAGCGGAGTGGGATTTTCAATCTCTTTCCTCTCTTCTAAATGGAAATTAAGCTAACAGTATTCAAGGGAAGAAATGTTCACAGACTCTGAGGACCTAACGTGGCAAAAGTTAGACTCAGAATTTCCCACAGCCAAGTTTGTGGTAGTGGAAGCTTCTGGTAAAGTAGGCCTTGGGTTTTACAAAGTCAGGTACCCCTTACTAGAGGAAAGCAACATTGGGAATTATCCAGATCATCCAGAAGACAAAGGCAAAACTATGTGGTTGTCACATCACTGCTGATGACCTTTAATGAATTCTCCAATTTACCTACCTGGGAGAGGCTTTGCATGGATTAGTCAAGCCACACAATCACTACCTAACCCTCCCTGATGGAAGGAACTGAGCCTCCCTTTAAATGAGTGTGAATTTCTGAAGGGCAAGGCCTGGGTCACTTGCCTTCAGCACACGGCCCATGCTCAGAGTCTGTTAGCTGAAAGGAAAAAGGGAAGTGGAGGCTGCCAGGAATACTCAACCTCCCCCACTCTTCCTCTTGCCACCTTACTTTCATCTTGCTCCCTACTCACAGATGACTCCGGGGCCTTGTTCCTCAAAACCATATTACCTACCATTGGGATTTGGTTTGTGTCACAATTTTTCAGATAATCATATCCAAGAGACCTCCAAAGTAAAAGGTTAGTGGCAAACACAGATGTGGAATAAATTGTACCCGTATTCCAACAGAAGAAATCCAAATCCTAAGCAATTTGAATACAAATTCAGGAGGCGAAGCGAGGGACTGTGGAGCAGAGGGGTATCCATAATGCTGGTTTTGTAAAATTTAATAAAACGTATAATTGACCTTCATTAGATTTATTCACATTACAAAAAGAAAGCATTTGCTAATGAGAAAAAGCTTTATTCCCCAAATTTCAGATCATGAATTCATTTTCCCTCTTCCTTGCTGGTTTGGCACATTTTTAAATGGCTTGGTTAAAACACTTATTAATCCTATATTAAATATCCATGACGATTAATCTCCTAAGAGCCAAGAAAAGTTGCTCCTGCTTTCTACCTCATTTTCTCCCTGACCAAAGAGTTATTTTCTCTCCCCAATGCTGCTTGTGAGCTGTATTAAAGCAGAAGAAATATACTCTAGATTAAAGGGACAAAAATAAATAAAAATAAAATGGAGACAGTGAAAACATTTGTTAACTGGGCCACAGGCATTTTTAGGTTTCCTCCTGTGGACTTCCCATTAAGGATTATATTTAAATATGAAAAAAACAAGTTTTATTATTAGCTGTGTAACTCATCTGTAAAATATGAAAAATAATTGTAGCTCATAAATTGTTTTGAGATTTAAATTAGTTAACCTATGTAAAGTGTATATGATAGTGCGGAGCTCCAAAGCCTGGTTCCCCATCAGCTGTTATCATTAATTCTCCCCACTAAGTTCTCATGAGGCACTTAAGCTACTATTTTGGCACTCCTTCAAATAACATTTTAAAAAAATATCTATTCAACATTCAGTTTGTAGAGGCTGTGATAAACTAATTTTCTATTAATAAACACATATTTTTCTATGTTTAAAATTAAAGTAACTATTCACATTGGTTATATGCAATTTTCTGGACCAGAAAAATTGGGCAGCATTAGGCTTGATTTAAATATTTAGATAATAAACCATTCCTGCCACTATACATTTTTCTGTTTCAAAATTTCAGCAACAATAGCTGCTAAACTCACCCAGAGCAGCTGGCTAGACTTGTAGTCGGTGGTCCTGCCGCTAACATTCCACCTCTCACAAGTAAATGACAAAAACGCACAACAGAGTGCAGCCAGTCTTGGCAGTATATTTCTTCTCAAGCTCCTGCCTTCCTTGGCAGGAATGGGGCCAACTACTTTTTGTCAATTGTAACAAACCTCAATAGAGTTGAGGGAGGGAGGGTACTTTATTTCGGCTTGAGAACAATCTTCCTCCCCAACTCCCCAACTCCCGCCCCAAAGTAAGCCCAATTTACATTTTACCAGTCACACCAGATGTCATGTTTGGAAACCTGGGTTAAGGGGCAGCACGTTTTCTGAGATATGTTTAAGTGTTCCTTCCTCTCTGGACATCTAAGCAGTTGCCCTGGTGGCCCACTCTTTAACTTAGCTTTCTGTGACCCCCAAACCAACTCCAACCTGATTAACACTCTTTTCAAATTCTCCATTTGATTGAGCCTTATTCTTTTTGCAGAACCTTCATGTTATTTCACACAGGGCCAAAGCCACCAGTAGAAAGCAAAGAGAGGAAGGCAGAGGCTGATAGGGTCAGAACGCAAGAGCGCAGGATTTCTGGATGCAGATTTCACTCTGAGCTGGAAATGATTTGCCCTTTGGGTTCCAGTAAAATCTGTGCCATTTATCCGCCAACCTCTCAGAGGTTGCAAACTAGAGCATCTCCCTGCGGGTAGTCACCTTGACCGTGAAATGGGCAATTTCTATCCTTGTCTTATTTCGTCCTCATAGCCGCTTTGTTTCAGTTGCACCCTCCACTGAAAGAAACCCAGGTAGAGTGATTTTACCAAAATAAGGGTTTTCTTTTCCTCATGTGATGAAAAATTCTAGACATGTAGCAGCCCAGGGCTGGTACAGCTGCTTAGGAATCATCAGGAACCCAAGACTGTAAACCACCATCCCTGAGCAGGTGGTTCCCAACCTCCTTGTTGAAAGATGAATGCCCTCCCCCAAAACAGCATTTGTGTTCCAGGCGAGAAGAAAGAGAAGGGCAGAGAGTAAAAGGCCTGCGCCAGTTGGGTCTGTCTCTATTTATAAGAAGCCACACCAGCAAGCTTGTGGTCATATCCCATTGGCAGGGGCTGATCATGCGATCACCGCTGGCAACAAAGGAGGCTGGGGAGTGGAGCATCTTAACTGGAACCACTGCCTTTCCAAACAAGGTCGGGGTCTTGTGGGTAAGAAAGGAGGAAGAATGGATGTAGAGGGGGAGCAGTGTCTACCATGGTACTATTATTCCTCTTTTACTGATGAGGAAACAGATTTGAAAGAGTTTCAAGACTTCTTCCAGGCATGCAGCTTGTCAGTGGCGGAGCCAGACTTCCCATTCTGGAGCTCTGTCCATACACAGTGTAGTATGGGGTGATGCAGTGAATAGGAGAAAAAATATAACCTTTGTGTTTCTCCTTCACCATGATATAGACACAGCCTAAAAGCGAATGAGAGGAAAGACTGACCTTGTATGGCCCTGAGTAACCTCTTACAGTTATTTGCCAGTGAAGTGGGATATATTTCTGCTTTCAGCTGTTTTACCAATGGAAAAAATTTCAAGTGACTTACTCCAGCTATTAGTCAGTGGTGGCCCCAGAAGCAGCACCAGACTTTTGATGAGTTGAAGAGAGACAGGCACTTCTTGGAGACATGACCCTGCTCCATGAAAGATACTGATACTTTTTGGCTCTGTGTTCCCACCCAAATCTCATGCCAAATTGTAATTCCCAATGTTCGGGGAGGGACCTGGTGGGAGGTGATTGGCTCATGGGGGTAGATTTCCTCCTTGCTATTCTCATGATAGTGAGTGAGTTCTCACATATCTGGTTGTTTAAAAGTGTGTAGCTCTTCCCCCTTCACTCTCTCTGTCTCTTGCCACCATGTGAAGATGTGCTTGCTTCCCCTTCACCCCTCAGCCGTGACTGCAAGTTTCCTGAGGCGTTCCCAGCCTTGCCTCCTGTACAGCCTGCAGAACTGTGCATGAGTTAAACCACTTTTCTTCCATAAATTACCCAGTCTCAGGTACTTCTTTCTAGCAGTGTGAGAATGGACTAATACAGATACCCTAGAAAAACCAAAGAAGAAGAAAGCCTCTGGAGTCAATAAATATCTCCATTATTTTTATTAAATGAGATTGACACAAGAATTGAAAATTACTTCCAGGGGCAGCTGGATTTAGGTCTATGACCTTCAAAGAGGTAGGAGGTGCCCTGGCAGAATAGGCTAGAGAGCTATTTGGTTCCTTCTTCAGCAGCTCTAGGATGCCACAAATATCTGTCTGCTTTCACAGCCACATGAGCTGCACAGTGACTAAATCAGCCCCAGCACAAACCTCAGCCCTGAATTTTCTTCCTTTTTTTTTCTTTTTGAGAAAGGGTCTCACTCCATCGCCCAGGCTGGAGTACAATGGTGCAATCACGGCTCACTGCAACCTCAAACTCCTGGGTTCAAGTGATCCTCTAGCCTTAGCATCCCAAATACCTGGGACTTCAGGCATGCAACACCACACCCAGCAATTTTTTTTTAAATAGTAGATTCAGAGTCTCACTATATTTCCCAAGCTGATCTCAAACTCCTGGCCTCAAGTGATCCTCCTGCCTTGGCCTCCCAAAGTGCTGTAATTACAGGCCTGAGCCACCACACCCAGCCAGCCCTGAATTTCTAATTTGGTTCTGTCTTCTGATCCAGATTTACTCTCCTTCTTGGCCATCTAGGCTCACCAGTTCATTGCAAAGTCTCCCGTTCGTTTTGTACTGTATATATGGGTAGCCCAGTTCTGGTCAGCAGAGTCACACATTCCAAACACAGCTCTACAGAGGTTATCAGCTCATAAAAGTAGATCCATGGCCAAAACTACTGCACTACTCTGATGTAGCTACTCCCATTACATAGCTCTTGTCCATGAGTGTCCCAGCTACCTTCAAGCCCTTGCCTAGGTGAGGCCCTCTGCTAAACCTGACTGTTCTTCTTACCACAGTCTCCACCAGATGAATCCCTTCTCATCCTTCAGTCTCCACTTAGCTATCTCTGGCTGTCTAGAAGGGGGTTGGGATCCCCTCCAAAGGACTCTCATAGTGCCCAGTTCTGTCCAAAGTCAGAGCCAGCCACACTGTGATTAGTGGATTTCTAGTATAATCATGTCATTTTTCATCCAAACTAGAACCCTAGAAAGAAATGTGCTATTTTTCATCCAAACTGGAACACATGGACAATGAGCATAAGCAAAAACATGTGCTCAACCCCACTGTTATCAGAGATGTTAAAATATGAAGAAGAAAGGATGTATCTTAGAATCAGTAAAATATGGCATTTAACTTTTCAATATTCTGTTTGGACAAGTGAAACCATGCTTTTACATGGCCTTTGCAAGTATTCTGTTGTTATTGTTTGTTTATTTTGTTTTTTGTTAAATGACAGGACCTAGAATCAGTGAGATTTGGAGAAGCAACCACTTTGGTGCACTGCCTTGTAGGAGTAGAAATTGGTTCAGTGCATCTGGATGATATTGGACACTGTGCATCAAAAGCCTTAAAGTCATTCATGTCCTTTGACTCACTTTGACTCAACAATTCTCTCTGGACTATTCCACAATCCTATGGAAATAATCAAAGTCCTGCAAAAATAATTCTTCATGTTCATCATAGCATTAGTAGAAAACCAGGAAGTACTTTAAATATTCAACCTATAAAGCCGATTACATTACTCTCTCTCTCTTTTTTTTTTTCCAGACAGAGTCTTGCTCCGTTGCCCAGGCTAGAGTGCAGTGGTACGATCTTGGCTCAGTGCAACCTCTCAAGTTTAAGTGATTCTCAAGCCTCAGCCTCCTGCTAGCTGGGACTACAGGCATGCACCAGCATGCCTGGCTAATTTTTGTATTTTTAGTAGAGATGGGGTTTTGCCATGTTGGCCAGGCTGCTCTTGAACTCCTGACCTCAACTGATCCTCCAGCCTCAGCCTCCCAAAGTGCTGACATTACAAGCATAAGCCACTGTGCTCGGCCCAGTGCAACTCTTTTGATACAAGGAACTATTCAAAAATTATGTCATGAAAGTTGGTTTAATGGCATGTTGTCAAGTAGGAAAAGATTTTAAAAATAATTTATACATAATTCACTTTGATTTTTAAACTGTAAAAGTAAAACTATAGATTTTTTTCTCTATATGTCAGAAAAGACTAGAGGGATATATACACCAAAATGTTTATAATAATTTTTTCCTTTATGCTTTTCAACATTTCCCAGTGGTAAACATAAATAACTTAAAATGACAAAACAACTCTAATATGTACTTTTAAGTTAAAAAAAAAAACATTTTGGATGGTGTTTCTGTGTTTCTATAATTCATCTGACTCTCAGAAAAGAGAGGTATTTTTGAAACAATCCCTTATAGGCTGGGCACTGATGTGGGGTAACAAAGCCTATAGTGTCTTGTCTTGCCAAATATTCTCTTTCTGTCATACAAAGAGCCAATGTTTTATATAAGATCATATTTTTATAGTTTTCTAAAGAAATTTTTAAGAGAAAGAATATGTTTTCATTTTGTCTTTTTTTAATGGAGCTGTACAAAATTGGCTTCAGAGCCACCTTTCATAAACATGTAGTGTTATGGGCCGAATATTTGCGTGTACCCAAACTTCCTGTGTTGAAATCCTAACCCCAAAGTTGATGGTATTAGGAGACAGGGCCTTTGGGAGGTAATTAGTCATAAGGGTGGAGCCCTCCTGAATGGGATTAGTGCCCTTATGAAAAAGACCCGGAAGAGCTCTCACACTTCTTTCCACCATGTGAAGATACAAGAAGTCGCAGTCTGCAACCCAGAAGAAGGCCTTCACCAGAACTGGCCATGCTGGCATCCTGATCTCAGATTCCAGCCTCCAGGACTGTGAGAAATAAATTCCTGTTGTTTATAAACCACTCAGCTTTAGTATTCTATTATAGCAGCCCAATTGACTAAGGCACACAGAAAACTTGTATGTGTCTTCCAGCAGAAAAGCTGAGTCCCTCCAGGCCTTAGGGCCTAAGATTCCAACTGCCCTGAAGGATGATGCTGTCATATCATGGTTAGTTGCAGCAATGAGAGGAGCTTTTCCAGTGCAGACCCCAATGCCTTAGCATCAAGCTTCCTGGACATCAGAGGATCTGTGCTAAGCAACAGATCAAAATTTAGGATGGGTGTTTCCCTGTGCAGGTTATTTCTGTTGTCTTTCACCCCCACCCTTCTATATGCTGTTCTGTAAGTTCAGGGCTGGAAGACCGTAAACTATATTCCCAGAATCCCTGCTGGCAGGCTGTCTGTTAGGCTCGGCCAATGGAGACATTGGCTGAAGATCAATGGGAGGAGAAGAGAAGCCATCTGCTTCTGGCTCCCATATTGTGACAGTAGCTGGTGGTGCTATGGTGGCAGTAGGATTCCAGATTCAGCAGTGGAGTCAAGGCAGCCCTTTTCCACAGTTCCAGGCTTGGTCTAAGAATAATCTTCTGCGTCAGCATCTTCCCAGCACAGTGGCAGGTGTGGGCTCATGGGCAGAGCCCATACTGATCTTTGGGTAGCACTCCTTCTCCTTATTGCTCTTCCAGCCCTTCCAGGGCCGTTGTATTCAATTTTCTGTACTAAATTCTCTCTGTTTAATATACCTAGATGGTTTTCTATTTTCCTGATTGGACCATGAGTGATATACCGTTAATAGCTTGGATGACCAAATTCAAGGTATTTATATTTTAACATTCTGGAAATTGATACTTTACCTCCAATACCCTTCCAAGAAATTGGAAACCCCAGTTGGAGAATCTTCAACCTCCTCCATGTTTCAAATGCTCGTTGCCTTTGGGATGGGAGCAAAGTAATGCCATGGCAACTGCTGGGTGCATAAGGGCCTGGGGGCCATAAAGGGTCTGAGTGGTTGTGTCCAGGTTATAGTCATCCATAGTGAGGATTCCCCCTCCCCATACCCGAGACCCAGAAAAAGGACTGGACAGAAGAAACACCATTGATAACCAATAGAAATATGCCTGAGCGATAGCTGGCAGCTGCCACTGGAACTTTCTTTGTATTGGGCTTGGGAGAATGGCATATGCTGGAGGAGGGGGAGAGGAAGGGCTTACAGAGAAAAACATAGAAACTGAGAGGGTTTGAGTAGTTCGGGGGAACAGCTACATGGAATACTCTGAAAGCCTGGTCCCCCTAACAAGGAAAGTTAGCTAAACAAATCCTCTGTGTATGTATGATTTGGGGTCTCAGAGTGGAATTCTTTCTAAAGGCATTGTTTAAAATACCATCAAAGGCCATTTTGTATCTAGGATACAGAAAACTAGCAAAGTAGTATTTAAAAGGGATAAATACCCATTTCACACACACACACACACACACACACACACACACACACACACACACACACACACTCCACTGGCTTCTGCTGGACTCTATCCTCCCTTCTCTCAGATTAACAGAAGAAACCCCAAGCTGGAGAGACCGGCCCATTCCCTTCGTTTTTCCTCCTGCCCAGAAGACAGTGTGGGGCTCCCCCAGTATGTGGGGCAGAAAAGAGGAGACTGGGAAAAGAGTTATGATCCAATATTGGGATAACTGAGGGCCAGTTTCAGGTCCCAGTCACTTCTATAACCCAGCAGAATAGCATGTAGTCAGCACCCAATAAATGTTTATTGAATCAAATTTGGTCTGTGCTTCTGTGCATCTTCTCTGCAAGTCTACCAACTGGAAAGCACTTTGCAATTTTGTTTCTGAGCCAATATACACACCATCATTTCTTTTAGCAACCTTCTGGGACTTGGATTAGCTTTGAAAAATCCACTAGCATTAGGAAGTCCTATGAAAGGGTGTGAGGATAAAGAAAGACAGTGATCGATATATTTTTGCTGACTGATGTGCAGCTCGAATGTTGATGAACAGTACCAAGTGGGCAGGTCTCATCAGACATACAACGGCAACGAAGTGGCTCACTTCTTGGGCGAGACTAACTTGAAATTGCTCTAGAAGAAAGAGGGTAGGAGATGAGCTTCCCCTTCCGAGAAGTAAATTGGCAGGGCTGACTAATTAAAGTTAAAAGCAAATGTCTGAGTCACACTTCCTGGCTTTCTGGCTCCCTCCTTTTGGTCTCCCACTTATTTCTGAAACATGTGCTACTCCACTGGAAAACACTGCGGATAACACATTTGACACTAATGTAGACACTAATGATTTTAAGTTTCTCCAACCAAATCTGAGGATTTGTCTGTGATACAAATAAATATGTGCTTTGGGCTGTGATTTTGGATTTCCACACATTTGTTTTCTCCTTTTTTCTCTAAAGCACAAAGGTTTTCATAAATGCAGGGTGTGTGTATTGGGAGAGAGGACAATGTGGGAACTTACTGAGCCCTGAGTTATTAACATCCTGTGGGAATATGAATGTCACTGTCACTTTCCTCACAGGTAAATGGAATGGAAACTTTCAATTCTTGGTCTCACAGCACACATTTCAGAAGGAGCCTCCTTATGGTTTTGTAATTGATTTTCAAATTGTTTTTTAAGTAAAATAATGCTCCAAGTCTGGCAGTAAAAATCATCGGTTTTTTCCCTCCACATTCCCAACCCCCATGTCCACTCCCCAGAGACAAACACTTAGTTCAGTGTTTATCCTGAGTACTCACCCTGTTATTTCTAACTAACATGCTTATGCTTCAATTTCTTGGTTTATAAGTGTTAGAAATGATCTATTGACTTTCTATTAGGTTACATGAGAATTTAGCCCTCTTACTGATCACTGCCCCCCTCCGCCCCACCACCACCTTGCCATTTTACCTGTTCTTCTAATATGTTATTTCAGAAATTAAATAAGTAGCCAGTGGTTATATTATTTATGACTATGTAAATATCAATCACTGCTGAGGCAGGGAGGTACTTTCATCTTTTCATTGCTTGTACAAGTTTTTATTTTTCCTGGAGTTAATCATTGCCTTGGTCTTTTCCATTTACTTCATTTTTTATGTACTTATTTTTTTTCTCTATATCGTTCAGTGGATCTGTAAAGCCTATGAACAACATTTTCTAAATGGCCAAGCATGTCAGATGCTCTATCAATTCTGTTGACTTCCTAGCAACCTCTCTTCTATAGCTCTACATCCTTCTCCTTTATTCTGGACTGGGTATGGACTACATTCCTGATTTCCCACTATGATTCTTTTGACTATTTCTCTGGCTTGTTGGATCTATTATCTTCCTCCTCTTCTTTTTTCCCCCTGTTTTCTCTCCTCTTTTGCTTAAGCACATCCTCCAGTAGCTTCCCAATAATCACTTGCTTGAGAAGCAAATTTTTTCAGCTTGTACCCATCTAAAAATATTTGCTTTCAAATTTGATTGATAGGTTAGAAATATTAGTTCCTTGATTCAAAATTATTTCTCCTCATTCTTTAAAATGCATTGTTCCATTGTCATAGGCTCCCATTGTGCTCTTGAGAAGTTTAATGGCATTATGCATCCCAATCCTTCATGTGGAACCATTTTTTGTCCCTCCCTGGAGGCTTTTAGAATCTTTTTTAAAATCCCTGATGTGCCTTGATGTGGATCTTTTTCCCATTTCCTGAATTGGATGATTATTGTGCCTAAAGTCTGGAAATTTTTAATGTAATATTTCTTTAATAGTTCCTTTCCTGCTCTTGTCTCTCATTTCCCTTTATGGAATTCTGGATTAATTATCTCATTTTCTTATCTCATCTGCCCTTTCATCCCTATTTTTGACTTTTTGTTCTGTTCTCTAGGAGAGTTCTTATACTTTATCTTCTAATTCTGCTATGTAATTTTTGAAAATTTTAGTTATATTTTTAATTTTCAAGGCTGCTTTTCTATTTTCTGTTGCTCCTTTTCAGTGACATTCTGTCCTTGTGTTTTTTGGCTGAAATACATCTTCTTTTCTCTCTGTGGCGATTAAACTAATGCATATGCACATTTGTGCGGTGGGGGGCTGGGTCTAGGGGTATGTCTCTCCACTCTGAGTATGCGGAGAGCTTTCGAACTAGTCAGCCTCAGCAGGGGTGATCAGACTGCATGCAAGCCTAGTCTCCAGCCCAGCGCCAGGATCAGAAGACTTTCTTCTGAGGTTATGCAGTTTCTTCAGAGGAACCATCCCGTTTCCTAGCTTTCTGCCTGGAGTAGAGGTGTCCAGATCCCCATACTTAGGAACAAAATAAGGAAACAGCAGAGGGCCCTGCTCAGGGCGCAGACTTTCTTGTCACCTGTCTGCTGTACACTCTACACCTCTGAATCAGAAATGTCTGAAGGGAAAGAAATCTCTCATTTCCTGTGGATGGTGGGTGGGACCTAGGGTTCATCCACTGTCTATATAAATAAAGCTAATGTTTTACCCTTTGTTTTCCCTACAACTTCTGCAGTTTTGGTGTTTTAAGGCCCTAGACTTTTCCAGAATTCTTTAGGGTGAGCTGTCGCATTCTTTCTGGACACTTGAGCTGAGACTATCCCTATGTGCAAAGTCAGAGATCACACCCGCAAATGCTATTTCAAAAGATTTTTAGAAATCTCTCATCTGTGTCTTTTTGCTTCTTGTCCTTGATGTTAGAATGAGTCAAATTTTATTATTTTGCTGTCATTTTAGGAGAGTTTCAAGAGGGAGCAAAGATAAAGATTTCTTTAAACTATTTGCAAAACATATCCGATAAAGGTCTAGTATCCAGAATACGTAAAAACTCTTACAGCTCAGCAGTAAAAAGACAACCCAATTAAGAAGTTGGCAAAGGATTTGAATAGGTATTTATTCAGAGAAGATATACAAATGGTCTATAAATACATAAGAAGATGCACTATTATCATTAGTCACCAGGGAAATGCAAATCAAAGCCACAATGGGATACTACTTCACACCCATTAGGATGGAAATAAGTATATGTATATACGTACACACACACACACACACACACACACACACACATATATATATATATTTGAATAACAAGTGTTAACAAGGATGTAGAAAAATTGGAACCCTCATATATCACTGCTGGAAATGTAAAATGGTGCAGCATTTCCCCCAGCAGAAAAAAAGAATCTAGGCTATTAACCACCCATCCATCTACCCAGTCATGCCTTCACTTTTCAAAAGGTGTTTATTGAGCACCTACTATTTGCCTTACTACTACAAGGGATTCAGTTAGAAACAAAAACAGACCCAGTCCCTGTCCTCATATGGTTTTCAGCTAAGATGGGGAGATGAACACTAATCAAATAGGTGCAGAAATATAGAATTATAGCCATGATAAGTGCTGCAAAGGAAAAGCTCTGGGCTTCTACAGGAGAGTGTAATAGCAGGGCTCGACTGGGCTTTGTGGGAACTGGGAAGGCTTCCCTGAGAAAATGACCTTTGAACTAAATTGTGAAATGCAAGTAAGACCTCATAGAGGTAATGAGAGAGTGGGAGGTAGAGGAGAACATTCTAGACAGGAACAAAGACCTCAAGAAAAGAGTGCACGTATCAGCCTGGGCAACATGGCAAAACCCTGTCTCTACAAAAAACACAAAAAACTAGCTGGGCGTGGTGGCACAGGCTTTTAGTCCCAGCTACCCAGGAGGCTAAAGTGGGAGGATTGTCTGAGTTTGAAAAGTTGAGGCTGCAGTGAGCTGTGATTGTGCCAGTGCACTCCAGCCTGGGCGACAGAAGGAGATCCTATCTTAAAAAAAAAGAAAAAAGAAAGAGAGAGAGAGAAAGAAAAGAGTGCATGTGGCGTGTTTGAGGAACTCACAGCAGACATGGTAGCTGGCACAGCTCAGGAAAGAGTGAGCTGAGGCTGAACCAGTGACCCAGGGACAGAAGGGTCCTCGAGGCCACAGCCGCGAGTTTGGTCTTTTTCTGGAAGGTAATAACAGATCATGGAATTGTTTTAAGCAAAGGAGAGAGAGGATCCAATTTTTTGTTTAGAAAACTACTTGGGCTTCTGAAAGATTGTAGGGAGAAAGCATCAATGAGAAGCAACTGTTAGAGTGGCCCACGTGAGCAAAGCTAGGGCTGGGCAGAAGCCTGGGTGGAGTTGCAGAGAAGTGATATTTAGGACGTAAGTGTTAATAGGTTTTGGCAGTGGCTCCGACGTGAGCGGGGAGGGCGAGGGAGGTGTCCAGAGTAAGTGTTGGTGCCATTTGGGCAATCTGTGGAGGGAGGTTTGTGGAGGAGGGTGGGGAGAGCATGCCAACAGTTGGCATTTGCTTCCTGTGCAGCTGTCACATGTCTTAACAAGGGCCAGGTAATGCTGGTTTAAACAAGAAATTAAAAGACAGGCAGAGACCTCAACCAAAATCTACTCTCCACAAATGAAGTCAGTAAACAGGCTGACAGCTCACCGCGTGCCAGGCTCCATGCTGGAGGCTGAGAGGGAGTTAAGGAGTGGGGCTGGACACTCCAGCTGAACCAACAAGAGGAAACCAGAATAAGAACAGGAGAGCAGACCGCCATGAGCTGCCATAAATCAGCACAGGAGACTCCCCAGCGAGGAGTAGGAAGTACCAGCCTCCCGGGTTTCTGACTGGCTGTGGAAATGAGAATATCTCAGCAGGTGTGCACCTTCCTGCCTCATCCAGAGTCCTGTGGGCACACTGCCATCACTGCCCCTCGGCTGTACAAAGCAGCCAAGGCCAGTCTTTCTCTTATCCCCACACCCCACAGACAGCCGGCCCCTCCCCCTCCTGCGGGCCTCTCTCCCTTCCCCCCTTCCCCTTTCATTCTCTCTTTCCTCATCATCAGCCATCTAGAAGCAGAGGTCTTCATTCCTGTGTCCAAGGGGGCACGAGGACTCAGCAAATGTGAAACTCAAAGCACATCTGAAGAGCAACTATTCCAGCGGCTGTTTACAGAGGAGAAGAGACCCAGGGTGGGTAAAGAAGCCCTCCCTCAGCATGCCCAGACAACCCAACCCCCACATCCACCCCGGGGCCTTCGCTCTAAGGTCACCAAAGACCTCATTACCACCTCACAGTTCCCACTGGCTTCCTGACCGTCCTAACTCCCTGTCTACTCCTCTGTTACATGAAAGACAAACCCTCAGGCCAATACCCAACTTCTGCCGTCCTTGGCCTCTTCTCTCTTCCCTCATGCACTTTCCTTGGGCAATGTGCTACAGAGAACAGAGCTCAACCCTTCTAGTCCAGTGACCCTCTCCTCAGGCATAGTCTCCATTCCTTACCTGAGCTCATTGGGTTGGACTGAGGATTAAATAAGATAGCATGTGTTAAAGCACATGGCAAGTACTCAAAAAAGTGATGACAATTTTAACATCTCTTAAACTAAACTAGTTATCTTTTCTCCACCTCCAGATATAAATGGAACTAACAAACTTCAGTGATTTCAGACTTCGTTTCCCTTGGAAATAACTCCCAAAGTTATGCCTCTATCTGTTCCGAATGCTTTCAGACTATGTAATAGAAAACCCAATTTACAGGGGATTTATTAGATACTGAGCTGTTTTTACTCACAGCACTTCTGACACCAAATGTGTGGGTTTTTCCCTACACCAAACAATTCTCCAGCTCTCTGGGCATCAGCTGGCTGTTCCTACAATTCAACTCTGACTCTACCCAGAGTTAGCATCCGACTCTGCAGGTTTAAGTGCTCAGTCCCACAAGGCTACCCTCATTTCAGATACCATTCACAAGTATTGGGTCCTCAGGGTACCCACACTCTCTCCAACGTGGCTACAAGCTGAGGATTGGCGAACCACCCCCTCAGGTTTGATAATTTGTTAGAATGACTCACAAAATTCAGGCAAACACCTTGTTTACCATTACTGGTTTATTATGAAGGCTACAACCCAAGAACAGCCAAATGGAAGCAATGCATGGGCAAGATGTGGGAGGAACACAGAGCTTCCATGCTCTTTCTGGGAGTGCCACCCTCCTAGCACCCCAATGTGTTCACCAACCTGGAAGCTTCCCAAACCCCACTGTTTGGGTTTTTTTAATGGAAGTTTCATTACATAGGCATGATTGATTAAATCATTGACCATTAGTGATTAACTCAATCTCCAGCCCTCCCTGGAGGTGGCAGTTGGGGGATGGAGGGAGCAGAAAGTCCCAACCCTCTAATGATGTCTTGGTCTTTCTGGTGACCAGCTTCATCCTGAAGTTATCTAAGAGCCCCCAGCCACCAGTTCTCTCATTAGCATACTAAAGACTTATCACTCCAGAGAGTCCAGTGGTTTCAGGAGCTATGTGCCAGGAAGCAGGGCAAAGACAAAATATATGTTATTTAGGATGCCACAAATACAATTAATTTTTTCCCAGTATAACAAGATCTGAGAGAAGTGATTGTAATAATCAGTTCAGTTACTTAACAAGGTCATAGTTCAATTACTTAACAAGGGCCCAGATTCTGTCCTTCTCTTCTGCTATTCTTAGCAGGTTGGCCTTTCTCCCTTGGTTGGAAAATGGTTCCCCTCATGGGCACAGTATGGCTGCCACAGCTCCAAGCCTCATATCTGTATCCAAAGAAAGGTAAACAAAGGAAAGGATAGTGCAAATGGCATCTGTCCTTTCAGTAGGAAAATCAATATCCTCCCCCAATATCTTCCTATGTCTCTATAATACACAGAAAGGGTCAGGCGATCATACCTATAAGTAAGCAATAGATCAATCAATTGATAGGTAGATGTACACATATCATGTATATAAAATATATATGTATTTATCTTTACATGAATATATATGTATATACACACAGTCAAGGTCAGATGAGTTGACACTTCCACTTCATTTTTTAAGAAAAAAGAAAATTTTATTTTAAGAAAAAAGAAACAAATACTTTTATTTTTAAGAAAAAAAGAAATAATATTTTTTCATTTTGCTGAGAGCCTGTCTGTTCCAAGATTTTATGAGCACTACCTTGAATCCTGACAAACTACCAATATAAACTTTATTGTCTCATTTCAGAGCTAGGGACTAAACCCACCATTGGTTGGTTGTCCTGGTAGAGCAGGGCTGGGCCGTATATCTTGCTGATTTCAAAGGCAGAGGAATGCAGACCGAGGACAAGGATTCCCCATTGCAGAATATGTAACCCTGGGAGAGCCCCTGAAACTCCACCGAGAACTCACGCCACCCAGGGGTAGGAAAATGCAAATTGTAGGGCTGCTGATGGGGACCCAGAGTAAGAATCTTCCTTCCCAGTGTTTCTGGGTTGGCCTCTCTAAGGCTTCTCCAGAGTCAGCCAAAACTCGTGGAGTATTTTAAGTTCTCCATCATAGAGTATGTCTCATCTCAGGCACATCGGAAGCCTTTTTCTCTGGCAGGAGCTAACTGCTCCCCTGCCAACCAGAACCATTAAGCTAAGACCTGAGTCCACTCTAAGTACCACATAACCCATGTACTGAGAGAGAAGCTCTAAGCTTGACATCAGAGTGCCGGGTGGGATGCCGAGTTGGATACTGGACTGGGGAAAATAAATGTTGCTGTAAAGGATGATATTGAGGCAATTAGCAAAATCTCAATATGGGTTATATGTGAAATAAGAGAGTTGGAGAAATGTTAAATTTCTCAAATTTTATCCTTGAATTGTGGTTAAGAGAATATCCTTTTTCCTAGGAGATACACATAAAGTATTAGAGACTTGGGATCTTGGTCTCTACAATTTACTCTCAAATGTTCAGCAAAAATAAAAATAGGAATAAGTGTGAATAATAATGATAAATATGAAAAAATGAATAAGTATGCATAGTAAAAATATATCAATATGAAACATAAAAATAAGAATAATAATGTTCATATTTTATATGGCTCAACCTTATATTACTGAAAGACAGACAGAAAGAGCATGCATGCATGCGTGCACGCATGCACTCACCCCCCGCCACACACACACACACACACACACACACACACACAGCAAAATGTAAGCAATAGGTGGCTCCATGTGAAAGATATGTTGGAGTCCAGTGAAATATTCTTGCAACTTTTCAGTAGGTCTAAGTTTTTTTTCTAAATACAACAAAAGAGTTAATTTATTTTAAAAGGCCGTAGGTAGAATATACATGCTGTTTTGATGTAGTAGGCATACTGAAATATGCAGTACAAATAGGATAAAGTGGTAGCAACGCTTTTCAAGCTCTGCAATGGTGTTGCCTCCCCTTCTCCACAAAGTATATCTCCAAACAGATGCTTGGATCCTGCCCAGATAACTTCAAAATCACTCACAAACTTCCTAAAACCTGCAAGTCTCAGTAGTATTGCTAATGGGCTCATCTGCTAGAAGCTACATGTCTAGGTTCTTGACATTTAACTTATGACTTTGCCTCTTTCTCGGTTTGCTTTGAAAGACTCTAAATGGTTTTCCAAATTTGGCAGAGCCCAATTGGCCTTTCAAGGCAGATTCTAACATAAAGCTCCATGGGCACTTTGCGTCTGCAAGTTCCATTATGTTTGCCCAAACTTCACTCCTAAGGGTTGCTCCACCTACTACTACCATTAATATTAAATGGATTGGCAAAGGACCTCGGAGTAAGTGCTTCTAGAAATTGGCACATCAGGTAGATCTTCCCTTAGGTCCTCCTCAAGAGTGCATCCTCTTGAGCCTGCTGAACCCATGACACCCAGAAGGGGTTCACTTCTGAAAGACATATTGGAGTCCAGTGAAATATTCTTGCAACTTTTCAGTAGTTCTGAGTCTTTTTTCTAAATACAGCAAAAGAGTTAATTTTTGAAAGGCCCTAAGGTGGAGTGTGCATGCTGTTTTGATGCAGTAGGTAAACTGAAATATGCAGTACAAATAAGATAAAGTGGTAGCAATAATTTTAGAGCTCTAAGACCCATCATCCCACTTGAAACGGAAGCCACGGTTCCCAGGAGCTGTGGCCACCTCTCTGCATGGAACGGCCCAAGGCGGGTGCGGTCACCAGAACCCAAAAAGAAAGAGTCATTTAGAGCAAGCTGCTTTGAGAGAAGTCGTGACCTTCTGGAAGGGTCAAAGCCAGCCAGGGGCACCCTCACTGAGAGATGGCCAGGGAATAAAAACCCCGACCTCACACACCTCCCACTCTCTCATCTCCAGCAAAGTCTCTCTCTTCTGCCCAACCCGACTAGAAGCCAGAGGGTCTAGAACTCATGGGGGCAATGATACACTGGCCAGCCCCAATAGCAGAGTATGTGGGCAAGGCTGGAGTGTGAGTCTGGAAGAGCAACTGGAACATATTGGGCATATTCCATTTCCTTATCTGCAAAACAGAAATAAAAAAAATAATACCTACCTCACAGGGTTGTTAGGATTAAATGAGACAAACTTAAGTGGGCTGGCCTATTTCAGTGACTGTTGTTTTTATTATATTCCAGGAAGGAAACCTTTAGGGGAGGGCTCTGCCGGGAGGGATCTCGGTGCCTTTGCTTGGCTTCTCCAGTAAGGAGAGAGTGAAGAGCCCACTCACGTTGCCAGTTGGAAGACTCCTAGTTCTTCATTTCAAAACTTTCTACAAAGCTACAGTAATCAAGACAGTGTAGTATTGGCAGAAGGGCAGACACAGCTCAGTGAAATAGAATTAAGAGTTGAGAAATAAACCCTTACATTTTGGTCAATTGATTTTAGACAAAGATGTCAAGATAATTCAAAGGGGAAAAGAATAGTCTTTCAACAAATGGTGCTGGGATAACTTGACGTCCGCATGCAAGTCATGAATTTGGGCTCTTATGTCACAGACAAAAGTTAATCCCAAATGAATCTAAGAGCTAAAATTTTAAATTCTAAGCAGAAAACTTGAGTGTAAATCTTCATGACCTTGGATTAGGCAAAGATTTATTAGATATAACACCAAAACACAAATTAACTCGAGAAAAAATAGACTAATTTGACTCTATCAAAATTAAAAGCTTTTGTGCTTCAAAGGACACCATCAAGAACCTGAGAAGACAACTCCAGAATGAGAGGATATTTTCACAAATTATATATCAAATAGGAGACTTGTATCCAGAATTTACAAAGAATTATTATAACTCAACAATCAAACGACAAATAATCCACTTTAAAAGTGGGCAAAAGATTTGAACAGACATTTCTCCAAAGAAGGTATACACATAGCCAATTTTAAAAGCACATGAAAATATGCTCAACATCTTTCAGTTATCAAGGAAATGCAAATCAAAACCACAATGAGATACCACTTCATGTCTTATAGGATGGCCATAACAAACAAGATGGACTATGTCAAGTGTTGGCAATGATGCAGAGAAGTTGGAACCCTTGTACACTGCTGGAGGGGATGTAAAATGGTGCAACCTCTGTGGAAAACAGTTTGACAATTCCTCACAAAGTTTAATAAAGAGTTCACCCATCAATTCCACTCCTGGATATATACCCAAGAGAACTGAAAATATATGTTCACACAAAGACTTCTACACAAATGTTCATGGCATCATTATTCATAATAGCCAAAAAGTATAAACAACCCAAATGTCCATCAACTGACAAGTTAATAAACAAAATGTGATCTGTTCATACAGTGGAATATTATTTGGCCATAAAAAGGAACAAAGTATTAACACATGGTACAACATGGATGAACCCTGAAAACATGATGCTAAGTGAAAGAGGTCAGATACAAAAGGCCACATATTGTATTATTTCCTTCATATGAAATGTCAAGAAAAGGGAAATTTATAGAAATGGAAAGTAGACTAATGGTTGCCACAGGATGGAGGAGGAGCAAATGGGGAGTGACTACTAATGGGTACAGGGTTTCTTTTTGGGGGTGATGAAGATGTTCTACAATTCACCAACATTTTGGTGAATTTTATGATATGTAAATGATATCTCAATGAAAATATATTTCAAAAATTCAATGGACAAGTTGATCTAGGGGAAGAAATAATTAATAGATAGAAAGATAAAGCTGACATAATCAGCCAGAAATTGCACAGAGAGATAAAGAGGTGAAAAATATGAAAGAAAATTAAGAGATATGAACAAAAGAGTGAGAAGAACCAATATATTTTCCAGAAGGAGAATGCAAGAGAGACTCGGGAAGAATTATATTCAAAGAGATAAGAAATTAGAGGGCCAGGCGCGGTGGCTCACCCCTGTAATCCCAGCACTTTGGGAGGCCGAGGCGGGCGGATCACAAAGTCAGGAGATCGAGACCATCCTGGCTAACATGGTGAAACCCCGTCTCTACTAAAAATACAAAAAAATTAGGGCATGGCAGCGTGCGCCTGTAGTCCCAGCTACTCGGGAGGCTGAGGCAGGAGAATGGCGTGAACCTGGGAAGCGGAGCTTGCAGTGAGCCGAGATCACACCACTGCACTCCAGCCTAGGCGACAGAGCGAGATTCCCTCTCAAAAAAAAGAAAAAGAAATTAGAGAACATGAGTTCTTAGATTGAAGAACTTTAAATCTCAAATAGATTAAATAAAAACAAATGCACATCTTGTTACAATGTGATGAAACAGAGTACATTAAATACAAATAGAGTATCTTAAAAGCTACCAGAGTTAAAAGGAAGATTATATCAATGTGATGGCTATTCTTTTGGAAGTAGGCTTCTTAGGAGCAACTACAGATGCCCAAAGACACAGAAATACTTTCCAAATGCTGATGGAAAATAACTCTCCAACTACAATTCTATTCCAGCTAAACTATTACTCAAGTGCCAGCAAAGCCACAGATGCATGCTGACAGGACAATGAAAGCATATACTTTCAGCAGGAAAAAAAAATGAATCTGAAATAGTGGAATAGAAGAACAATTGAGGAGCAAAGAAATTGACTAAATGTTGGTAAATGTAGACAAGTGTTTCTAAACTTGACCTGTTTATGATCCCTTTGGGGTAATAGGCTGCTCCACTCAACTCACACTTGCAGTAAAAATTTGGGTGTCATTTTCATTGTTTTTATTTGTGGCCCATATCTGTTATGAGACCTAAATTTTTGCAAAGGACATTAGTTTCTTTCTTCCTCATTTCTGGGCAGAGCATCTTCCCAGGACCTGGAACTTGGTACCTGCTCCACACATTTTTGTTGAATGAACAAATGAACTCGATCAATATGTGAAACCCTGAGTTTATCTGTTTGTTTTTTAGATCAACTGTTGTCTTCTTCACGTTTCTTGTTCTGCCATTGAATGCACACTCTCTTCACTTTAGATGGGCTCTGACATCTCACACCAGGCTGCCCTTCTGGGGGAATGCCTTTCTCACTTTGCCCAAGCACTGACTCCCCAAGCCTGGCTGCCCCTCTCTGTGGGCATCATCCCAACCCAGGTCTCCCCACCTGCCTGGGGTTTGATGCTTCTCTTTGGACTGTCATGACCTCCCCTGGAATGAATGTTTACTTTGCTCTGCCTCAGCTAATGGTTTAGGACTGAACTGTTTAGGAAGGGAAGGAAAAAATAGGAAAAGAAGGGAATAAATGGGGAAAGTAAAAGAAGAAGAGGACAGGCTGGGTTTTCTTTTTCTAGTCAATCTTGTTTCCTTCACCAAACCTTTTTCTTTTTTGCTTGAATCACAGTGTATTGTATTCATGCAGTTCCCTCTATTTGGAATGGCCCCTGCCTTTGCTTTTTGAAATTCTACTCATTCTTCAACACAGAGGACAAGTGTCTCTCTGTGGAGCCTTCTCTGATCTCTCTCTCTCTCACACACACACACACACACACACACACACACACTCACATATACATTCATGCACATACATGCACTCATATACACATGCACCCAAACAAAACCATTCACTAGTTCTCCTGGGTTCCTACATCACTATGGACAAGTTTGTCTTACAACGCTTAAGAAATTGCATTATGGGGCTGGGCACGGTGGCTCACGCCTGTAATCCCAGCACTTTGAGGGGCCGAGGCGGGAGGATCACGAGGTCAGGAGATCGAGACCATCCTGGCTATCACGGTGAAACCCTGTCTCTACTAAAAAATACAAAAAATTAGCCAGGCGTGGTGGCGGGCGCCTGTAGTCCCAACTACTTGGGGGGCTGAGGCAGGAGAATGGCGTGAACCCGGGAGGCAGAGCTTGCAGTGAGCCGAGATAGAGCCACTGCACTCCAGCCTGGGCAACAGCGCGAGACTCTGTCTCAAAAAAAAAAAAAAGTTGCGATATGGTTGATTATTTATAGTCTGCTGGCCCTCATTAGACTGTGAGTTTTTAAAGGATGGAGTCTTCCTTTGCTAACACCTAGCACAAAGAGAGCATATAGTGAACACTCAAAAAATGTGTGCCAAATAAACTACCCAGTTGATTTGGCATTTATGGTCAATCTTAGTGTTGGAGAGTTGATGGGTTTTCTGTACTCCTTGGGGGTAGTATTCTGTGTCTTACAATTTAAACTTATCTTAGTGGTTTATTTCTGGACTTGTTCTATAGGACAGTGGGGGGCTGATTTAGCCCCATCTCATGGCAACTACTGACACCACCAGAAACTCACCCACAGCATTCTCAATGTGAACTCCTGCACTCAGCAGCAAGCTAATTACTGTGCTCATCACTTAAAACAAAACAAAACAAAAAAAAAAAACACTGCATTTTCGGCCTCTGTTAGCTTATAAATAAATTAACATGACAAGATTTTCAATTCAGAAAACAATGCCAAAATATAAAGAAAAGAGGTTTTGAAAAAACAACTCAAGTGTAATTAAAGAGGAAGAATCCAATACATCCTACGGGAATCTTTCTAACCCTGAATTCCCATGGTAGGAAAGACCCCCCAGTATTCAACACTGGAGCTAATTTAAACCTCTATCCTGTAATTTTAAATTCAGAAACTTGGGTTGCCCTGGCATTCATCATTTACCAGGCACAGTGAACTTGGTGTCTACCAACATGTGTATTTAGTTTCACAGTTAAATGTACACAACAGAAGCAACCCCCCACCCCTTGCATTCCCATTTCTCTCTCCTTTCTTTTCCTTTGCCTCTCCCTTTCTCAGACTGCGCTGAGCTGGGTGGATCTGGCTCTGTCCCAAGTTCCACTGAACATCTGGAACAATTTTTCTATTGTTCTTGATCTGAGTTTGAAAAACCACAAATAACTTTGCTAAGCACCATTTCTCCTTCATTTTTAATACCTAGATTTTAGGCCAGGCATAGTGGCTCATGTCTGTAATCCCAGCACTTTGGGAAGCCGAGGCTGGTGGATCGCTTGAGGTCAGGAGTTTGAGACCGGCCTGACCAACATGGTGAAACCCCATCTCTACTAAAAATACAAAAATTACCCAGGCATGGTAGCACATGCCTGTAATCCCAGCTACTCGGGAGGCTGCGGCCCAAGAATGGCTTGAACCCGGAAGGGGGAGGCTGCAGTGAGCCAAGATTGTGCCACTGCACTCCAGCCTGGGTGACAGAGCAGGACTCCGTCTCAAAAAAAAACAACAACAAAAAAAAAAAACACAAAAACAAAAAAACCACCTACTTAGATTTCAGATGTATTTATTTCTCATGCTTCTGACTCGTCTATACCTTGCTCATCAAAGTTGGTTTTCTTTTTCTTTTTCAATTTTTTAATGAGCCATTTGCTACCTGAAATTACTAGGCAATCTTTGCAGTCATTGTCAGCATCTTCCAATCTTTTTTTCTTCCAGGAAGGCAGATCATGGACAGAATAAAGGACTAGGCATCAGGAACCAACAGCACCCCCACCTCCCCAAAATGCACACCCAAGAAAAGTTGATTGTCAGTTCAAAATTCAGAAGCCACCTGGTCACTAAACCTTCGGCTTAGCAGAGTGGCCCTCCTGGACATGAAGCAGAGGACTATTAATATTTTGTAGCAATGTATGCAGAGAAACTAGCAGATTAAAGAAAAGGATTTTTGTAAATGAAATGAAAGCAGACATCACAAACATTCTCACAGAATCACTTTTTAAAAAAATGTTTTTTGTTGTGCAAAATATTCATAAAACAAAACTTCCATTTTAAACATTTTTGAGTGTACAACTCAGTGGCATTAAAAGCATTCACATTGCTGTGCAGCCATCACCACCATCCATCTCTCCAGAACTTTTTCATCGTTCCAAACTGGAACTCTATACCCATTAAAAAATAACTCCCTATTACCTCCTCCTGACCCACGGTAACCACCATTCTACTTTCTCTCTCTGTGAATTTGACTATTCTAAGTACTTCATATGAGTGGAATCATACCATATTTGTCTTTTTGTGTCTGGCTTATTTCACTTAGCAAAATACTTTCAAGATTCATCCATGTTTTAGATCAGAACTTTATTCCTTTTTAAGGCTGAATAATATTCCACTGTATATAGGTATCACTTTATTATTATTATTATTATACTTTAAGTTCTAGGGTACATGTGTAGAACGTGCAGATTTGTTACATAGATATACACATGCCATGGTAGTTTGCTGCACCCATCAACCAGTCATCTACATTAGATATTTCTCCTAATGCTGTCCCTCTCCTAGCCCCCGACCTTGCAACAGGCCCCAGTGTATGACGTTCCCCTCCCTGTGTCCATGTGTTCTCACTGTTCAGCTCCCACTTATGAGTGAGAACATGTGGTGTTTGGTTTTCTGATCCCGTGTTAGTTTGCTGAGAATGATGCTTTCCAGGTTCATCTATGTCCCTGCAAAGGACATGAACTCATCCTTTTTACAGCTACATAGTATTCCATGGTGTATATGTGCCACATTTTCTTTATCCAGTCTACCATTGATGGACATTTGGGTTGGTTCCAAGTCTTTGCTATTGTGAATAGTGCTGCAATAAATATATGTGTGCATGTGTCTTTACAGTAGAATGATTTATAATCCTTTGGGTATATACCCAGTAATGGGATTGCTGGGTCAAATGGTATTTCTAGTTCTAGATCCTTGAGGAATCGCCACACTGTCTTCCACAATGGTTGAACTAATTTACACCCCCACCAACAGTGTAAAAGCCTTCCTATTTCTCCATATCCTCTCCAGCATCTGTTGTTTCCTGACTTTTTAATAATCGCCATTCTAACTGGTGTGAGATGGTATCTCATTGTGGTTTTGATTTGCATTTCTCTAATGACCAGTGATTATGAGCTTTTTTTCATATGTTTGTTGGCTGCATAAATGTCTTCTTTTGAGAAGCGTCTGTTCATATCCTTCACCCACTTTTTGATGGGGTTGTTTGTTTTTTTCTTGTAAATTTGTTTAAGTTCTTTGTAGATTCTGGATATTAGTCCTTGGTCAGATGGATAGATTGCAAAAAATTTACTCCCATTCTGTAGGTTGCCTGTTCACACTGATGATAGTTTCTTTTGCTGTGCAGAAGCTCTTTAGTTTAATTAGATCCCATATGTCAATTTTGGCTTTTGTTGCAATTGCTTTTGGTGTTTTAGCCATGAAGTCTTTGCCCAAGCCTATGTCCTGAATAGTACTGCCTAAGTTTTCTTCTAGGGTTGTTATGGTTTTAGGTCTTACATTTAACTCTTTAATCCATCTTGAGTTAATTTTTGTATAAGGTGTAAGGAGAGGGTCCAGTTTCAGTTTTCTGCATATGGCTAGCCAGTTTTCCCAACACCATTTATGAAATAGGGAATCCTTTCCCCATTTCTTGTTTTTGTCAAGTTTGTCAAAGATCAGATGCTTGTAGATGTGTGGCGTTATTTCTGAGGCCTCTGTTCTGTTCCATTGGTCTTATATCTGTTTTGGTACCAGTACCATGCTATTTTGGTTACTGTAGCCTTGTCGTATAGTTTGAAGTCAGGTAGCATGATGCCTCCAGCTTTGTTCTTTTTGCTTAGGATTGTCTTGGCTATATAGGCTCTTTCTTGGTTCCATATGAAATTTATAGTTTTTTCTAATTCTGTGAAGAAAGTCAGTGGTAGCTTGATGGGGATGGCATTGAATCTATAAATTACTTTGAGCATTATGGCCATTTTCACAATATTGATTCTTCCTATCCATGAGCATGGAGTGTTTTTCCATTTGTTTGTGTCCTCTCTTATTTCCTTGGGCAGTGGTTTGTAGTTCTCCTTGAGGAGGTCCTTCACATCGCTTGTAAGTTGTATTCGTAGGTATTTTATTCTCTTTGTAGCAATTGTGAGTGGGAGTTCACTAATGATTTGGCTCTCTGTATGTCTATTACTGGTGTATAGGAAGGCTTGTGAATTTTGCACATTGATTTTGTATCCTGAGACTTTGCTGAAGTTGCTTATCAGCTTGTGGAGATTTGGGGCTGAGACAATGGGATTTTCTAAATATACAATCATGTCATCTGCAAACAGAGACAATTTGACTTCCTCTCTTCCTATTTGAATACGCTTTATTTCTTTCTCTTGCCTGATTGCCCTGGCTAGAACTTCCAATACTATGTTGAATAGGAGTGGTGAGAGAGGGCATCCTTGTCTTGTGCCAGTTTTCAAAGGGAATGCTTCCAGCTTTTGGCCATTCAGTATGATATTGACTTTGGGTTTGTCATAAATAACTCTTATTATTTTGAGATATGTTCCATCAATACCTAGTTTATTGAGAGTTTTCAGCATGAAGCGGTATTGAATTTTGTCAAAGGTCTTTTCTGCATCTATTGAGATAATCATGTGGTTTTTGTCATTGGTTCTGTTTATGTGATGGATTAAATTTATTGATTTGCATATGTTGAACCAGCCCTGCATCCCAGGGATGAAGCCGACTTAATCGTGGTGGATAAGCTTTTTGATGTGCTGCTGGATTTGGTTTGCCAGTATTTTATTGAAGATTTTTGCATCGATGTTCATCAGGGATATTGGCCTGAAATTTTATTTTTTTCTTGTGTCTCTGCCAGGTTTTGGTATCAGGATGATGCTGGCCTCATAAAATGAGTTAGGGAGGATTCCCTCTTTTTCTGTTGTTTTGAATAGTTTCAGAAGGAAAGGTACCAGCTCCTCTTTGTACCTCTGGTAGAATTTGGCTGTGAATTAGTCTGGTCCTGGGCTTTTTTTGATTATTGGGGTATAAATTACTGCCTCAATTTCAGAACTTGTTACTGTTCTATTCAGGGATTCTTCTTCCTGGTTTAGTCTTGGTGGGCAGGACGGGGGGGTGTATATGTTCAGGAATTTATCCATTTATTCTAGATTTTCTAGTTTATTTGCATAAAGGTGTTTATAGTATTATTTGATGGTAGTTTGTACTTTTTTCGGATCAGTGGTGATATCCCTTTTATCATTTTTTATTGTGTCTATTTGATTCTGCTCTCTTTTCTTCTTTATTAATCTGGCTAGCAGTCTACCTAATCTTTTCAAAAAATCAGCTCCTGGATACCTTGATTTTTTAAAGGGCTTTTCATGTCTCTATCTCCTTCAGTTCTGCTCTGATCTTAGTTATTTCTTGTCTTCTGCTAGCTTTTGAATTTGCTTGCTTTCGCTTCTCTAGCTCTTTTAATTGTGATGTTAGGGTGTCAATTTCAGATCTTTCCCACTTTCTCCTGTGGGCATTTAGTACTATAAATTTCCCTCTAAACACTGCTTTAGCTGTGTCCCAGAGATTCTGGTATGTTGTGTCTTTATTCTCATTGGTTTCAAAGAACTTATTTATTTATGCCATGATTTCATTATTTACCCAGTAGTCATTCAGGAGCAGGTTGTTCAGTTTCCATGTAGTTGTGCTGTTTTGAGTGAGTTTCTTAATCCTGAGTTCTAATTTGATTGCACTGTGGTCTGAGAGACGGTTTTTTATTATTTCCATTCTTTTCCATTTGCTGAGGAGTGTTTTACTTCCAATTACATGGGCAATTTTAGAATAAGTGCGACGTGGTGCTGAGAAGAATGTGTATTCCGTTGATCTGGGGTGGAGAGTTCTGTAGATGTCTATTAGGTCTGCTTGGTCCAGAGCTGAGTTCAAGTCCTTGATATCCTTGTTAATTTTCTGTCTTGTTCATCTAACATTGACAGTGGGGTGTTAAAGTCTCCCACTATTATTGTGTGGGAGTCTAAGTCTCCTTGTAGGTCTCTAAGAACTTGCTTTATGAATCTGGGTGCTCCTGTATTGGGTGCATATATATTTAAGATGGTTAGTTCTTCTTGTTGCATTGATCCCTTTACCATTATGTAATGTCCTTCTTTGTCTTTTTTGATTTTTGTTGATTTAAAGTCTGTTTTATCAGAAACTAAGATTGCAATCCCTGCTTTTTTATTTTTTCTTTCCATTTGCAAGGTAAATATTCCTCCATCCCTTTATTTTGAGTCTATGTGTGTCTTTGCATATGAGACGGGTATCCTGAATACAGCACACCAATGGGTCTTGATGCTTTATCCAATTTGCCAGTCTGTGTCTTTTAATTGGGACATTTAGCCCGTTTACATTTAAGGTTAATATTATTATGTGTGAATTTGGTCCTGTCATTATGATGCTAGCTGGTTATTTTGCCTATTAGTTGATGCAGTTTCTTCATAATGTCGATGGTCTTCACAATTTGGTATGTTTTTGCAGTGGCTGGTACTGGTTGTTCCTTTCCATGTTTAGTGCTTCCTTCAGGAGCTCCTGTAAGGCAGGCCTGGTTGTGACAAAATCTCTCAGCATTTGCTTGTCTATAAAGGATTTTATTTCTCCTTTGCTTATGAAGCTTAGTTTGGCTGGATATGAAATTCTGGGTTGAAAATTGTTTTCTTTAAGAAAGTTGAATATTGGCCCCCATCCTCTTCTGGCTTATAGGGTTTCTGCAGACAGATCCACTGTTAGTCTGATGGGCTTCCCTTTGTGGGTAACTCAACCTTTTTCTCTGGCTGCCCTTAACATTTTTCTGTCATTTCAACCTTGGTGAATATGACAATTATGTTTCTTGGGGCTGCTCTTCTCGAGGAGTATCTTTGTGGTGTTCTCTGTATTTCCTGAATTTGAATGTTGGCCTGTCTTGCTAGGTTGGGGAATTTCTCCTGGATAATACCCTGAAGAGTGTTTTCCAACTTGGTTCCATTCTCCCTGCCACTTTCAGGTACAACAGTCAAACATAGGTTGGTCTTTTCACATAGTCCTATATTTCTTGGAGGCTTTGTTCATTTCTTTTCATTCTTTTTTCTCTAATCTTGTCTTCATGCTTTATTTCATTAAGTTGATCTTCAATCTCTGGTATTCTTTCTTCTGCTTGATCAATTTGGCTATTGATACTTGTATATGGTTCACAAAGTTCTCATGCTGTCTTTTTCAGCTCCATCAGGTCATTTATGTTCTTCTCTAAACTGGTCATTCTAGTTAGCAATTTCTCTAACCTTTTTTCAAGGTTTTTAGCTTCCTTGCATTGGGTTAGAACATGCCCCTTTAGCTCGGAGGAGTTTGTTATTAACACACCTTCTGAAGCCTACTTCTGTCAATTCATCAAACTCATTCTCTGTCCAGTTTTGTTCCTTTGCTGGTGAGAAGTTGTGATCCTTTGGAGGAAAAGAAGCGTTCTTGTTTGTGGAATTTTCAGCCTTTTTGCACTGGTTTTTCCTCATCTTCGTGGATTTACCTACCTTTGGTCTTTGACATTGGTGTCCTTTGGATGGGGTTTTTGTGTGGATATCCTTTTTGTTGATGTTGATGTTATTCCTTTCAGTTTGTTAGTTTTCCTTCTAACAGTCAGGACCCTCTGCTGCAGGTCTGCTGGAGTTTGCTGGAGGTCCACTCCAGACCCTGTTTGCCTGGGTATCACCAGTGGAGGCTGCAGAACAGCAAAAATTGCTGCCTATTCCTTCCTCTGAATGCTTCATCCCAGAGGGGCACCCACCAGATGCCAGCTGGAGCTCTCCTCCATGAGGTGTCTGTTGACCCCTGCTGGGAGGTATCTCTCAGTCAGGAGGCACGGGGGTCAGAGACCCACTTGAGGAGGCAGTTTGTCCCTTAGCAGAGCTCGAGCGTTGTGCTGGGAGATCCACTGTTCTCTTCAGAGCTGGCAGGTGGGAATTTTTTTTTTTTTATACTTTAAGTTTTAGGGTACATGTGCACAATGTGCAGGTTAGTTACATATGTATACATGTGCCATGCTGGTGTGCTGCACCCATTAACTCTTCATTTAGCATTAGGTATATCTCCTGATGCTATCCCTCCCCCCTCCCCCCAACCCACAACAGTCCCCAGAGTGTGATGTTCCCTTTCCTGTGTCCATGTGTTCTCATTGTTCAATTCCCACCTATGAGTGAGAACATGCAGTGTTTGGTTTTTTGTCCTTGCGATAGTTTACTGAGAATGATGATTTCCAGTTTCATCCATGTCCCTACAAAGGACATGAACTCATCATTTTTTATGGCTGCATAGTATTCCATGGTGTATATGTGCCACATTTTCTTAATCCAGTCTATCATTGATGGACATTTGGGTTGGTTCCAAGTCTTTGCTATTGTGAATAGTGCCACAATAAACATACGTGTGCATGTATCTTTATAGCAGCATGATTTATAATCCTTTGGGTACATACCCAGTAATGGGATGGCTGGGTCAAATGGTATTTCTAGTTCTAGATCCTTGAGGAATCACCACACTGTCTTCCACAATGGTTGAACTAGTTGACAGTCCCACCAACAGTGTAAAAGTGTTCCTATTTCTCCACATCCTCTCCAGCACCTGTTGTTTCCTGACTTTTTAATGATCACCATTCTAACTGGTGTGAGATGGCATCTCATTGTGGTTTTGATTTGCATTTCTCTGATGGCCAGTGATGATGAGCATTTTTTCATGTGTCTGTTGGCTGCATAAATGTCTTTTGAGAAGCATCTGTTCATATCCTTCACCCACTTTTTGATGGGGTTATTTGATTTTTTTCTTGTAAATTTGTTTAAGCTCTTTGTAGATTCTGGATATTAGCCCTTTGTCAGATGGGTAGATTGCAAAAATTTTCTCCCATGCTGTAGGTTGCCTGTTCACTCTGATGGTAGTTTCTTTTGCTGTGCAGAAGCTCTTTAGTTTAATTAGATCCCATTTCTCAATTTTGGCTTTTGTTGCCATTGCTTTTTGTGTTTTAGACATGAAGTTCTTGCCCATGCCTATGTCCTGAATGGTAATGTCTTGGTTTTCTTCCAGGGTTTTTATGGTTTTAGGTCTAACGTTTAAGTCTTTAATCCATCTTGAATTAATTTTTGTATAAGGTGTAAGGAAGGGATCCAGTTTCAGCTTTCTACATATGGCTAGCCAGTTTTCCCAGCACCATTTATTAAATAGGGAATCCTTTCCCCATTGCTTGTTTTTCTCAGGTTTGTCAAAGATCAGATAGTTGTAGATATGCGGCATTATTTCTGAGGGCTCTGTTCTGTTCCATTGATCTATAACTCTGCTTTGGTACCAGTACCATGCTGTTTTGGCTACTGTAGCCTTGTAGTATAGTTTGAAGTCAGGTAGCGTGATGCCTCCTGCTTTGTTCTTTTGGCTTAGGACTGACTTGGTGATGCAGGCTCTTTTTTGGTTCCATATGAACTTTAAAGTAGTTTTTTCCAATTCTGTGAAGAAAGTCATTGGTAGCTTGATGGGGATGGCATTGAATCTATAAATTACCTTGGGCAGTATGGCCATTTTCACAATATTGATTCTTCCTACCCATGAGCATGGAATGTTCTTCCATTTGTTTCTATCCTCTTTTATTTCCTTGAGCAATGGTTTGTAGTTCTCCTTGAAGAGGTCCTTCACATCCCTTGTAAGCTGGATTCCTACGTATTTTATTCTCTTTGAAGCAGTTGTGAATGGGAGTTCACTCACGATTTGGCTCTCTGTTTGTCTGTTATTGGTGTATAAGAATGCTTGTGATTTTTGTACATTGATTTTGTATCCTGAGACTTTGCTGAAGTTGCTTATCAGCTTAAGGAGATTTTGGGCTGAGACAATGGGGTTTTCTAGATATACAATCATGTCATCTGCAAACGGACAATTTGACTTCCTCTTTTCCTAATTGAATACCCTTTATTTCCTTCTCCTGTCTAATTGCCCTGGCCAGAACTTCCAACACTATGTTGAATAGGAGTGATGAGAGAGGGCATCCCTGTCTTGTGCCAGTTTTCAAAGGGAATGCTTCCAGTTTTTGCCCATTCAGTATGATATTGGCTGTGGGTTTGTCATAGATAGCTCTTATTATTTTGAGATACGTCCCATCAATACCTAATTTATTGAGAGTTTTTAGTATGAAGTGTTGTTGAATTTTGTCAAAGGCCTTTTCTGCATCTATTGAGATAATCATGTGGTTTTTGTCTTTGGTTCTGCTTATATGCTGGATTACATTTATTGATTTGCGTATATTGAACCAGCCTTGCATCCCAGGGATGAAGCCCACTTGATCATGGTGGACAAGCTTTTTGATGTGCTGCTGGATTTGGTTTGCCAGTATTTTATTGAGGATTTTTGCATCAATGTTCATCAAGGATATTGGTCTAAAATTCTCTTTTTTTGTTGTGTCTCTGCCCGGCTTTGGTATCAGGATGATGCTGGCCTCATAAAATGAGTTAGGGAGGATTCTGTCTTTTTCTATAGATTGGAATAGTTTCAGAAGGAATGGTACCAGTTCCTCCTTGTACCTCTGGTAGAATTCGGTTGTGAATCCATCTGGTCCTGGACTCTTTTTGGTTGGTAAGCTATTGATTATTGCCACAATTTCAGAGCCTCTTATTGATCTATTCAGAGATTCAACTTCTTCCTGGTTTAGTCTTGGGAGGGTGTATGTGTCGAGGAATTTATCCATTTCTTCTAGATTTTCTAGTTTATTTGCGTAGAGGTGTTTGTAGTATTCTCTGATGGTAGTTTGTATTTCTGTGGGATCGGTGGTGATATCCCCTTTATCATTTTTTATTGCGTCTATTTGATTCTTCTCTCTTTTTTTCTTTATTTGTCTTGCTAGCAGTCTATCAATTTTGTTGATCCTTTCAAAAAACCAACTCCTGGATTCATTAATTTTTTGAAGCGTTTTTTTGGTCTCTATTTCCTTCAGTTCTGCTCTGATTTTAGTTATTTCTTGCCTTCTGCTAGCTTTTGAATGTGTTTGCTCTTGCTTTTCTAGTTCTTTTAATTGTGATGTTAGGGTGTCCATTTTAGATCTTTCCTGCTTTCTCTTGTGGGCATTTAGTGCTATAAATTTCCCTCTACACACTGCTTTGAATGCATCCCAGAGATTCTGGTATGTTGTGTCTTTGTTCTCGTTGGTTTCAAAGAACATCTTTATTTCTGCCTTCATTTCGTTATGTACCCAGTAGTCATTCAGGAGCAGGTTGTTCAGTTTCCATGTAGTTGAGTGGTTTTGAGTGAATTTCTTAATCCTGAGTTCTAGTTTGATTGCACTGTGGTCTGAGAGACAGTTTGTTATAATTTCTGTTCTTTTACATTTGCTGAGGAGTGCTTTACTTCCAACTATGTGGTCAATTTTGGAATAGGTGTGGTGTGGTGCTGAAAAAATGTAATTATGTTGATTTGGGGTGGAGAGTTCTGTAGATGTCTATTAGGTTCGCTTGGTGCAGAGCTGAGTTCAATTCCTGGATATCCTTGTTAACTTTCTGTCTCATTGATCTGTCTAATGTTGACAGTGGGTTGTTAAAGTCTCCCATTATTATTGTGTGGGAGTCTAAGTCTCTTTGTAAGTCACTTAGGACTTGCTTTATGAATCTGGGTGCTCCTGTATTGGGTGCATATATATTTAGGATAGTTAGCTCTTCTTGTTGAATTGATCCCTTTACCATTATGTAATGGCCTTCTTTGTCTCTTCTGATCTTTGTTGGTTTAAAGTCTGTTTTATCAGAGACTAGGATTGCAGCCCCGGCCTTTTTTTGTTTTCCATTTGCTTGGTAGATCTTCCTCCATCCCTTTATTTTGAGCCTATGTGTGTCTCTGCATGTGAGATGGGTTTCCCGAATACAATACACTGATGGGTCTTGAGTCTTTATCCAGTTTGCCAGTCTGTGTCTTTTAATTGGAGCATTTAGCCCATTTACATTTAAGGTTAATATTGTTATGTGTGAATTTGATCCTGTCATTATGATGTTAGCTGGTTATTTTGCTCATTAGTTGGTGTAGCTTCTTCCTAGTCTCGATGGTCTTTACATTTTGGCATGATTTTGCAGCGGCTGGTACCGGTTTTTCCTTTCCATGTTTAATGCTTCCTTCAGGAGGTCTTTTAGGGCAGGCCTGGTGGTGACAAAATCTCTCAGCATTTGCTTGTCTGTAGAGTATTTTATTTCTTCAATTATGAAGCTTAGTTTGGCTGGATATGAAATTCTGGGTTGAAAATTCTTTTCTTTAAGAATGTTGAATATTGGCCCCCACTCTCTTCTGGCTTGTAGAGTTTCTGCCGAGAGATCCGCTGTTAGTCTGATGGGCTTCCCTTTGTGGGTAACCTGACCTTTCTCTCTGGCTGCCCTTAACGTTTTTTCCTTCATTTCAACTTTGGTGAATCTGACAATTACGTGTCTTGGAGTTGCTCTTCTCAAGGAGTATCTTTGTGGCGTTCTCTGTATTTCCTGAATCTGAATGTTGGCCTGCCTTGCTAGATTGGGGAAGTTCTCCTGGATAATATCCTGCAGAGTGTTTTCCAACTTGGTTCCATTCTCCCCGTCACTTTCAGGTACACCAATCAGATGCAGATTTGATCTTTTCACATAGTCCCATATTTCTTGGAGGCTTTGTTCATTTCTTTTTATTCTTTTTTCTCTAAACTTCCCTTCTTGCTTCATTTCATTCATTTCATCTTCCATCACTGATACCCTTTCTTCCAGTCAATCGCATCAGCTCCTGAGGCTTCTGCATTCTTCATGTAGTTCTTGAGCCTTGGCTTTCAGCTCCATCAGCTCCTTTAAGCACTTCTCTGTATTGGTTATTCTAGTTATATATTCGTCTAAATTTTCTTCAAAGTTTTCAACTTCTTTACCTTTGGTTTGAATTTCCTCCTGTGGCTTGGAGTAGTTTGATCAACTGAAGCCTTCTTCTCCTCTCAACTTGTCAAAGTCATTCTCCGTCCAGCTTTGTTCCATTGCTGGTGAGGAACTGCATTCCTTTGAAGGAGGAGAGGTGCTCTGCTTTTTCGAGTTACCAGTTTTTCTGCTCTGTTTTTTCCTCATCTTTGTGGTTTTATCTACTTTTGGTCTTTGATGATGGTGATGTACAGATGGGTTTTCAGTGTGGATGTCCTTTCTGTTTGTTAGTTTTCCTTTTAACAGACAGGACCCTCAGCTGCAGGTCTGTTGGAGTTTACTAAAGGTCCACTCTAGACCCTGTTTGCCTGGGTATCAGCAGCGGTGTCTGCAGAACCGCGGATTTTCGTGAACTGCGAATGCTGCTGTCTGATTGTTCCTCTGGAAGTTTTGTCTCAGAGGAGTACCCGGCCGTGTGAGGTGTCAGTCGGCCCCTACTAGGGGGTGCCTCCCAGTTAGGCTGCTCGGGGGTCAGGGGTCAGGGACCCACTTGAGGAAGCAGTCTGCCCGTTCTCAGATCTCCAGCTGTGTGCTGGGAGAACCACTGCTCTCTTCAAAGCTCACATGGAAATGCAGAAATCACCTGTCTTCTGCGTCGCTCACGCTGGGAGCTGTAGACTGGAGCTGTTCCTATTTGGCCATCTTGGCTCCTCCCCTACAAGGGAATGTTTAAGTTTGCTGAGGCTGCACCCACAGCTGCCCCTTCCACCAGGTGCTCTGTCCCAGGGAGATGGGAGTTTTATCTATAAGCTCCTGACTGGGGCTGCTGCCCTTCTTTCAGAGATGCCCTGCCCAAAGAGGAGCAATCTAGACAGGCAGTCTGGCTACCACGGCTTTGTGGAGCTGAACATCCCAGTGGCTTTGTTTACACTGTGAGGGGAAAACTGCCTACACAAGCCACAGTAATGACAGGCACCCCTCCCCCCGCCAAGCTCAAGCATCCCAGGTCAACTTCAGACTGCTGTGCTGTCAGTGAGAATTTCAAGCCAGTGGATCTTAGCTTGCTGGGCTGTGTGGAGGTGGGTCTGCTGAGCTAGACCCCTTGGCTCCCTGGCTTCAGCCCCTTTTCCAGGGGAGTGAATGGTTCTATCTCACTGGTGTTCCAGGTGCCACTGGGGTATGAAAAAAAAAACTGCAGCTAGCTCAGTATCTGCCCAAACGGCTGCCCAGTTTTGTGCTTGAAACTCAGGGCCCTGGTGGTGTAGGCACCTGAGGGAATCTCCTGGTCTGCGGGTTGCCAAGACCATGGGAAAAGTGTAATATCTGGGCCAGAGTGTACTGTTCCTCATGGCACAATCCCTCACGGCTTCCATTGGCTAGGGGAGGGAATTCCCTGACCCCTAGTGCTTCCCAGGTGAGGTGACACCCCACCCTGCTTCTGCTCACCCTCCATGGGCTGCACCCACTGTCTAACCAGTCTCAGTGAGATGAGCCGGGTACCTCATTTGGAAATGGAGAAATTTCCCAACTTCCGGGTTGATGTCTCTGGGAGCTGTGGACTGGAGCTCTTCCTATTCGGCCACCTTGCCAGCCACCTCTATGTATCATGTTTTGTTAATCATTCATCTGTGGACATTTGATTTGTTTCTACCTTTTGAATATTATCAATAATGCTGCTATGAAAATTAGTGTACAAATATCTGATCAAGTCCTTGCTTTCAATTATTTGGGGTATATATACCTGGGAGTGGAATTGTTGGGTCATATGACAATTCTATGCTTAACTTTTTGAGGAACCACAAAAGTGGTTTCCACTTTTTGAGGAACCACAAAATTGATGGTGTAATCATGAAGGAGTTGGTCCCTGGAGCCTGTGTCTGAGAGGTCTTGGAGGTGAAGTTGTGAGAAGGTATCAGGGGTGGTGAGAGAGAGACCCAAATGGCTGGACACAGGATGACCTTATAAAGTGCAGCCTTTATGTGGCTTTATTTACAATTTACAATTTAATATTTACACTTTTCCTCCTTTCTGATTTCCACAAAATGCAGCTGTACCTTTTTACATTCCCACCAGCCATGCTGACTGATGTTCTTTTTAATAGTCTAGATTATTAACACCATTGTAACACACCCAACAGGAATCTAAGAGGATGATCTATTTGAACAGGAGAAGAGACCAGGGCCAGGTAGCTACTGCATATCCTTTGTATGCAGAACATCCATCAATCATTAAAGAAACAGCCCTAGAAGTGAATTTAGGATTTGATGTTTCAGAACACTTTAGAAAAACTAAGGAACTCATTATATTCTCAGCAAGTATGAATTCATGGGGATCCAGAACCCTCTTTCTAATGTAGTCTCTTGTTAGACCGTCACTCATGGCCAAACACACAGATGTTCCAGCCAAACTATATTGCATTTTTAATACATTTATATATTCAGTAATCATGTCCCAGCTAAAGTCCCCAGTTAGTGCACTCTGCTCCCGGTGAACTAAGTCACCTGGTGGTTTTTTGCATTGAGTTAGGAAGCATCTCATTATTCAAACTGCAAGTAGCCCTTGGCCTCACTTAGAGGCTTAACTCCAAGTTTCCACATTACTCTTCACTGTGGAAGGGGCAATATTAAGGCTGTGTCCTCCAGGAGTCTGGGCAAGGCCCACATGATCTCTGATCTCTGACAGGGACCCTCCTCTGTGAGACCAGTTGACAAGTGGGAGGAGCTTAATGAACTTCCTGGTAAAGCTTCACTTGGGTTTGCTAGGCCACCTCCACACAAAGGCTGTGCTTTACAAGGTCGTCCTGTGTCCAGCCCTTTAGGTCTCTCCCGCAACACCACTGATACCTTCTCACACCTTCACCTCCAAGATCCCCTAGACACAGACCCCAGGAACTAACCCCTTTCTGATTAGGGACAGAAAGTGTCTAAGAACTGTCCTGTGACACAGACAGCCCCGGGAGGGATCCCACACAGCCAAACAGTATATGAATCTGGAATAAGCTCCAGCCACCACACATGGTGTCAGGTGTCCCTTATTTGTATACCCTTTGGCTGTGCTGGTCACCCTTACAGGGCCTGCCAAAAAAATGATCGACGCCCCTCCTCAGGAATGCTCTAGTTTTGAATCATTTTTATTGTGGGAGAGGTGGGCAGGTTGTATAACTGCAGACAGATGAGCCTTCCAAGAGTGGCCCATTTCGAAGGCATTGGGTAGAGGGCCAAGAAAACAAAGAGGCAATTTCCTATAGCCACATCAGAGAAATGTTGGGCAGGTTGCATCTAAACAGTTGCAAAGAGCTTGGGAAACACCAGGCCACAGGCAAACCACAGCCATGAATAATTACACCCCCACAGTCTCAGTGTGAGGAGGGTTCCCACCGTCTCAGGACAGAGCTCCTAGCTCAGCATGCGGTCTCCAAGCCAGGCCAGAATGTTGGGAAAGGGAGGGTGACTGGAAGCTAGATAGAACCCTGGGGAAGGGGCACTGTCTAGTCAGGAACAGAAGAGCATTGCAAGTACCAGGAGGCACTGGCAACCAGACAACAGGCAGAAATGCCCAAGAGATGCTGCAGGGCACATGTGGTATATTGGAAAGGGCATTGTTTGGGGGTTGGCCAAACATGGTTTCAAATTCCAGCTCCGCTACTGCCTTATTTTGAGATTCCCCCAGACACAGACTGTGAAACAAGGAGTTGGAGGCTGACTTGGTAGAAGACCCCAAGAAACATCAGTCAGGAGTGGAAAGTGAGGGGAGGCATAAGTTAGAGTGAATTATGAAACAGTTACCACTCCAGGAAGTGAGGCTCAGAGATGTTCCCACTCCCAGCCAGAGGCAACAACTGGGATATGTGTCCTCCAACACCCTTCCATCATCGGTTGAGGACATTCACTCTCTGGCACTTCAACTCGTCCTGTGTCCCTTGGAAAGGCAGGGGAACCCTGAGGCAGAAAGTTCGGGGGATTTCCCTTAGCATTTTTCAGTGTGGAAAGGTGAATGTTGAGGGGATACCCACGGGCCCTGACAGAGTCTGCCGTACCCACTTACTAGCCCTGTGACCTTGGGCAGCCCAATATCACGCCTGTAAGCCCTGCTCTCCTGATGGGTGAAGTACAGATAAAAACCCACATTCTTCTGAGGAAAGTGGGTCCTGTTCAATGGAGGGTCCCCGGTTCTGCCAACAACCTATGGGCTTGGTTTGGCTCCTTGGGTCTAAAGGCAGCAGCTCTGTAGGGTGAAGGAGAATTGAGAGCTTCTGGAGCAATCCAGAGGGATGGGGTGTAGAAACAGAGACAATGGGAAGAGAAGAGAGGGAAGGGGAGGTCACAGAGACCGCAAGGACATGTGATTCCCAGAACCCAGAGGTCTGCAAAACTTGAGATGTTGGTGGGAGTGGCTCTCTTTGGACACCTGTGAAAGGGCTGTGTTCTGAGACCAGGCTGATTCAAGTACAAATAAGAACAGTATGTCT